>NC_000016.10:72744318-73047348 GCF_000001405.40 Homo sapiens
GACCAGTGTCTCCATGGTAACTAACTGAGCTCTATATCTTACACCTCATTACAAATGAGGATAGATAGTAAAAAAAAATATATATATATATAAACACCAAGAGTGAATATATATATGTGTGTATGTATACTTCCTGTCTTCTATCTAGAAAGTGAGTAGAATAAATTTTTTCAAAATGTGATTGCATTGAAAGGATAAAGTTGATAGGCCTTTTTTCCCCATTGGTGCAGGTAAATATTTCATTTTTCAGTTCCTCTGATGGTTTTGTTCTGAACCCACCCAGCTGTAGCTTGAAAGATTAATAATGGGCAGCAAAAGAATGTGAGAAGAGGTGGTGAATGAATAGAAACCAGCATCAGAGAAGAAAGAGTATTGCCTGGCCTTTGGGACAAATAAATAAGGATTTACTAAGTCTGCTAGTTTCATCCCCATAACAGGAAAACCTGGAACCCATTAGAATGAAAACCTGGAGTTTTATAATGTAATGATTCCTAGAGTTCCAAACCTACACAGACTGTTGACAAGAAAAAAGAAAGAGGGACAGAAAATCAGCAGTTTCTAATTTTCTCTTCTGTAGGTATTGATTTTACTTTAACACAACTAACTTTACTATGCCTCTCCTCACATAAGACCATTACACTTATGTGTTGATCTTTATAAGGTTAAACACGTTTCCTGAAATCTTAGCCTGCCCGTGTCATACATTTTAAAGAAAAAGACCAAATTAAAGAAGTCATCAGTGAGTGAACTATTAAGTAGAAATTAAAACTTTTTATTCAAGACACAGGATGCAAATATTTGGTGAGAGAACAAAGACCTTAGGAGCTTTTTGGAACCATTATATTAGCTTCAATTTATTAGTCCATCTGCTCATAGATAAATGACTTTAAACTCTGAAGCAAGGACCCTTAGTAGCCCAGCAGGGACTTCTGTTGATATTGAAGGCTGATTCCTTCCCTCACTGGGTCTGTTTCTCAATCACTAATTTCTGAACAAGTATTTGGGTCATTGCTAAAAAGGGCATACATGTAGTTTTAAAACAAAAATAGCTCTTTGATCTAAGTAACATAATTTTCTACCTTTTAGGTCCTTCTTACTGATGTGTTGCTCTTCTTCATGGCTCGTGAAAACTATTAGAGTCATCCAAGGTAAGCGCATTGCACAGGGGTGACAAAAAAATGGGTGGGGTGGTGGGGGAGAACATAGGTATATACCCAAGAGGAATGAAAACATACTTTCACACATAACTTGTGCACAAAAGTTCATAGCAGCATTAGTCATAATAGCTAAAAAGTAGAAATATTCATCAACTGATGAGTAGCTAAATATAATGTGTTATGTCTTTATAATGGAACATTATTTGGCAATAAAAAGGAATGAAGTACTGATACACAATACCACAGGGATGAACCTTGAAAACATTATGTAAGTGGAAGAAGCCAGTCATGAAAGACCACTTATTATATGATTCCACATATAAGAAGGGAAGTGGGGGTGACTACTAAAGGATATGGGGTTTCTTTTGGCGATGATGAAAATGTTCTCAATTAATTGTGGTGATGGTTGCAAAACTCTGAATATACTAAAAAACGTTGAATTGGACATATTAAGTGGATGAATTGCATGGTATGAGAAATTTGAGGATTTTATCTCAAAGTTATTATTAAAAAAGGGGGTGTAGGTGAGGAGGAAGATGGTGATCCACAACTCGGATGACCATATGTTCTGATTGCCCCAAATAACCAGTATTTTTTTACCAGGTGTGCCAGTGAATTGTTAATAGCTCTGACTTAGCTTTCAAAAGTGTCCTGTTTTGATGATAAACTATATGGTCACCATATGTGTAACCAGAAGTACTATGATCTTCTGCAATGTATCTTAAAGTTATCTAACCAAGATAACACTTGGGGTTCTGTTAAAGGTAAATATCCCTGTGTTCCTCCCATGGATCTTAATTCAGTAAGTCAGAGGTGGAAACTGGTATTTTGTATTTTTAACAGTTATCTATGATGATTCTTATGAATTTTTGGCATTCACTGTTCTACTTGTTAAAAAAAAAAAAAACAGGTGAACAAATTACCTTTTGGGGAAATATAATTCCAGGGAGGTATGAGAAGGCTATTGTAGGAAATTTGCTGTGGAAGGCTAAAAATGAATTCTGACAAGGATCAAGAGAACAATGGGAATAACATAAGGACACTGATGGTTCTAAGAAATATCCTTATGTCTTCTAAGATTAAAAAAAAAAACCACATCAGGCCAAGCGCGGTGGGTCAAGCCTGTAATCCTAGCACTTTGGGAGGCCGAGGCGGGTGGATCATGAGGTCGGAAGATCGAGACCATCCTGGCTAACACGGTGAAACCCCGTCTGTACTAAAAGTACAAAAAAATTAGCTGGACGTGGTGGCGGGCGCCTGTAGTCCCAGCTACTCGGGAGGCTGAGGCAGGAGAATGGCGTGAACCCGGGAGGTGGAGCTTGCAGTGAGCGGAGATTGCGCCACTGCACTCCAGGCTGGGCGACAGAGCGAGACTCTGTCTCAAAAAAAAAAACAAAAAAGAAACCACATCAATTATTTGGTAAGAATGAGTGAGGATTAATACCAGTAATGGTTTACCTGTAAGTTTCTTCTCCAAAGTGGCCAAAGGTAGAGGCAAAGTGGGTTCTGGGGTATCCCTGATTATTGTCATTCTGCCTTAGGTCCTGACATCCACTGCCTTCACTCAAACCCTTCTGGCCAGTTCCATCCTACAGATTCTAAGTTCCTGACTCAGAATCTTACTGTTGTGAACCTTTACACCCAGGTTTGGAGACAGAAAGGAGCACCGCCAAGTGAGGCAGAGCAGTCTCAGAAACATAGGAAAATGTAAGAAACTTAAGACTTGGAACAGTTTTTTGTTGTTGTTTTTTTTTTTTTTTTTTTTTTTTTTTTAATTAGAAGAGGAACAAAGGACATTGGGTCACAGTTTCTAAAATAAACATGAGCATTAGGGCATATATAATAGCACAATATGAACCAAACTGATAAAAAGCAGTGTCACAATATCTATGATATACATTTATGGCTTATATGAATTGAACATTAACTTCAGTTTAAGGATGCTTAGTCTTCATTGTTCATAGGGAAGAAGTCTTCACAGTTTCAAAGCCTAGAATGAAAATTGTGCAGGCCGGGCACGGTGGCTCACGCCTGTAATCCCAGCACTTTGGGAGGCCGAGGCAGGCAGATCACCTGAGGTCAGGAGTTCGAGACCAGCCTCAACATGGAGAAACCCCGTCTCTACTAAAAATACAAAATTAACCGGGTGTGGTGGTGCATGCCTGTAATCCCAGCTACACGGGAGGCTGAGGCAGGAGAATTGCTTGAAACTGGGAGACGGAGGTTGTGGTGAGCCAAGATTGCGCCATTGCACTCCAGCCTGGGCAACAAGAGCAAAACTCCGTCTCAAAAAAAAAAAAAAAAATTGTGCTGGAGACGCCTAGACAGTCCCACATGTGTAGAATCGTCATAAAATTTCTTAAGGAGGAAAAAGTCATTACTAACCTGTTCTCTCATTTAGCCAGATTGCTTTAATTCATATCCTTTTTTCCTGCTTTAATCAATCAAGAAAACGCTCTCCTGCAGATTCAGAGCTCAGAAGTGTACTCTTCCTTGCTCCTGTCCATGCCCAAGCCTCTTGATCTCTGGGGAAAAGGTTGACATCTGAGGAGATTTCTTTGTTTCACTTTGTTCCAGCAAACTGTTTGTAATAGTCAGGCTTTTGACTGAAATTTGAGTCTTCTTTCTGTCCCTTAGGTACTGTCTAAAATTTTTCAGTGTTTTAAAAAAGATTTCTAATTAGTTGAGGGACCTCCAGGGTGAATAATACTATTATTAAATAAATGAATACAAATTAAACTTTTATGGTTTCTAAGCTACTGCTTTTTTTTTTTTTTTTTTTTTTTGAGATAGAGTCTTACAGTGTTGGCTAGCAGGCTGGTCTTGAGCTCCTGTGTTCAAGCAATCCTACGTCAGCCTCCCAAATAGCTGGGCCTACAGGCATGTGCCACTACACCCTATGCTGCTGCTTTTTAATGGAATGTTTAATGCATAAGTTTTAGGCTCCAATACAATATTAGTAAGACTTATTAACTTAGCAGATCAATGTGGCAATATTATTTATCCCAGGAATGTTCAGGTGTTCGTGTGTGGTGTGTCTATATGATTGGAAACCCATCAACTGGCTGTGAAAGCAGCAGTTTAGGATTGCCCAAAAGACAAAGATTTGGAAAAGCTTTAAAAAGTTTTGACCACAAAGGTCATAAATTTTAGTCTAGTGATGCAGATTTACTGGATCCTGATGAGCAACAGGAGTGAAAAGCATTTTCTAGAAGAAAAACCTGTGGTGATTTCTAGGTAAAGGACTTCAGATGAGATCCTGAAGTAATAACATATTGGCAGCTTTAGTAGACTCACAAACATGAGGTTAGGCAGCGATCTAAGGTGATAGACAGATGACATCAGAAACAAAATAAGTACTAGGCAAGGCCATAGCCTTGAATTTTTATTAGAGTTAGGAATTGAGGATATTCTGAACCCCGAGGATTTCAACCAAGAGAAAGAGTAGCAAGGCAATTTAGTTTAAAAAATAATTCTGATGTATATTGGGAAGGATTTTATTCAACTTAAAATCAGAAAAACAACCACTAATAGTTTATGTGATGCTTCTTCTAATTCTTACCTGGTATTTTAGTTCTAGGTTCCTATTAAGGTTCAATAAACCGCGACAATTGACCAAGGGCTGGGCTGTGATAAAGTCTTCCATTTTAAACAAATACAAATAACATTGAACCAGAAAGAGACATCAAGTCCATTTAAGGCATTGGTGTGTTTGTACAAGACCTGGGTTATGTAGGAATAGCAGTAAAGAACAAAGCCTCAGACATCTGATAGACATTGCTTTTACTTCCTTTTTATGTGACTTTAAGTGGGCCTATGACTTAATCTATTTGACCTTTACTAGGCCTATAGTTATCTTTAGTACATATTGCCAGTTTTCTAAGTGGTTTTACCATTTTACATTCCCACCAGCAATTTTTTAGAGTTTTAGTGTCTCCACATCCTCACCAACATTCAGATGAGGGGATGGTGGTTTCTCATTGTGATTTTAGTTTGTATTTCTGTGATGACAAACGGTATATATCACCTTTTCATATGTTTATTGGATTCTTAGATATCATATATTGTAAGGTGCCTTTTCCGATTTCTTGCCTATTTTTTAAAATGAGGTTAGGTTTTTGAGGGTTGGTTGGTTGTTTTTTTGTTTTTTGTTTTTTTTTGTCTCTTTTATTGATTAGTAGTTTAAAAGAAAGTATATTCTAGAATATGAGTTCTTTACTGGATATGCATCATGCAAATATCTTCTTCCAGTCTGTGGCTTGCTGTTTTACTCTCTTAATGGTGTCTTTTGATGAACATAAGTTTCTAATTTTAATATAGTCACATTTATCAGTTTTTCCCTTTATGTTTAGCACTTGTATGTCTTTAGCACTTGTATTTTAAAAACTTTTGTCTACCCTAAGGTATTTTATAATATTTCAGCAGCTTTATTTCAAAGTTTAAATCTTTAATCCATTGAGAATTTGTTTTAGTAAGAGATATGAGGTAGGGACCCAATTTTATTTTTTTCCAAATGCTTTTAAACTTCTCTGAAAACATTCCTCAATTAATATTTTAAACTCCACCTTTAGGGTGTTTTCAATCACAATAATCATAAGTTTATGATATAAAACACTCCAATACTTAGCAATGTTCAATGAAATATTAAAACACCAAAAGACACAATCTCAGAAACAGATAAATCTCTCAGTGAACCAAATATAGAACAGAAAAGCAAAACAATGAGTGGAGCTGAAGTCAAAGGGCTTCTGTGTTGTGGGTTTCTTGTTTTTTTAAGGGGCAGTATTTGCTGGGAGTTTAGCTGCTATGAGATAAGGAGTACTTAAAGTATATGAACAAGGGGCATGAATCCTGATTTCCATATGAAACCAGGGGCCGGGGAAAAGGATCTTCTTCTCATGAAAAAAGGCAAAAAGGCTAGGGGAAAACAAAGTTTCTGGTCACTACACTGGGCTGTGACTTTAGAAAACTTCAGGGTACATTTGAAGGAAGGTACATCCTCGTAATCAGAACAGAAGTGGTTGTCTGTGAGCTTTGTGACAGCATCAGGTTTATCTCCATTGTCACCCTGGGACAAGAATCTTAATATACCTTTATCAGACCTCATCTGGATTGGAGTGATCATGACTTGCGTAGATATAAACACAAGACTACCTGGCCAAGGTCTGGGTTGAATACCGAGGAAGAGAGAGGAGGAAAAACAATACACAACAGGCCAAAATTCCATGCCTGTCGATCAGGTATTCCTTAAATCCCTGGTTAGTGGTGCTGGCTGAGGCCCTGAGGAAAGGAAAGGCAAACCTACATCTGGAATGGATACCAATTGCTGTGAGGAAAAAAACCAAAACAAAACAAAACACCGTGGACCCTTCGAGGATAAAAGGAGCCCAACATAATCAACTTTCCATCTAATGGCTGGTTGTCACATTGGAGGCTCAGCACTGATATGTGTTGCTGGCAAGTGGGACACTCAGAGACAACCGTAGCTATATCAACCTTGGTGAGTGAAAGCCCATGCCACTGAGTCCATGTATAGCCTCCATTTCTGCCTCTCTGGTCACTTCATTCATGGGCCATTGTGCTGGGGTGGCCAGTGACAAAAACTGGCTAATATTAACTCACCAAGTCATTTTGTTTACTTGATTGTTTAATGCTCCTTCCATGATAATAATTTCATTTTAATGACGTTTTCAGGGGCCAGGTGTTGTGGCTCAGGCCTGTAATGTCAGTGCTTTGAGAGGCCAAGGTAAGAGAATTGCTTCAGGCCAGGAGTTTAAGACCAGCCTGGGCAACATGCCAAGACCCTTGTACCTTTGTAATGAGCATTAGTGTGTGATACAACAATCTTTGTACTTCATTCATGTCAATTCTCATAGGCCTATCTACATGCTGGTACCCCAGAAGTCCTTGTCTCTGTATCTTTCAGTCCTCCGTGTTTCTGACTAGTAGGCCAAGCCATTTGTCACTGCCCATGAATCCATACATACTCTCGTCACAAGCCCACTCCTTCCACACAAGGTGGATGACCATTGCCTGAACTGGGACCATCAGAAAGATTTTCCCTCTCCACTGTCTTTCAAGGCCACCCGTCAATGAAGTTGTAATGCAGCTGCCATTCATTTTTGGCTTGAGTAACCTATTCATTACCTCAAAACCCAGGCTTTGTCTACCTCCTTCACATGGTTGTACATATGTGTGTATATATAAATGTGTGTACATAGGTTATGGTATGTAGGCCATAGGTGTGACTTAGGGAAGAATTCTGGGTGAACTGTGGTGGATGATGGGGGGGTCCGCTCATGCAGCTTACATGTGCCCCGTGGTCCTGCTCGTGATTATCCTGTATGTAGTATTTCTATTTTATAATAGATTATTGGCAAGCCATCTTAACTTTATGACTTACTGAGTTCAGCAGTTCTGGACATACGGTCACTAAGTGTCACATGGTCAAATTTCCATCTCTGTCAGGTCCCAGTATCATATCAGAAGCTGTTTTTGTTTTGTTTTGTTTTTGAGATGAAGTTTTGCTCTTGTTGTCCAGGCTGGAGTACAGTGGCACAATCTTGGCTCACTGCAACCTCTGCCTCTGGGGTTCAAGCGATTCTCCTGCCTCAGCCTGCCCAGTAGCTTGGATTACAGGCATACACCACCATGCCCAGCTAATTTTGTATTTTTAGTAGAGACAGGGTTTCACCATGTTGACCAAGCTGCTCTTGAACTCCTGACCTCAGGTGATCCACCCACATAGTCCTCCCAAAGTGCTCGGATTACAGGCGTGAGCCACCACCTGGCCCAGAAGCTGTTTTTTAAAAGTCATATAATTTTATGCTATAGATGTCACAGACCCCAGGTTCTGCACTGTGATTCTTCCTCTAGAGTTTACTATAAACACACTGCCCTTTTTATCAAAACTGATACATATAATACCATAGGGTCTGCTGGATTGTATGACTCAAGTGGCTGGGCGACTTGCATCACAGCCTGTACCTTCTAAAGAGCTCTTGTTCCCAGCCCCACTCAAAGCTGGCAGCCTCTTATATTGCCTGATACGTACGTAGGTGAGCTCAGTATACCTAGTTGTGGAATGTGTGGCCTCCAGAACATAAGGAGGCTTAATAGGCATGTGTCTCCTACAAATAATGAAAGTATTGCCTCTTCCTTTCCAATTTAAGACCCCATTTTTCTTTCTCTTCCCTAATCGCATTTGCTATTCCTTCCATGACAGTGCTAAGTAATAGTAGTGAAAGTGAACTACTAAAAATTTATTGGCCTGGTGCATTTTGAGGTGTAGCTTTCTGACGATCAAAATTTTTTTTGTATCATAATTTGTCCATTTAGATTTGCTGTCTTCTCTGGAGCTAGATTTTTATTATTTATATTTTCCTAAAAATACATCCATTTTAATAATGGTTTCAGGGGCCAGGAGCTATGGCTTATGCCTGAAATCTCAGTGCTCTGAAAGGCCAAGATAGGATAATCTCCAGAGGCCAGGAGCTGAAGACGAGTTTGGGCAACATAGCAAGACTCTGTCTCTACAAAACAATTTAAAAATTAGCTGGGCGTGATGGTACACATGTGTAGTTTCAGCTACTTGGGAGGCTGAGGCAAGAGGATCACTTGAGCCCAGGAGTTCAAGGCTGCAGTGAGCTATGATCATGCTGTTGCACCCCAGTCTACGTGACAGAGACTCTGTCTTAAAATAAATAAATATGTAGAGTTGAGAAAAGCAATCAGTTATAATTTGTTTTATATTTTATCTGAATCTGTTCTCTCCACATTCTAATTTTTTTTTGTTTATTTATGTTTCTTTTTTCTTGTTTAAACTACTTATTAGCTAAATGGTTTGTTGGTGCCCTCCAATTTCTTGAATTGGAAACTTAAACTTTTATTCCTATGTGAATAACATAAATGAACATAAATATTTAACTAATGTTACATATTATCCTCTGGTTATCTATAACTTCTGATAAATCTTTTTCTGCTATCTTTTTTTTTAAAGAAATTGTGTAATTTTGGACTTGATTTCCTTTTGTCCTTTGTTAAGAAAGTTGTAAAAATATTTCTAGGGTGTTTTTCCCCATTTGATCAGATAATTTTATCTGTACTAGTTTTATGATACTTTGTGGAATGTATTGTTTTTTTAAGGGCTAATATAGAGTTAACTTTTGTAAATGTCCCAAAGTTCTTAAAATATATGTATGTGTAATATGAATATAATATGTATATTAGATACATATTTAAAATGAATATTACAAATTGTTTAAAAAATTTAACTTTCTTAAAACTTAAAATTACTTAAAAAATTTAAAGACATTTTTATCAAGAACACTTTTTGCCATCATTGGATTGCTAAACCTTCATTGTGGTTGTATTAATTCTATTTCTGTATAACAAATTACCCCCAAACTTAGCAACATCAAACAACAAACATTTATTATTTCAGTTTCTTTGGATCAGGAATCTAGGCTCAGCTTAGTTGTGTCCTCTGGGTCAGTCTCTCTCACAAGGCTGCAATTAAGGTATCAGCCAGGATTGCAGTCATCCTAAGGTTCAACTAGGGGAGGATCTGCTTACAAGCTTACTCTCCTGGCTCTTGGCAGGCCTCAGATCCTTACCGACTGTTCAACAGAGACGTGAGTTCCTGCCCAGGGACATGTAGGCCTCTCTGCCAGGCAGCCTACAGTGTGACAGTTGGTATTCCTTAGAGGGAGTGAGGGAAAAAGCAAGAGAGAATTTAAGCAAGATGGAAACCAGTCTTTTTATAACTTAACATGGAACTGACATCTCATCATTTTTGCCATATTATTTTGGTTAGAAGAGTCAGTAGGTACAGTGCATAATCAAGGGGAGAGGATTGCCTAGGGCATAAATACGAGAAACTGTGGAATTCCGGGGACTATTTTAGAGGCTGTCTACTCTAGTCTTCCTTCTGTCCCCAGTGATCATGTTCCTCATCCATGCAATACTCTCATCCTCCTTCCCAGTCCCCCAAAGTCTAATCCAATTATGATCAGCTTAAAGTTCAGAATCTCATCACCTAAATAATGTCCAGGTGTAGATGAGGCGCCTCAGGTGTAGTTCCTCTGCAGCTCTGCTCAATCTGTAAAAGTCCTCCCCAACCAAGCCCAACATACAGTAGTGAGACAGACAAAGGATAACCATTTTAGACATTTTTGTTTTAGAATAGAGGAAATGGGAGGCATAAAGGTCCAGTGCAATTCTGAAAGCCAGTTACTCCAATGTGAGAAATTGTTTGTTTTTTGAGACAGGTTCTTACTTTGTTGCCCAGGTGAAGTGCAGTGGTACAATCATGGCTCACTGTAGCCTTGACCCGCTGGGCTCAAGCGATCATCCTACTTCAGCCTCCCGAGTAGCCTGAACTACAGGCACATGCCACAATGCCTGGCTAATTTTTATATTTTTTGTAAAGACAGGGTTCTGCTATGTTGCCCAGGCTGGTCTTGAACTCCTGAGCTCAAGCAATCCACCCACCTCAGCCTCCCAAAGTGCTGAGATTACAGGCATGAACCACCACTCCTGGCCTTCCAGTGTTAGAAGCTTTTTGATTAGGTCTCAAGACCTAGGAATTATTCTTCATGGCCTTCAGCTCTGCTCCTTGGGCTCAGGTTTCACTCTCAGAGTTACCTTTCCTTTTGCAAGAAAGGTAGCACATGCTACAGTTGAGAAATCGCCTCGACCTTCTTTACTTGTCATTCATATTGGCAGTCTAATAGTCTTTTTTCATTTCATGCTGTACTTTTCATTCTGTGCTTTTCAGTTCAAGCTGGCTGAGTTCTTCCTGATAAAATTCTTGCAAAAACCTTGTGGGCTTCCTGTGACTCTTATTAGGGTTTACTCCATTACACAAAAGTCAAACCAGAAATCTTTTCTCGATAAGTCTTTCTTTACCTTCGGTTCCTGCTTAAAAGTTTGAGGGTCAAGGCACATAAGTTTTCTGAAGGCCTTACTGTTTGAGAGGATCTATGAAGCATACCCTTAATCTTTTTCAAAGGCCCTTTGTGTGACTGAATAGTACTCTGATGGTACCACTTTTTACCTTTCTTAATATAACAGAAGTTTTTACAGTCACATTCTTAGTGTCATCTTTAGACCAGGGTTCTCCTGGTGGTGCCCACAGTATGAACTTTTCTTGGGAGCTATTTCTATTTTTTTTTTGAGATGGAGTGTCATTGTTGCCCAGGCTTTAGTGTGGTGGTGCATTGTTGGCTCACTGCAGCCTCTGCCTCCCGGGTTCAAGCAATTCTCCTGCCTCAGCCTCCCAAGTAGCTGGGATTACAGGGACATGCCGCCACGCCCAGCTAATTTTTCTATTTTTAGTGGAGACGGGGTTTTACCGTATTGGCCAGGCTGGTCCTGAACTCCTGACCTCAGGTGATCCACCCACCTTGGCCTCCCAAAGTGCTGGGATTACAGGCATGAGCCACCATGCTCGGCCGGGAGCTATTTCTTAATGTTAGCATCTTCTAAATCTGGAGAGTTTAGAATTTTCAAAAACATCAAGTCCTGATTTCTTAAAAAATTTTAAAAATTGTGGTAAGATACACATAATATTTACCATCTTAACCATTGTTAAGTGTACTGTTTACTGGTATTAAGTACACTCATATTGTTATGCAAACATCATCACCATCCATCTTCACAATACTTTTCATCCTAAAAACTGAAACTCTGTACCCATTAAATAGCAACTCCCCATTCCTTCCTCCAGCTCTTGACTACCACCATTCTACTTTTTGTCTCTATGCATTTGACTACTCTAGGTACCTGATATCAGTTGAATCATACAGTATTTGTCTTTTAGTTACTGGTTTACTTCACTTAGCATAATGTCCTCAAAGTTCATCCAAGTAGTAACATGTCAGAATTTCCATCTTTTTTAAGGCTGAATAATATTCCATTGTGTATGTATGTATGTATGTGTATGTCTCTCTCTCTCTCTCTCTATATATATATATATATGTATACATATATGTATATGTGTGTGTATATACACACCCCACATTATTCACCTATCAATGGATACTGAAGTTGCTTCTACCATTTGGCTATTGTGAATAATGCTGCTATGAACATGGGTGTACAAATGTCTCTTCAGGACTCTGCTTTCAATTCTTTGGGGTATATACCCTCAAGTAGAATCACTGGTTCATATGGTAATTCTGGTTTTAATTTCTGAGGAACCACCATACTGTTTTCCACAGCAGCTGCAACATGTTACATTTCCACCAACAGTACACAGCTTCCAGTTTCTCCACATCCTTGCCGACATTTGTCTATTTCCATTTTGTTGTTTGTTTTCTATAGTAGCCATCCTAATGTGTGTGAAGGTGGTATCTCATTTGGTTTTTATTTGTATTTCTCTGATGACTAATGGGGTTGAACATCTTTTCATATGCTTATTGGCCATTTGTATATCTTTTGGAGAACTGTCTATCCAAGTCCTTTGCCTATTTTCTAATCAGTTTATTTTTGTGTGTGTTGTTGGGTTTTAGAAGTTCTCTCTATATTCTGTGTATTAACCCCTTGCTAAATATGTGATTTGCAAATATTTTCTCCCATACTGGAGGTGGCTTTTTTACTCTGTTGGTACTGTGCTTTGAGGCACAAAAATTTTAAATTTTCATGATGCCCAACTTGTCTATTTTTTCTTTTCTTTCTTTTTTTTTTTTCCTCGCTCTGTCACCCAGGCTGGAGTGCAGTGGCACAATCTCGGTTCACTGTAACCTCTGCCTCCTGGGTTCAAGCAATTCTCGAGCCTCAGCCTCCCGTGTATCTGGGATTACAGGTGCATGCCACCACATCCGGCTAATTTTTGTATTTTTATTAGGGATGGGTTTTCACCGTGTTGGCCAGGCTGGTCTCGAACTCCTGACCTCAAGTGATTCAGCCTCCTCAGCCTCCCAAAGTGCTGGGATTACAGGCATGAGACACCACGCGTGGCCCAATTTTTTGTTGTTGTTGCCTGTGCATTTGGTGTCATAGCTAAGAAATCATTTGGAATAGAATAGCCTGCTCCACACTATTTTGTTTCCTGTAGCTTTGTAGTAAGTTTTGAAATGAAGAAATGTGAGTACTCCACCTTTGCTCTTCTTTTTCTAGGCTGTTTTGGCTCAAGATTCTGTGTGAATTTGAGGATGATTTTTCTGTTTCTGCAGAAAATGCTACTGAGATTTTAATAGGGATTACATCGAATCTTTGTATCATTTTGGGTACTGTTGACAATTTTAACAATATTAAGCCCTCCAACTCACAGACATGGAATCTTCGCATATATTTATGTCTTTATAAATTTTCCTCAGCAATGTTTTGTAGTTTTCATTGCACAAGTCTTTCATCTAGGTTATCTGATTTGTTGGCATACAGTTGTTCATAGTCTTCGCTTATAATCCTTTTTCCTTTTCTTTTGTTCCTTTTGTTTTTTTTTTTTTTTTTTTTTGAGAAGTGGGATCTCACTATATTGCCCAGGCTGGACCTGAACTCCTTGAAATCCTCTCACCTCAGACTCCTGAGTAGCTGGAACTGTAGGCATGTGTCACTCTGCTGGCTCTTATAATCCTTTTTATTGGTAGTAATGTCCCCTCTTTCATTTCTGATTTATTTGAGACATCTGGTTTCCTTAGTCAATCTAGCTAAAAGTTGTCAATTCTGTTAATCTTTTTGCAATTTTTGCTTCCTATGTTTTGATGCTCTATTGCTGGTGTGTAAATATTTATAATTATTATATCTTCTGCTGCATTAAATTTTTTATTAATACATAATGTCATTCTATGTTCTCTGTAATCTTTTCAAATGTAAAATCTATCTTGCCTTTTATTACTATAGCTCCCCTGCTCCCTTTGGGTACTGTTTACATAGAATATCTTTCTTCATCCCTCTACTTTGAACCTCTTTCTGTCTTTGTATCTAAAGCGAATCTCTTATAGATCACCTGTAGTTGGATTACTTTTTTAAAAATTCATTATGCCAGCCTCTGTCTTTTGATTGGAGAATTTAATCCATTTACGTTTAAAATAATTACCTATACAGCAGGACTCCCTTCTGTTATTTTGCTATTTTTTCTATATGCCTGATAGCTGTTTTGTTCCTCATTTCCTGCATTAGTATTTTTTTTTTATTTTTGGTCATGAGATGTTTTAATTCCTTTTTTATTTACCTTCATGTATCTTCTATAGCTATTTTCTTTGTTGTTATCATGGGTATAACATTTAACATCCTAATGTTATAACACTCTAATTTGAATTTATACTAGCTTAACTTTAATAACTACAAAAATTCTACTCATGTACAGCTTTGTCCCCCTCAATAACTACTTTCAGTTATTGATGTCACAATGGTTATATCTGTATTTGTCTCGTATCATGTAGAAAACAAAAAATGAAGTTTCAAACCAAAGTTACAATAATACTGGTTTTTATAATTGCCTATATTTGCCTTAACTAAGACCTTTATTTCCTCATATGGTTTCATGTTAACTTCTAGTGTCTTTTCATTTCAACCTGAAGAAATCTCTTTACCATTTCTTGAACGGCAGTTCTAGTGGTAATGACCTTCCTCAGCTTTTGTTTATCTGGAGATGTGTTACTTTCTACCTCATATTTGAAGGACATTTTTGCTGGATGTAGGATTCTAGTTGATAGTTTCTTTTTTTCAATACTTGAAATGTATCATCCTACTGCTTTCTACCTCCAAAGTTTCTGATGAGAAATCTACTGATACCCTTATCGAGGAACACTTGTATGTAATGAGTTGCTCTGTCTTGCTGCTTTGAAGATTCTTTTTTATTTCTGTCTTTTTTGAGACAGAGTCTTACTCTATCAACCAAGCTGGAGTGCAGTGGTGCAATCTCGGCTCACTGCAACCTCCGCCTCCCACGTAGCTGGTATTACAGGAGTGAGCCACAACACCCGGCTAATTTTTGTATTTTTAGTAGAGACGGGGTTTCGCCATGTTGGCCAGGCTGGTCTCAAACTCCTGACCTCAGGTGATCCACCTGCCTTGGCCTCCCAAAGTGCTGGGATTACAGGCGTGAACCACAGCACCTGGCCTGAAGATTCTTTGTCTTTTGACAGTTTAATTATAGTATGTCTTGATACTGGCTTCTGATTTCATCCTATTAGCATCAGTTTAGATTCTTGGATTTCTATATTCATGTCTTTCATGAAATTTCAGAAATGTTTGGCTGCCTTTTCTTTCTCTCTTTTCTTTCTGAGATTTTCATTACGTACATGTTGGTCAGCTTAATGGTGTCCCACAGGTCCCTTAGGCTGTATTCACTTTTTTTTCTGTCTTTTGTGTTTCTCAGACTTAATAACTTCAATTGTCCTATCTTCAAGTTTTCTTATTCTTTCTCTGCCTTCTCAAATCTGCCTTTGAATCCCTATACTGAAATTTTCAATTCAGATACTGCACTTTTTAGCCTTGAAACACTTTTGAGGTTTTAAAAAAATGTTTTATATCTCTTTATTGATATTTCCACTTTGTTCATATACATTTAAAACATTTTTCTCCATGTTTTTGTTTAGTTTTTTGAGCATCTTTAAGACCGTTGTTTTAAAGTCTTTGATAAGTCCACCATCTGGTCTTCCTTAGGGACATTTTCTGTTGATTTAGTTTTTCCCTTTGAATGGGCCATACTGTTTTGTTTCTTTTTATGCCTCGTGATTTTTTTGTTGCTGTTGTTGAAAACTGGAGATTTGAATCTTATAATGTGGAAAGTCTGGAAATCAGATTCTCCTTCTTTCTCAGAGTTTGCTTTTCTTTCTTTTTTAAATTGGTATAGGCTGTCTCTGTGCCTGGGATCAGTAAATTTAAGGTTTCTTATGCCTTTTCTCAGCTGGCACCTTTCTCTAAATATGTGTAATTACTTTCTAAATTATCTTTTATATATAGTTGCTTTTGAATGTCCTAGTCCTTAAATATCTGGCTCCCAAAAGGGGAAAAAGAGAAAACCGAAGAGGGGAAATGTGTTGGCTTTTTAAATCTTCTAGAAACTGCTTCAGCCACAGGGGAAGGGGCTTACAGCAATGGTGGTGAGAGTAGCAACAATGGCTTCTCTTTTGTGTGTCTCCACCTCTGCTTTCAGAAGTAGCAGTCAGTCATCAGAGCACAGATCTTCTATATCTGGAGGACAGAGCCCTTATTGCCCATGTCTCTGCAAGTGGTGTATAAGCTGCTGCTGGAACACATGTGTAACTGCCTGTGCTGGGGCTAGTGGGTGGGCAAGCTAGCAGATTAAGAACAGAAATTGAACAAAATTAATTAACTGTCCAAGCCTTTATCTGGAAGTTGCAAGTCTTTGAATAGACTCCAGAGTTCCAGAATAGTTACATCAGCTAGTTTCTGCAGAACAATGTTATCTAGGTAGGGAGACTAATTTCTGCTACTTTCCACTCCACCATCTTCCTGGAATTCTCCTCTCCAGTTCTGATTTCTTTTCATTTTACCATTATTCCTTTAATTTATCCCACATTTTACAATAAACAACATAACAACTTAGACAGTAACTTCAACACTTTGTTCGGAAATCTAAGCTAGATCACCCAGTTCATTCAATGCATATCCTGCTTTCCATGTTACTGAAGGCAATAGTGTTGTTAAGCTTTCTACCATGACATAAAAAGGATCTCTCTTTCACCACCTTCTAATAACATGTTCCTAACTTCCTTTTTTGCCCTTACTGGTGGCATCCTCAAAGTCCAGATTTCTATTAATAGTCTTTCAAGGCAACTTAAGCTTTCTTTAACAGAATCCTCAAAATCCTTCCAGCCTCTGCCCATGTTTGGTTCCAAAGCCAAGGTAGCACCCCACTTCCAAGTACCAAAGTCTGTATTAGTTATCTCTTGCTGTGCAACAGACTGTCCCAAAGCTTAGTGGCTTCAAACAAAAAGCCCTTATTATCTCACAGTTTCTGTGGACCAGGGATTGGGCATGGCTGAGCTGGACTCTCAGACTCAGAGTCTTTTATAAGGCTGTAATCAAAATGTCATTTGGGGCTGCAGTTACCTCAGGGCTCAACTAAGAGAGAATCCACTACCAAGCTTACTCATGTGACTGTTGGCAGGCCTCACGTCCTCATTGGCTGTTGCCCAGAGACATCACTTTTTTCCACTTGGGCCTCTCCACAGAGCATCTCACAGTGGGGCAGTTGGTCTTCCTCAGAGTAAGTAAGGAAGAAAGAAAGAGAGTGAGCAAGATGGAAGCCAGAATTCTTCAGTAACTTAATCTCAGAAATGACATCTCAGTTGTTTTGCTGTGTTCGTTTGGTTACAAGAGAGTCAGTAAGTCTAGCCCACACTTAAGGAGAAGGGATTATACAAAGACATGAATACCAGGAAGCAGGGATTGGGGGCTATTTTAGGGGCTATTTACCATAGTGGGGTATACCTTTAAAACGATTATTATTAAAAAGCATTCCTTTTGAGTAACCCTTTTTGCCCTGAGTGCCTCTTCCCTACAATACTTACCAATATGGTGTATGAGCAGACTTTGGATGTGGTGTATCAATTGTTTAATTTTTTTAATGTAAGGTTGAGCTTATTTCCTTTATTTGAAAGTCAATAGTAAATCATTTTTTTCTGTGAAGGGTCTGTTCTTATCTTTTGGGTACTTTTCTCTTGGATTACTGGTCTTCAGATTATTTGCTTTTGTATTATATGAGGATATTAGCTCCTTGTCTTTCATATGTGTAGATAATATTTTTCACATTTTGTCATTCATCTTTTGATTTTTTTCATGATGTTTGTGCCAACAAATTTTAAAAAACTTTTCATTTAGTCACATTGATCAAGCATCTCTTTTATAGAGGAATTCTGTACTTAAAAAAGAAATTAATTCCTGTATTTCCTGCTAATTTATCTTTGATATCTTGCTATTGCCTTTTATAGGATAAATTTGAATCTCCTTATCCTGATCTTAATCTCATTCTTGCCTAGCTTCTTTCCTTTCACTCTTTGTAGAAACTCTTTACTAGAGTCCCACTGAACTCACGATCCCCAGCATGCTCACCTGTGTTTTTGTTTGACTCCTTCACATGCCTGCGGGAAGATACATAAAGGTAGAGTCTATGTTGGGGGAGCTTTTATAGGTCCAGAGCTTAGTTTGTTGAAGGAATAAATGAATTGAGATGATCAAAGAAGAGTAGTTCAAAAACAAAAGGAAAACATTGCCATTACACTGTTACTTGTTCTTCTAATTCTCACCTTTTCCAAGAAGATAACATAACTGTGATAGTTCAGTTTTATAACTATCTCACAATTTCACAACTGCCATAGTTGTCTGAGACAAAATGTTAAGTAGGTTTCTGTGCCAAAGAAAGCCAGCAGGTAAAGAATTTATGTCCCATTCTGCCTGGTAGCTAAGTGTGCCCAAGTGGTTAGGTTCTGGATAATGGGATATGAGAAGTAATAAGTAAAACTTAACACCTTCAAAATGGAAGGAGTGTGCCCTCCCCTCACTTTTCTCCCTACATGGGAATGTGGGCATGGGAACTGGAGAAGCAATCCGAGACTACAAAATGTAAGCTGTGTGTTGAAAATCAGAAAGCAAAAGGATAGAGGAGTTCCACTACCAGAATTGATGGTGTCATCTTTTCAGCCCCATGCTGCTAATGCTCAGACTGTTATATGAGACAAAAATCAACCACTGTCTTGCTTAAGCCATTAATATTTTGGCCTTTGTTACAGAAGTCAAATCTGTACCCTAACTTATACAGTGCCCTTAGGTGTTACATCCCACCTCTGGGATCATTCCCTGCTAATTCCTTGTGACAAGTTGGTATCAGGCAGCTAGGGAATTGAAAGCATGGGAGGTTTGGATCAAGAAAATGATAAGAATATTATAAAATTGAAGAAAGAAGAGGAGGAGGGTGAGAGAATGTGAGATGAATGTCAGCTGAGGTCATCATTGCAAAGCCACTTGTGATGAGAACTGAAGCCTGCTCCATGACCATGATGAAGAGTCACTCAGGAACCTTTTCAAGATCAGACAGGGATACATGGAAAATGAACCTCTCAGAAGTAGAAAATGAAAGGAGAATGATATGAAGTAATACAAGGAAACACACAGTAAAAGAGCAGGCTAGCCTCTACTTTGCAGCAGTAATGTAATGAGGCCTAAACTCTGTGATTGTTAAAATTAAACAGTAAAAAAATACCAGGGCAGGGGGGAAAGGGCAAAAGATACAATCCTGGCAAAATGGACCCTGGGCTCCTATTTCGGACACCTGGTTTCCATTAATCTCTCATCCCTGTAGATTCTTATGGTGCCTCATGCCTCCCCCTAACCTTGTCCTGAGCTGGTGTGTAAATTAAACCCCTAGGTTTAATCTTTATAATATTATAGGAGGGGGAACAAAGATACTAAAAGTTGAAAATGGAGCCAGATTCCACAGGATCCACATATGTACTAGTAGAATGGCCCAAATAGGTAACAGGGACAAGAGAAAGAACCACCATAAAACCAGATTTTATTTCCTCCTTTGAACCCCTACCTTCCCTTTCCCCTTTCCAAAATATGCATATACAGGTCGTGTTAAGAAAACCCTTTCCAGTTGGCCTTCTTCCAAGACAGGGTGCAGCTGGGCCGAAGGGCCACATGTTGAAGTTATTAATATGCCTATGCCCTTCTCCCCCACTGAGTTCACTGATCAAAGGCTCTGCCAGAGCAGCAGTGGATAGCCTCGCATAATGGGAACTGAAATTTTACTTAAGAAACCAGCTTTGCCAAAACACACTACCTTTCTAAGTGAAACATTCCATGCACATATTAACCTGATTACAGAAAGGAAGGGGGATCTTTTTTCCTTCAGTACCCTGCTAATAATTTTCTGTCAAGTCTGATTTGGCTTTAGCTGCACTCCAAGTTCTTGTGATGTGCCGCGTTCACCAGTAAACTAAAAACAGAAGGTGCTGCATAAACTCTGAGACAGGATACTCTGTCCATGAATGCAGACCCTGCAGAATTCAGTTCCCTGCCAACAAGGAAGGCCAGTGACTTTTCCAGTCTCTGACAACCAGCAGCCTGCCTCTGATTCGCACAGTCGGTGAAGGAAACATATGGAGAAAATGGTGGAAATAATTAAGGGTTCTTGGAGTTAGCAGAAGCATTGACTCATTACACGGGGCCCCTGCCTCAAAAGGGAGTAAACCATTGTGCTTATTAGAGAAAAGAATGAATGGTAACAAAGCATTTTAAAGTCCCAATCAGTTCCAGCCCCAGGTTGAAGGGCTGGTTAGGTAAGAAAAAAGGGAAACAACCCAGATTTAAAGGAAGCGATATCATTTTGCTCTGCTTGATAAATAGGAAAAGGTAGTTTGTGGTTTATTTTACTATATCCCAGGATAATTTGGTTCCTGCACAGCTGACAAAATTTTGTTCTCAGATATGATATCAAAGATCTACATATTATGTAGTTGCCCAAATAGAGGGCCAGTCCATGAAGAGTCTGAATAAAATTGTTGCTTCTCTTTCAGATGTGTCACAGGGCAGTCCTTGTTAGAGGATAGTGAGATGTGTTGAATGGTGTCTTTGGGATCCTCAAGCACAGATTGTAAACTCTGCTTCAAGTTTTACAGTGTCTCAGATTCAAATCTTCTTTGCCTGCAATGATAAACAGAGACACAGCCTTCTCTGAAAACAAATATATCTCATAAGGATGTCCTCCACTTCTCCAGTCCTCATCCCGCACAGCCTATAAGGTGCTGAGCAATTGATAGATCCTAGAAAAGTCCTGAAGTGCTTCAAGCAAACAAAAGGTAAATAAAAGGCAGCAACAGTCCAAGTCAGTCATTTCTAGGCATTTGCTTGAGGCCAGGAGTCTGAGACTGGCCTGGGCAACATAGCAAGACACTGTCTGCTAAATAAGTAAATAAATAAATAAGCAAGCAAGTCGGGTATGGCGGTGGTGCGTGTAGTTCTAGCTACTCAGAAGGCTGAAGCGGGAGGGTTGCTTGAGCCTAGGAGATCGAGGTTGCAGTGAGCTGTGATTGCACCACTGCACTCCAACCTGGGTGACAGAGTGAGACCTTGTCTCTAAACACACACACACACACACACACACACACACACACACATGCGTGCACGCGTGCGCAGAATTTGAGGTTTTTATCTGAAGAAAGGGAACTGTTAGGTAGATATTGGTAGCAAAACTGTCACATAATTAGATACGATATTTCATTCTTAGAACATCTGATGGCCTGGGTTTTTTTTTTTTTTTAATATTTTCTCTCATTATAAGAACTATCACATTAATACAAAGTGGATGTCCTAGATGTCTCAGACTATATGTCTTTACTGGGTTTGGTGTTCCTGTTGACATCCTTTTCTTTGGCTGTCTTTCTAGAATCCTGAAAGACTTGCTGCTTTTCAGATTGAAATATCTCATATTAATGCCAAGATTAACATTCTGTTCTTCTTAGGCAATCAGAAATCGTATTCTAGATTCACACTGTTCATAATTTCTCAAAGTTATGGTAGAGAAGACAGGAACAAGGTCGTTACTTACAAAAATACCCTTGGCCTTTGAATCTCGCCTGTCTGTAGATTCACTCTTTCATGGCATTTAATAAAGAGCATGGCTTTAAAGTGCTGAGTCCAAACCTAAAATTGAATAAATTAATCTGATCTTGAGTGCTTACCTTTATAGAGTTTAGTTGTGCTGGTTATATTTAGATATCAAAATGAAGGAAATAGTGTGTAAATTCCTGCTAGGAAATCACCATTTCTTGTATGTTAATATAGCCAGTCTTTATACCAAATGGAACTTTAAACTAAATAAAAACAAAACACCAAACTATGACTTAGATCATTCTTGAAAAAGAAATATAAGAAGTGAGGTTTCCGAAAATATTTCATTTCCTTCAGTAAATGTCCTTCATTTATCTTTATCATACTATGTTATGGTGTGTTTTACCAAAAGAACATTTCAGCAGATGAAGAAAAAAAAGGCTTGAGCAGCATGACTACCCTCCTTGAGCTTTTGACTACGGAAGTTCATAGAAGAGGAAAAGATGTCCTGTGGTTCCCTCAGTGTATTATAAGGAAGGGCATTTATAATCAGTCACTGGAAGTGGGATCTTAACCCACCCCCATTCCTCCCATACACAAGAGAGGGAGGAAAGGAGAGAGAAAGGAAAGCAAGCGAGCAAGCCTGAGGAGTGTGTACATGTAGTCCTCATTCAAAAAAGGATTTGAGATAGCAAGCTGAGGATGAAGCAAGAGAATAGAACGGGATGACCTAGTGGTGGAAACAACAGCTATACATAATGGGCCTTTAGGAAAGGGGATTAAGTGAAGTATTCTCAGCTGAATCAGTTGTTAACTATTGCATAGAATTTTCTTTCTTTCATATTCCTAACATTAATACATTACTAAAATTTTACTACATTACTAAACACATTACTAAATAGGAGCTTCATTCTGATTGTCTCGATTTTTCCTCCTGTGAGTATTGTCATCTAGAAAAGCTTTTGTGAGTACTTAAAAAGCCCACAGTAATTCACGTACAGCAATCCAAAACAACAAGTAATTTTTAGAGAATGCTTAGGACTGGTTTTTTTGTTGTTGTTGTTTATGTTTTAAGACAGGGTCTTGCTGTATCACTCAGCCTGGAGTGCAGTGGCATGTTCCTAGCTCACTGCAGCCTCAAACTCCTGGCCTCAAGCCATCCTCCTATCTCAGCCTCCTGAGTAGCTGGGACTACTTTCATACACCGCCACGCCCAGCTAATTTTTAAATTTTCTGTAGAGATAGGGTCTTACTGTGTTGTCCAGGCTGCTCTTGAACTCCTGTCTCAAGCAATCCTCCCTCCTTGGGCTCCCAAAGCACTGGGATTATAGGCATTAGCCACAGTGCCATAAGACTGTTTGGGCTGGCTACCTCATGATTCTGGGCATTTGCTTTAGTAGGTTTGCTTTGCCATTTTATTTAAGTGATATGAGTAGGAGTAAATCTCCAGGTTTCTGGGAGAGAAATGCCTTTATCTCCAATAAACATCAGGATGAAACCCAAAGTAGATCAATGGCATACTTTTAAGCCTTGTCAAATAACCTGTTGGGTTTTGTTGTTCGCAAGTAACTTTTCATCACTAGTGTATAAAACTTTACTATGGCATCACTGTACCAAACCAGTTAAAACCAGGGATGTAACCAGCTACAAAACAGCCCAAGGCAATAAGCTGTGGTGTCAGGAAACAACATTTATATTTAAATGTCTTCTTCACTAAAATAAACCTGAGATGGACCAGTTTTCTTGGCCCACTGTAATATTAGGCACATCTGGCATAACATGTAATTCTTGTTTTGTTATTTTTGAAATAACATTTAAAACACATTTTGTAAAAGTAATATACTTGGTATAAAGTTCAAACAGTAAAAAGGGAATACAATACAAATTAAGTCTCTCTCCCATCCCTGATGCTCCCAATTCCTCAAAAGTGACAGTTGTTACTTGTGAGTCCCTCTTATATTCAATATGTGTGCTTGCTTGCACACGCATGCTCTCTCTCATACACTCCCACATAGATACAGTATATATACATATAAAATAAATGTTAGCATACTATGTAACCTGTTCTGCATGTTTTATTTTTTAAAATCCATTTTATTGTAGAAAATACACAAATATAGAAAAGGGCTTAAGACTTAAATGTACCGTTATTAACAATGTACTTGGAAGAGCAGAAGCTTTGAATTTCAAGTCTAATTTGTCAGTTTTCCTTCTGTGATATTTACTTGCTGTGACTAAGCCAAGAATCTGTGATAACCTAAGGTCACAAAGATTTTCTATCTTTTCTCCTTATCCATGTGTGAAAAAAATATAAAACTGGACCTCTATGTAGCATGACTTTAAGGCAGACTGTACACCCAAAATCCCTTTTAGCAAAATAATAAAGTTTTTAGAAGATAATATAGAGGAATATTTTCATGACCTTGGGGTAGGGGGGATTTCTTTAAAAAAAAAAAATCATTTATGAGGCCAGGCATGGTGGCTCATGCCTGTAATCCCAGCACTTTAGGAGGCCAAGGCAGGCAGATCACCTGAGCTTGGGAGTTTGGGACTAGCATGGCCAACATGGTAAAACCTCGTCTCTACTAAAAATACAAAATATTAGCCAGGCATAGTGGTACATGACTGTAGTCTCAGCTACTTGGAAGGCTGAGGCGCCAGAATTGTTTGAACTTGGGAGTTGGAGACTGCAGTGAGCGGAGATCATACCATTGCATTCCAGCCTGGTTGACAGCGTAAGACTCTTGTCTCAAAAAAAAAAAAAAATCATTTATGAGAGCAGGAAATGCTGATAAATTTGACTTTACTAGGAACTTCGTCAGCATATCAAAAGGCATTACGAAGAACACAAAATGCAAGCCACAGAGTAAGAGGAAGTATCTGCAACATGTATAACTAGCAAAGCACTAGCATTCAGAATATACAAAGAACTCCTACATTAGAGAAACAAATTCAAATCACAATGAGATACCAGTACAAACCTTTTAGCAGTACTATAATTTACAAAATTGACAATATCACTCTAGTGGTATTCAAAGCAACTGGAACTTTCATGCATTGTTAGTGGGAGTGTAAAATGGTATCATCATTTTAGAAAACATTTAGGTAATGTATTATCAATTGCTGCATAATAAGTTATATATATTTAGCAGCTTAAAACAACACACATTTATTATCTCACAGTTTGTATGTGTCAGGAATCTAGATGCAGCTTCACTGAGTCCCCTGCCTCAAGGACTCTATCAAAGCCTCAATCAAGGTGTCAGTCACACTTGGGGTCTCACCTGAAGCTCAAACAGGGAAGGATCCTCTTTCAAGGTCATGTGGTTGTTGGTAGGATTCAGTTCCTTGCCTCTATCATTGAAAGCCTCAGTTCATTGCTGCCTATTGGTTGCCCTCATTTTCTTGCCACTGGACTGTGCCATGTGGCAGCTTAATTCATCAGAGCCAAGAAGGATGAGAAGAAAGTCTACTAGCAAGAGAGAAGTTACAAACTTATGTAATGCAGCCATGGGAGTGACACCCCATCACCTTTGATGTATTTTATTGGTTAGAAGCAAGTTACAGGTTCCACCCAGACTCAAGACAAAGGTATTACACAAGGATACACATACCAGGAGGCTAAGATAATTTGGGGCTATTTTAGAGTCTGTCCACCACAGGTAGCAATCTTATAAAGTTATGTGTTATCTGGTTATGTGTTACCATTTACCATATGATCCCACATCTAGGCATTTATTCAAGAGAAATGAAAATATATGTTCATACAAAGATCTATACATGGATGTTTATAACAACTTTATTAAAAATTGCCCCAAACTGGAAATAACCCAAATATTCATAATCTGATGAACAGATAGTTAAATCATAGCATAGCCATACAATGGAACACTATTTTGCAATAAGAAGGAGGTACTGATACATGTAACAACATAGATGAATCTCCAAAGTCTTATGCTTAGTGAAAAAAGCCAGACACAAAAGGCTACATACTATATAATTCTGTTTATATTATATCCTATAAAAGGCATAGCTACGGGGAAAGAACACAGATTAAGATTAGTCATTGCCTAGGCTGGGGATTGGAAGGGCATTAACAACAAAGGAGGGAACATTATGGTGGTAATGGAAACAATTTAGTATTTATTTTTATATTTACTGGTGATTACACAGTAAAATATGTGTGATTACACACACACATATTTGTCAAAACTCATAGAACTGTGTACCTGAAAAGGATGATTTTTTTCTGTATGTTGATTATACCTAAATAAATATGACTTAAGCAAGTAAAAACATTAGTACTCAAGGATTTTTGTTGTTGTTGTTAAAGACAATAGAGTTTGAAGTTTGGCTAATGGATATATTCTATTTTGCTAATGAATTTTTGAAAATTAAAATATATTCATCTTTTTTCTGAATGTTGTTTTCCCCTCTATGGCAAAAATGCCTTCTCAATTTATTGACCATGTATTGAACTCATGGAATATTCGCCTCTCATTTGCCTTGTAATTTTGAGTATTAAATACAAATTCATAAATGCCTAAGACTTAAAACCATCATTATTTACATATAAAGGCTAATGATAATAATTATTCTCACTTCCTGGACAAAACAAGAACTTTAAAAGATTTTTAACTTCATTTACCCTCTCCTAATCTAAATGCTAATGTTGTGCATTTTATTTCTATATAGTTTTTTTCAAGTTACACAGTTATTGTTTCATACTATATGTATTCATTTAGATTTGCCTATGTACAGTTTCAATATTTTTAAAATGTTCATGTCTTTTTTGTATCAGATCTTCTGTCTAGGACCATTTTCCTTCTAATTGAAGTACATTCTTTAATCAGTCTACAAGTGGCAAACTCTGTTTTTGTTCATTTAAAAATGTGTTTATTTTGCCTTTATTCTAAAATTATCCTTTTCTGGGTATAGGATTCTATGTTGGTAGTTATTTTATTAGAGCATATTGAAGATATTATTCTACTGTCCTCTGGCTTCCATTGTTTGTGTTGCATAACCAATTGACTATCTAAAAGCTATTTCTTTGAAGGTAACAAGTCTGCTTTCTATGCCTACTTTGGCCTCAGTTTTCTGCATCCTCACTATGATATGTATACTTCTTTTGTTTTCTTTTTTGTAAAATTTTTCTTTTTTTGAAGATACAATCTTGCTCTGTTGCCCAGGCTGGAGTGCAGTGGCAGGATCTCAGCTCACTGCAACCTCCGCCCCCTAGGTTCTTCTGCCTCAGCTTCCTTATTAGTAGCTGGGATTACAGGCATGTGCTAACATGCCTGGCTAATTTCTGTATTTTCAGTAGAGACGGGGTTTTGCCATGTTGGCCAGGCTGGTCTCGAACTCCTGGCCTATATAATTATTTTCTTTACTTCCCTGTTCTTCTTCTACTTTCCATTGTACTTTGAATCTCTGGATTTGTCTCTTTCAATATTTCTAGAAAATTCTCAGCTGTTATCTCTTCAAATACTGGCTCTTTACCATTGTCTTTCTCTTCTCCATCTGGGACACTGACTGAATATATGTCAGACCCTCTCACCATGTGCTTTATATATCTTACCCTTTCATCTGTATTTTCTCTTTTTCTCTCTATGTTCTGCATTTTAGGTAAATTCTTCTGATCTGTTTTCTGATTCATTAATTATTTAACTATGCCCGGTCCACTGTTAAATTCATTGAGTCCTTAATTTTAGTTATTGTATTTTTGTCATTTGAATGTTACTTTCTTGTCCAGTGACTACATCCCTAAGCTCTTTTTAAAATTTCTTCAGGTATATTCCGCATAGTCATTTCATTCTCTGCATTTGATCATTTGAACATTTAAGTCATTAAGGCTCTATTTCTGTTGTCTCCTGTTTCTCACTCATGGAGTCTTAATTTCCTTGTGTTTTATTTATCTTTGTGAGCTGATACTGAGAGGTGAAGCCAACTGGACTTCCTGGGTTGAGTGGGGACTTGGAGAACTTTTCTGCCTAGCTAAAGGATTGTAAACGCACCAATCAGCGCTCTGTGTCTAGCTAAAGAATTGTAAACGCACCAGTCAGCACTCTGTATCTAGCTAAAGGATTGTAAATGCACCAATCAGCACTGTAAAAATGCACCAATCAGCGCTCTGTGTCATCTAAAGGATTGTAAACACAGCAATCAGCACTCTGTAAAATGGACCAATCAGCACTCTGTAAAATGGACCAATCAGCAGGACATGGGCAGGGCCAAATAAGAGAATAAAAGCTGGCCACCTAAGCCAGCAGTGGCAACCCACTCGGGTCCCCTTCCACCCTGTGGAAGCTTTGTTCTTTTGCTCTTCACAATAAATCTTGCTGCTGCTCACTCTTTGGGTCCACACTACGTTTATGAGCTGTAACACTCACCTCGAGGGTCTGTGGCTTCATTCCTGAAGTCAGCGAAACCACGAACCCACTGGGAGGAACAAACAACTCCGGACGCACCACCTTTAAGAGCTGTAACACTCACTGCGAGGGTCTGCGGCTTCATTCCTGAAGTCAGTGAGACCACGACCCCACCGGAAGGAAGAAATTCTGAACATCTGAACATCTGAAGGAACAAATTCTGGACACACCATCTTTAAGAACTATAACACTCAACACGAGAGTCCTTGGCTTCATTCTTGAAGTCAGCAAGACCAAGAACCCACCAAAAGGAATAAATTCCAGACACAATACTGTGTTTTTGAAAATTATTTGTAGAGATAATTTTAGGTATATAATGAATGTACCTTCTGCTAGTGAAGCTTTATATTTGCTGTGTCAGGTAACTGTGGCTACTATCAGTCCAGAAAACCAATTTTAAATCTTGAGATTCCACGGATTTCCTGGTGAATTGGAACTCAGACTGTCAATCTGGATGAGGCCTGTTCTATGTATGGATTACCCGTTGAGGCTACCTCAAGATTGTAGCCTCTTTTGGTCCTAGTTTATTGTGTAAGGTGTCTCCTGTTAGAATCCTCTTTTGTAGGGGCCCGGGACTTTAAATTTCGTACTTTTTCCTTTAATGATGCTTTCTTAATATTATGAAATTTCTAGTCATGATCAAATTTCTAATTGTCTTAAATATCGTAACTTTAAAAAATATATAGTTTGAATCAGGATCCAATTACATTTACATTGCCATTGTTTTTAAAAATAAGGTTTTTAGGTATATTTTAATGCATAAGCTTTTTCCTTCCAATGCCTTCATTCTCATTGCAATTTATTTGAAAAAGATATCTCTTTGTTTAATATAGAGAGTTTCCCACAGTCTACTTTTGGTTTATTGCATCCCTGTGCTATAGTTTAATGTGTTCCTCTATTCTCTATATAACTTTTGTATTAGTTTTCTAGGGCTGCCAAAACAAATATCATAGACTGGAAGAATTAACAGAAGTTTATTTCTTCACAATTCTGGAAGCTGGAAGTCCACAATCAAGATGTTGGCCCTTCTGAAGGCCTCTCTTCTTGGCTTGTAGATGGCTGTCGTCTTGTGGTGTCTTCATGTAGTCTTATCCCTGGGCCTGTCTGTGTCCCTATCTCTTCTTCTTATAAGTCATGTTGTATTAGGGCCCACTTCAATAAGCTCATTTAAGTTTACCTCTTTAAATACCCTAGCTCCAAATACAGTCACATTCCTAGGACTTCAACATCTGAATTTGGGGTGGGGAGTGAGGGGAGACACAATTCAGCCTGTAACACCTTAGGAATTCATAGTTGGATCTAGAGACAAGATCTTGGTCTGTTGCCCAGGCTGGAGTACAGTAGCCCAATCACGGCTCACTGTAGCCTTGCCCCCGCCCCCACACCTGGCTCAAATGATCGCCCCACCTTAGCCCCCCAAGTAGCTTGGACTTCAGGTGCATGCCGCCATTCCTGGCTACCTAATAAAAAGATTCGTTGAAACAAGGTCTTGCTATGTGGTCCAGACTGGTCTGAAACTCCTGGGCTCAAGCAATCCTCTCACCTTGGCCTCCCAAAGTGCTGGGATTACAGGTATGAGCCACTGTGCCTGGCTAATGTTATACTTTTCCATAGATAGTGACATGATGTTTGGTTGCTGCTTTTTTATAACATTGTGTGTAGAACAGTAGGGAGTAAGGTAAATAGTATTTATGCCCAGATAGGGACATGCTTTTTGTTTGTTAGGAGATTGAGTCAATAAATCAAGAAGAGTAACCTCAGTATACCATAGACTTCACATCCTCTAATTGTGGGCTGCTGCTGCCCTGTGTTTCGGGTGGAGGCTTGGGTATCATACAGTGGGTTTTTCTCACTCAGCGTTAGGTTCATGGTAGGAGCAGGAAGTGGGTATTCTTGGTGATCCAGGTCTAGCATCCATCTTAGGCAGGCCCTGGCAAAAGGGCTTGGCAGTGGGCTTTCTCCGTGTTCCTGCTCCTCCTCTCCATAGCAGCAAACGCTACTCTGAGTTGTTGGTGTTGAGCAAGAGTTTTCCCAAAAGGACTTTCTCCATGTTCCTGCTCCTCCTCCCCATAGCAGCAAACTCTACTCTGAGTTGTTGGTGTTGGGCAAGAGTTTTCTGTTTCTCCCTTAGTGGTAGCAGATATCTGATGCGTATTGGTGTAGGATCCTGTACCCATGACCTTTTCCTGCTCCTGCCCCTGCCCTAGGGGTGTAGAGTTTTTTCCTTCTACCCTCTTTCCTCGCCACAAAGTGTCTTTTGCCTGTGTCCATGGGGCAGTAGGGTTAGCTATCCCTTCCTCCAGTGCTTTTGCTTTGTAAGGGAGAAGGTCCTCTGAAACAGGCTGTGCTTAATGCTTGTTTCCTAACATTAGCTGATCACCTCCAGTAGGCCTGGTAGAGGCCCATAGAAAAGAGTAGCAAGTGAGTGCTAAACTCACTCATCTATGCCTGTGAGTGCTAAACTCACTCATCTATGCCTGTCCCCACCCTCATCCTAGGTATTCCATACTGAACTAGCCTTCAGTTGGTCATTAACATTTTGTCACATTTGTACTTGATTTCTTATAGATTTTTAGAGTGGCCCTTTCTCCTATGCTGTGCTAAAGGTAAGATAGTTGTGAGTCTTCTTTCTTCCTGAAAGGGCTTGCTCCTTTTTGGAATTCAGTTTTCTTCATTGTTATCTAACCTCAGCTCTCTGATGGATTCAAGAAAAATGATAATTTTGTAGATTTTTCTAATTCTGATGCTGTTCTTTTATATCTTTTATCTTTTAAAAACTTTTTCATTGGCTCATTTTGAAATATTTGGCTATATAACTTATCTATTTTAAAGGCATGTCTTTCATTAACTGCAAGAAGGTTATTCTGCTCTTTACCATTTTTTCTTATAATAAATTTTTATGGAATTCAACAACAGTCCTTTTCTGTTGGTCATTTTCATGTGTAACTAGTTTTCTGAATTTTAGGAGGAACAGATAGGTTGGGGTAACTTTTTTAGCTTCACAGTTCCAGTGGTCCTGCTAGCTTTATGTTGTTTTCATGAAACATTCAAGAACATGGCCTCATTCTCCGAGGATTCTTGGTCTCTTCCCCTCCCTTTGTTTTATCTTCAGTCTCTCATGCCCCTGTCTTGCTCAATTTGAATTATCTTGCCTGTAGTTTCTTCTTACTGTGGGGTTTTGTCCTAAAAGGGAACTTCAGTTTCATCCCTTTCAGATCTTACCAGAGATCCCTTGCCTTGCCCCAAGCCCCCTGTCCCCACAATTGGAGTATGAAAAACTCTTGTAGTCTTCCAGATCACGTAGCTCCACTAAATGGAGCTCAAGAAGTCTGCATCTCTCTTTTCTGTACTCAATTTCTTTCTATTGCATTTATACATGACATGGAAATTTTATTGGTATGAGATTTTACAGATAGAAACATCATAAAAATGTTTCATGTGGCTGAACACAGTAACCTCAGCACTTTGGGAGGCTGAGGTGGGAGGGTTGCCTGAGGCCAGGAGTTTGAGACAAGCCTGGGCAACATAGTGAGACCATGTCTCTATTTAAAAAAAAAGGAAAAATCCAGGTATCTTTTCTTTCCCCTAATCCACCAGCTAGTAAAGACTGAAGGCAGATTTCAGACTTCTTAATTATCTAACTCTCTATTAGGGTTATATTCTGGTATTTTTTCTAGGTTTAGGGTAAGGCCTAGCTTTCAAATATTCTACAAACATTTCTATTTTAATTAGAAAAACATAACCATGTAACTCCTTTCAAATAGTATTTAACACCACCCTTCAACTTGGAGACAGCTATAAAGGATTTTGTTTGGTACTTCCAAATATCTAGACTGTTTTTTATTGTAATCATTTTCTCCCTTAAAATGTTTACCTAGCATAGTTTTTAATCTGTCCAATTTAATTTTTAAACTGATTTCGATTCTCCATTACTCCTCTGCTTACTGAAAAATGTCTCTCTCCTTCTACTTTACAGAGGGTTTGGGGACAAAATATTTTTAACCATTCCATCCTAATTTTATATAATTCCATATATACCCATTCATTCACTTAAGACCTTTCCCCCCTTAGCATAAAGATGAGAGTGAATACCCTTTATTTCATTCATTCTTTAATTAATTTACTCAGTTACAGGAACATTCAATGTAAATGCAGTTTATCAGGCTACCTAAGGATAAGACACATGCATGAATCACTGCCAAACAAGATATTTCATGTGCCACTGTAAGGAATCAGAAAAGGGATTGGGAAGATATGATGAGAGTAAATGTCATGGAACAAATGATATTAGATAAGCCTGTAAAGGTAGAGGGGAAAGTACAGGTTGTGTTTGGAAGGTAGGCTGGTTTTGGTGTAACAGATTATCCACAGATAAGTATAGTGAGAAAGGTAGCCTGGAACAAATACTGAGTTATGAAAGCAGGTAATGAGTTAACACTTTAAGAATTTCACTTATCATGGATGTATTGTATGCCCAATTTAAGTGGGAACTAAGTTTTGCAAAATAAATAAACATACAGAAGACATTATTTAGGTTTAGCCAAAATGACTAGCATCTGCTGGGGTCTAACTTTTCTCACTCCTTTATATTACTCAGTGTAGTGAATTCACGTCAGAGTGAGAGCTATACTTTCAAATCAATGGATTTCTTTGAGCCACATTTGGTTAGCCTGTAAAATATCTGTGTGAAGGAAGACATTGAAATGTGTTTTTTTAAAAAGGCTAGAATAACTTTATGAATAGTGATAACTCTTGTAGTTAAGGGGAAAGAGCTAATATATTGTTTTAGGGTCAGTCATACATCTGCTCCCTCATATTTCTGGGCTGGCTTACAACTTCAAAACCTAAGAGACAGTTTTCCCACTCTATGTGGCATTATGGCAAAGCAAAAAAAGGTGGCTAGAAGAATTCATATGTTTGCCTACCTTTCTTCCATCTCTGATCATTGTAAGCAAAAGGATGAATTAGTTGCAACCTTAATCTTAAGAGGTCAATCAGCACCTTATGTCCAGAGAAGTCTGCTGGGAACGTCAGGTTCCTGTGTTCAAACTTTTTGGGAAATTTCCTAAGTGTTGGTAGCACTTTGGAAAGGTATGCAGGACTCTTACCACATATATCTAAAAAATAAATTTGATTTCAGCTTCTAGCAGAGATGGAATAATAGAGACCAGATGTACCCTCCCAGCTGAAACAACAAAAAAATACAGAACAAAATATATAAAAGAATGGTTTTCAAGGTACTAGACATCACACAGTGAAGGACAGTGATCCCAGAGAGATGAGAAACAAACAAGGTGAGCCCTATGATTATCCCACCTTATTGCCTTGAAAGTTTCCAGGCCACAGCACAGGGTGAGGAACCTGAGTGAAGCCCAGCAGACTCCCTGAGTTGAAGAGATAAAGCTGAGTCTAGGGAGACCAAAGCAGCTAGAATTGTTAGGACAAAGTGCCACAGGAAAGATGAAAACCTGGAGATCTTCATGGGGTCCCTCATAAGTATTCAGAAAAGTACCAATTACTTTTGGCCCTGGAAAGAACCGAAAGCATAAAAGGGAACAATATTTGATGCTCACACAAGATGGGGAACAGTTCATGGGACATTTGAGTAGAGCATCAGCACGATCATTCTGCAGTAGTGGCGAATAATTAGCTCTAGAGTAAATAGTGCTCTGGTTCTGCTCGAAACAAAAACAAGACCCAAAGGGATCACAATATTTCCAAATAACTTAAGTGCATCCCAGAACAAAGCTTAAGGAAATTTATAGGAATACAAAAATATCCAGGACCCAACAAGGTAAAATTTACAATGTCTAGTAGCCAATCAAAGATTGGCAGGCATACAAACAGGCAGAAAGACAATAGCCTTAATGAGAACAATCAACTGAAACTGTTTCAGAATTTACACAGATGTTAGAATTAGCAGAGGATGATGGTAAACAATTATTGTAACTGTTTTTCATATGTTCAAAATTTAAGGAGAGGCATGAAAGGTATTTTGAAAGACCCAACTTAAACTTCTAAAGATAAAAACTTTAATATCTGAGATGAAAAAATACACTGGATGGGATTAATGGCAGATTAGAAGAAAATATTAGTGGACTTGAGGGCATAGCATTGGAAACTATCCAAAAGGAAACACACAGAGAGAAGAGTAAGCAAACAAACAAGAAACCAAACAAACAAATGAAAAACTTAGAGCATCAGTAAGTAATGGGTTAACTTCAAGTGGCCTAATAACTATATAATTGGCATCCCTTTGGGGGCAGGGTGGGGGTGGTGGCAGGGGAAGTGAAGGGAGAAGGGACAGACAAAATGTGTTTGAAAAATAATGGCTAAAAATCTTCCAATTTTGATGAAAAGTAATTCCCCACAGATCCAAGAACTCAACAAACCATAAGCACAAGAAACATGAATGAAACTACACCAAAGCACATCATAATGAAATTGTGATGTGATAAAGCTAGTGATAAAGAGAAAATTAAAAGCAACTAGAGAAAAAAATACATAAAAAATAAGGATGATAGCAGATTTGTTACTGGAAACCATGCAAATGAAGCACCAGTGGAGCACTACCTTTAAAGTACTCAAAGAAAAAAAATAAATTAAGCTGAATACAAATCACACTTTGCTAACTGTTCAAAGTGTCAAACTTACAACCATGTAACAAAGACACTGTATGACGATGTCCTATCTACAGGCAGTATGACAAAGCTACATTTATGGGTTGTTATCCTCAGAGAAAAAGAAAAATCACCCACCAGTCATTCTCTAGTAAAGAGGTCTTTACTAGCCCTCTGATATCAATATTGGCAACTTTCTTTCTGAGGCCATCCTTGTTCTGATTAAAAATAGACAAAGTTCACAGATAGGGCCTCCTAAAGCCTGTATCCTAAAGCTTGATGAGTTCTTACCTGCAGAGGCTATCATAGAAACACTCTAATTGAGTCTTTTCTCTCTGCTGATTTAGTTTTTACCCATTTTTTTTTCCATGCGTCTTTTAAATATTTATTTTGCAGCTTACTCCAATAATAGTATTTTAAAAACCTCTTCCTGGGTCTAGGGGTGAAGAGATCCTCTTGCTGCATTCTTTTGCATGTGTTCCCCTTTCAATTTTGTTTCACCTACAATTAATTCATGCGGAGTCTCATTTCAGATGCTACACTTCTCAACTTGCACATCTGAACCACCTCAAATCAGGTAGTGGGCAAACTGTCACAGCATATTCTGTTTTCCCTATTCTGTAACCCCGTACATCTAAGGGGCTCATCTTTCAAGGCATGGTGAAGCAGACATACATATTGTCTTGGAAACAAAAGCAAACTACAAGCCATCTTTTCCTCATGTCCAAATTAATTACTACTGGTGGGCATTGAAATACTATAACCCAAACTCCTATACCATACTCCTGTACAACTCGTGAGCAGAAACCTCCTAAAGGATCTCTGCACCCTCTGATATATGTATAGACAGGAAAATGTCAGAAATAAATGTATGACAGAGGCTTGATGGCACTTAACTTTACAGCTGCAGTTCCCAAACCTCTGTGAAGGAAAGCCAAGTTTAGAAAGCAGCAGTTCCAAGGGGCCTACAGAAAGGAGAGGTGGAGAGGTCATAATGACTGATAGTAACAGCCGATTTTTAGCACTTAGTATGTACCAGGTGGTGTCCTAAGCATTTTACGTATATTAATTTATTTAAAATTCACAACTCTATGAAACAGGTACCATTACCCTCATTTCACAGTGGGAATAAATAGCTAAATCAAGGTCACCATGATGGAGCCAGAATTTGAAACCTGTCAGTCTGACTCTGGAGCCCCTACTCTCACTCTTCTGTAGTCTCTCAAGAAATAGTGTGATGGGGGAAGAGCACTGGATGAAGGCTAAACACCTGGTTAGTGCCTTCTCCCCTCATTACCTCACTATCCTGAATACTGGGGATAAATGTCACCCACCTTGTCTACCTTACAGATCATTTGAGGAACAAACAAGAAGTATGTAATTTTACAAAATATTTTTACAAGTGTTATGCAAATATAAGGCATACACAGGAATTAAAAGAGCAGCAATGTATGAGAGGGCGTAGGAGAGTAGTGTATTAAGTAGGAAGGCAAGGAAGAATGATGTTAAAAAAAAAAAGCTGTGAACATTGCAGAGGTAGAGAATAGCCCCCGCTGCCTTTCTCCATTGTTACTATTAGTTACTGCTCAGCACTCACTTCTCAGGCCAAGGGATCTTGGCCCAAAATTAAAACAGTTTATCCGAGATTTTTCATTCCCATGTTAATAAGGGATTGAAAAGTTTAATTAAATAGCCTCTTTGTTCATCTCTTCTACATAGAATAAGAAGTGAACATACATAAAGGATCAAAAGCAAATTTATTTATGTTGCTTGTAATTTAAAAACTCAAGAAGACAGATTCAGAGGAACCCAAGCTTACTGACTAGGAATCCTAAAAACAGATGCCTCTAGTTTAAGAAAAGAATGAAACAAGGAGGGAAGGAAAATACCTACCTTCATCATGAAGTAAGGAATGGAAAACTGCCTCTTCCTCAGTGGTTCTGAGAGCACTTATTTCTTTGCAAGTTTTTCCAGAACCTTGGCTGTTTCATCCCCAGCAGTAATGTACAGAGGCTGAGTGAGCACATCTGTCCTGCTGCACACTCTGTAAGGCTGCAGAGCAGAGCAGCAGGTGCAAAATTCTCATCCTTCAACTTGACTCTTAAACTGCATGTGCTCTTGTAACTTAAAGTCTAAACTTGTTAAAAGTAAGGTTTGGAAGGTCATTAGTCTGTAACAGGGAGGGGTTAGGCGCTACAGACGTTTCTTTAAAGCAGAATTAGAAACAGCTACCTAACACATATCTGCCATTTTCAGATAGTGCCATTTCATTTTCCAAGGGAGAGAAAGCCATTAATTCATCCATATGAGGATGATACTGAAGCCAGACTGGAAGACTTCTTTTCCCTTAAGAAAAACAGATTTTCCAGTAACAGAAAGAGCTTCAGTCTTTTACCCAGCCCTTCCTTAATGTAACTTAGGTGTTCAGAGATTCTCTGATACAAAGGGCTCAACCATCAATAAAGTTTTGTCTTATTTTCTTGTTAGAAATTTATCTGTAGGAGAATTTGAATTGTAGTCACCTTCCTCCAAAGAGCTGAAGCAGCAACACCTCTCTGCAAAACTAGTTCCATTTAAAATGTTTCAATGCAATCCTGCCAGATCCTAAAATAATTATAGTTTAGAAAGGCAGACGTGGCTTTGGGTCTCAACAAGTTTTATCCCACTGTACCTTTTCACAGGGTGGGAAGAGAGATCAGCAACGTTAACTGGGTGTCAAGAAAACATACCGAGATTGAAGCCATCCACTTCTGCAGGAACACCGAAAAGAAAGGTACAACGCTTGGGGAAAGACTGGATTTCATTAGGGACAGTGACAATACCTGTTTGACATAGAGGTTCCAGCGCTGGCCAGGGAACTCCCTGAGCACTAGTAATGCCAGTGTCAGTTGTAGAATTCTTTTAAAATTTGAGTTAATAGGGTCACTACTTTTTGAATGCCTGCTGCAGAAACTAAGAAAAATGGCTGGCTGAGCCAATAGAAGAGGATTTTGTAGCTCAACTCCTGGGGAAGAAAATACTCCTTTTGACGGAGGGCAGGTGCTGTAGACCTTGCAAGGACATAGCCAGTCTGCAATGTCATCTAGGCCCACCCGCTAAAGTTTTAAAAGTAAAGTAAAGTATTTATTAGCTGTGGCTATAAATTAGAGATGAATGGAAGGTCTTCAGGCCTGATCTTGGAGGCATTCCTTATTAATGAAGTTCAAGCATTTGCTGTGGTAGGGGAGGGTTTTTGTAAGAGGACTGAATCATCTCTTGTATGCAGACATTACTGATACTGCTGTTGTGCAGACTGGGCCTCTCAAATTCTGCTCTAACAGAGGTTTAGAAAAGTCTTTTGCTAGGACAGGTAAATGTAGTCAGTTATCCATTAGTTCAACTTACCGTTCATATCTTTCTGTCATAAACACTAGATCCAATTCCCATTTCAAAAAAGTTGAACCTACCTTTCTCATGGCTATCAATCAGTAAAACTTTTTTGCCTGCAATTGTGTCAAGCATCAAAAACTTTCATATAAATATTTGAATTAAAAATCTAGTTGCTATTAGGGCACTCTAGGGCCAAATATCGTCCAAGATATCAGACTCACCCCTCCCAATGAAGAAACGCAGACGGCATCATGGCCCAAACTTCTGACATTCATGAGCCCCAGGAGATGGGAAATACAAGCGTCTTTAGAAACACTAAAGGGCTCGTGTACATCCTTTTGTACCTTGGGATAAGTACTCCCTGCACACACAACCTCAAGGTATTCACATTTATACTTTGCCAGCCATCAGCCTCTCTCTCCTGCACACACACATGCATGTGCACAAATGTGGTAACAGAGACAGGAGCTTTTGCTCATATTTTTTTTTTAATGTATCACAATGAGCAGGAAACATACTTGATGAAATATTTTCAAAGGAGTATATTCAATTACCATCTACAATCAACTTAACTATGACAACAAAGTTTTTGTGACAAATTTTTTTTTCAGTTTGAAAGTTCCATGTGGTTCTGTTTGTTAGTCTCCATGTATTTTGGTACAGTTCGAGATCAGCATTGTTACAGTAACAAAAAAGCTAACAAGACTACATTATAGAAAAACACCAAGAACATCATTTTTGGTTTCACTTGCTCTATTTTTTTTGTTGTTTTTTGTTTTTTTTTCTTTTTGTACATTGCAAAGGCTGTTCATATACCTCTTCACCTCAGGGTCACGTTCATTTATGCTTTCTTTCCTACCCAAACTTGCCCCCCTCCCCCCTGAAGAAAGTAAACAAACAAAAAACTAGTCAAAGCTTTGTTTCACAGTGGGCAGTATCTCAGCGCCAACAAACAACTCAATTTATGCTTCTATTTAAAATGTTTTAATTTATTATTTAAAAAAAATATATGTCCATGAACATCAAGTGCACTGGCTTGGGTCACTGCCTCTCTCTCCTGCAACTTCCTGCCATGCCTGATAAACTCAGGTTTAAACACATGCCGTCTGTTTTACTTTATTTTCAATTGTGTAAAACTTTGGCCACATTCATCTCTTTAAATAGCTTGTAATTAAAAAAAAAATTCCTAGATGTATTAAATTTTTCCTTGTGTAGATATGTGGTTTTTGGAAGGATGGAGGAAAGATGGATGAAATAACTCCCATTCTGTGGGTCAGACTGGTGTCTAGCACCAACCCACACTATAGGGAGAAAACCAAAAAACGAGTGTCAATGGAGGTGAAGAACTAATTTAAAAAGCAAGTGGAAATATATCCTACCCAGCTACCTACAATGCAGCAGACAGGAATAAATTCCCCAAGTGAGATAAAGCTAAACAAACAGTTGAGCATTGTAGTGAATTCATGCTTTGTAAATAGTACTGGTCATAGCCACGATGGCTGTCAGCCCACAAACATCTAACTCATGTTTGACCTCTAATGTTCACCATCACTGACTGCTTTGCTACTTCTGGGTTAGTGCTGAGAATTATTCTTACTTTTTTCAATGAACATATATGTGGGCGGTTTAGTTGCAGAGGAAAGCATTAAGGGTGCAACCCACTCCAGGTTGAAACAATCACATAACCCCTCTGAGAACACTAGGTGGGTGGAAGTGTGCTCAGCCAATCTATTCAACCACCTTATTGTCGCCAAACACCCACAGCTCAAGGCATGGCATAACAAAACACTGACAGTCACTCTGCCTCACAGAGGGAGGATGGCATAGTAGCTCCATGAAAAAAAAAAACAAAAACAAAAACAAAAACCCAAACCATCAGGGAGGGGGCAGCAAAATTATAAAGAAAAGAACTTAAAAGTTGAGGGGGGAGGGAAAAGGATAGAAATTGCACTATTACCAAGCAATATCATTTTTAAAAACAACGTTTTCAGAGAAGACCTAGCAGAATTTGACAGGTAAAGCTAGTGTTACATTGTTAACTGATATCACATAGAGAACCAAAAACAAAAACAATTTTTTTTCTATATGGTACAGACACAGAGTAACATACAACAGTTAAATGGCAAAAAATATATATATATATATTTCATAGAGTTACAAACAAGATAAAATAATGGAAAACAAAAAACTGTACAACTTTAAAATTTAAAAATGTTCATCTCAAACACAGGAAGAAATACAAGATTTCTTGTTAAAAGGAAATAGCTTGTTAAAACAGTAAATGTTTTGCGTACTTGCTTTTGACACCTTATGCTACAACTGGATACTGGTATGAATAGTTAGATGGTATTCTTTCTTTAGTATTTCTACTTAAAAAAAACAATTAAAAAAGGAATTTGCACTGTGCATCAGCCTAGTTAGAAATATGTACAACATTTCAGGATCTACTATTTCATTAAACTAAAAACAAATTCATAAAAATAAAATAGTCCCGGCTAAAAAAGAAAAAAAGAAAAAAAATCCATTTTCAGATCTTGGAATGCTCCAGTCTTTTGCAAAGTCGATGAGTGGCTTCAGCACTGGGGAAAGAAGCCCGAAAGGTGACCAATGGAACCTGTATTCACAGTCTTCAAAGTTCCCTTTTGAAACATAAGGAAGAAAACGAAGGGAAGAAGGATTTCACACTTTGGGGGCAAGGGGAGATGGTTTCTGTTGATGTTTAGCTATGAAAGTGAAACAGCAAAGCATCTATTTATTTGTCTCCAAAATCTATGTTTTAGCAGCACAAAGTTTTCAAAGTTCAGACCATTTATTTATTTTTCTTTTTACATGAGAAAGGGTGTGTGTTAACAGGAATATGGATATTAACAGAAACAAGTGCCTCACATACAGTTCCTTTTTTGCTTTCTGTACACTGCTATCTGCTGCTTTGTTGGCTGCGCTCTGGATCACTCGCTGCTCAGACTGCCTAACACAAGGACAAAACTTTGAAGTAAAAAATGTGTCTTTTGGTATATGGAATTGTCATTAACATTTGCCTCTCTGCTTGCAGAAGAAGCACATAACAACCTGGGAATCTTTTGTTTTTCTCTTTCTTTTATTAAACTAAGTCTTGTTTGTTTAAATCAGAAACAAATTCTCAAGTAACAAGAACCCTTTCCCTTTTTTCTGCATCAGCAGTGAAAGGGTGTGTCTTTGGATTTTATTTAAAGCATGAAATTTTTTTTTCTGAGAGAGGAAAGAAAAAACAAACACAAAACCAAAAACCAAATCCCTAACCAAAAACTTTTTTTAGAAAAGAAAAGTACACAGCCAATTACACAAATGGAAACAAATCCTTTAGTATAGAAAAAAAAAGAATATTTGAAGCTCCTACCAAACAAGGAGGAAAAGAAGGGGTACAAAGAAAAAAAAGCCAAAAGAAGGATAAATAAAAAATAAATGCACAAAGCTAACAGACACAGGTAACTAGAATTATATGCCTTTAAAAAGTTTCAACTCCCCAACCAAAAATAATCTGTGAGGATCCTAATGACCCCTAGAATCCCTTGAAATTCTTTCTTTAGTTTTATAAAATAATTCTGCAGCTCCCTCTAAGAAATGAAGGCAGCTACCTTAAGTGGGAGATTATAGGACGGGAGGTGGGAGAAGGAAAGAGAAAGTGGAATTAAGGGACAAGAAAGAGAAAGTGGAATTAAGGGACAAGGGGAGAAAAGCTTAGGCGAATCAACGGATTGCAATCTATCATCTGCTAGGAATGAACAAGACAACATCAAATGAGGAGCTGTCAGCTGGACCATACAAAAAGCTAAATGTACACAAAAGGTTTTTTTTTTTTTTTCCTTTTAAATCTACCATACTGCTTCAGTTCATTTCCAATGCAACAATCTACTCAACACCAAAAATGGTCATATCTATCATAAATACAGAAAGTCAGTTTTTAAAACTTATTTTTTTTAAGCTACAAGTCCTCAACACTCTTTGTGTGTGTGGGTTATTATTTTTTTTTTTTTTTGAAAGTGGGAGTGCTTAACTTTTCCCCTTGAAATTGGCTTCAGCAGAAAAGCTATCCTTAAAAATCCCCAGAAAGCTAAAGCAGTTCACATTGTTTTTCTTGAATACTTTCTGCCCATTTTTAAGTTAACAAAACAAAAAATCTTTTCTGGAACAAAAAAAAAAAAAAAAACTGAAAAAACAATAATATATAAAACAATGATTCTGAAAACAAAGTGTGAGCGATTGACCTGAGAATAAAAAGACATTACATTTCTTTTTTTCTTTTAGCAAGCCATTGGTATCTGAATGCTAAGATAGCAAGAAATTTAAAACTGTAACAAGGTGGACTGCTTTCCCATACAGTGCATGCCGGGCTCCTCTGTGCTATCAGCGTGGGGCGTTTATTGAAAAGGGGCAAATATACAAGGGGTTTAAGCTCCAAAGACATTAGGGAGGCCCTGCGGACTTCTGTTTCCCAGACCAATAGTACCTTCAAAAGGACACAATGTAACAGGGTTAGGGCTTTTTTTTTTTTTTTAATATTAAAAGAAAAGAAAAAGACAAGAATGTAAAATCACCGGCATAGATAGGTATATGGGAAAACAACCCACGCTTTTTCTTTTTTTTCTTTTTTTTTTTTTTTTTGTTTTTTGGTTAGAAGCTTTGGAATTGCAGTTAGTCTATTTTTGAAATTGGTTTGTTATTAATTTTTGTATTTAAATTCATTTGTTTGTATTGTTCATCTTCAAAGCTTACAATCTGAAGGTGTCCGTTCCTACACTGGTCAGACCACTGTCCTTGGGGCAGCTGGGGTCTTTGGGACCCTCCACCGGGCTCGCCGGTCCGTCGGACTTTTGGCTGAGATCCGTGTCAGACTCCTCCGAATAGTCGTCTGTTGGCATCGAGGGCTGAACCCCTGAGGTGCTGCATGAACTTGAGGTAACCGTTGAAGATGAGGAGAGAGGAGGAAAAGAAGGGGGCTTCGCTGCCGAAGCCCGGGAGACCACTTGCGGCCAAGACTTCCTGGAGGCGTGGGGGGAAGCGGAGGAGGGGGCGGCGGCCGACGGGGGAGGGGGGCTGTCGTTTGAGTGAGCGGCAGACTGCGAGGTAGATGCGGTGCTAGGATCGGGGAAGCAGGCAGAGTGAGGTAATAAACTAGGGTGCTCTTTGGCGTTTCTTGCTGCTCTCGTGATTGTTCTGTGTTTGTGCAAGGCCGACTCGAGATGTTGACTCAGAGCTTCCTCCCCACAGAGCGCGCTCTCGCACGCCAGGCAGTGGTACGAGCCGCCGCCGCCGCCGCCGCCGCCACCGCCGCCGCCGCCGCCACTGCCACCGCCGCCGCCGCCGGTGGGGACGTGAAGCACCATCTCTTGCAGGTTCACCACAGACTGGCCGAAGAAGCAGAGGGACTTCAGGTGGCTCCTCGCTGCCTCCTCGTCGCTGAAGCCCGCCTGGCACTTGCGGCAGACCAACTTGTACTGCACCTTTGGAACAATGAAGGGGTCGTAGAGGGAGTCCGCACTTTTGCTTTCTGCTTCTGGCTCTTCAGGGAGTTTCGGCAGGAGGGGGGACACCTCACGGGGGGTGTTTTTCTGTTCTTCTGGTTTGGGGGATTCTTTGGCAGGGTCTTTGTCTGGGGAAGGAGCCCCGGGGGGGACTGGGGTTTGGCTTGCTTTGGGCTGCTGCTGCTGCACTTTTTGCTGCTGCTGCTGCTGTAGTTGCCGCTGCTGCTGCTGCTGAATTGCCTCCTGCAGACTCTGCTGGTATTGCTGGTACTGCTGCAGTAGGGAGCCTGGGGACAGCCCCATCAGGGCCTGCGACAGTGCAGGGCTGTAGGGGAACAGGCCTTCCATGCCATACATAGGCTGCAGGTACCCGCTCTGCAGGGCGCCAGGGATCTGGGGAGCATAATAAGGAGAAAAGCCTGGTACAAAGTAAGGAAGGAACTGGCTTGTGAGCAATGCTGTGGGGTCCGAAGTCAACGCGGCCTGCAGGGCCTGCAGCTGTGCAGGGTCTACCGCATACTCCATGGTGGGCAGCGGGGCTGAGATCGTGGCTGCAGTTGCCGTGGGGGCCTCTCCTTTCTCCTTCTTGGGGACAGGCAGGGGTTCCCCTTTCCCTTTGTGTGCCTTTTCCTTCTCCTTTACTTTCTCACTGTCTTTGTCCTTGCGTTGCTGCTGCTGTTGCAGTGGGAGCTGTGGTGTGGGTGGCGGCTGGGCTGCTGGCGGCGGGGGAGGCTGCTGCACCTGTGGTTGCTGCTGCTGCTGCTGCTGCTGGGGGGGTTGCTGAGGGCCCATCGCCATCGTGGCTTGTGCTGGGGTTGGGGAGCTCAGCGACGCTGAGGACGGTTTATTTGGTAATCCAGAAGTGGGGAGGCCAGGGGAAGGAACAGTTGTGCTGGGCAGACCCATCAAGTTCGGCTTAGGAGACGTTAAAGCTGAAAGGAATGGAGACAGAAATCACCGGTCAGTCTGGGCAGGGGTAGGGCTGAAGCTCAAGACGTTTTACCGGTGTCACTGGCACACAGTTTGAGATGTCAAGGCTTGAAGGATCCTCTCAAAACGAACATTTCCAACAGAAGTATCCCACCAGGCTCAGGGCTGGACAACCTTGTATTCTAATGAGGACTCAGTCCTAGGTCAGCTCCCATACTTCCCCTTTCAGCCAAACAACTTCCAGAAGTATCCCACCAGGCTCAGAGCTGGACAACCTTGTATTCTAATGAGGACTCAGTCCTAGGTCAGCTCCCATACTTCCCCTTTCAGCCAAACAACTTCCAGAAGTATCCCACCAGGCTCAGGGCTGGACAACCTTGTATTCTAATGAAGATTCAGTCCTGGCTAGCTCCCATACTTCCCCTTCCAGCCAAACAACTTCCAACACCTTCCTGCCCAATGTGCCACACCCGCTAGTTCACATTTTCTTTGCCAAGTACTCCCAGCTACCATTCACTCTGCCCAACTGCAATTAGTCTAGAGGCCCCAAAGCTAGCTGTTTCTAGCTGGGGCCCATTTGCACCAAAGGCCTTCATCACAAAAATAGTATGGCCACGAGGTCCCCAGAGAAGTTATCTGGAGGAGAGCGGCAACAGGAGAAGAGAGAACGAAGGCAAGAAAGCTAGCACGGCCACATGAACAAAAACAAAACAGGCTCTACAGGTGTTCCTCCTCTCTGACCTCTGTTGCTGCAGCTGACTGGATGCTTTCGGAGGGTAGAGAGAAGATGATGAATAGGAAAGTGTGGAGGAAGGGCCTGGGAAGAAATAAGAACAATCCATTCAGGGAAAATTGCTTCCATGCCTTGGCCCAGCTGACCTGCTTCAACAAGTCTACTCAACAGTATAACCGCCTAGGAATAGGAATCTGGAATCTGCGGGAGAAACGACCATCTTCTTTTCCTGCCCCTGTTTGAATGATACACAGGAGGGCCAGTGGGACTGTAGATGGTTGAGAAACAACCGCAGGAAAAGCAGAAAAGCCATGTCAGAAGTGGAATAGCCCAAGATACTGACACCAATTCCCAAGACATCACAACCTACCCGAAGCACCACTGCCTATGGATAGCAAAGGTCTGACCATATCACCAGGCCCTCATGGGCTAGAATCCCATCCTTGATCATACCCCTAATCTACCACCACTCCCTGCAACGCCTTCACCAACCCGAGAGCCTAATACCCTCCCTGACCCATAGCTATCTCCTGGTTTGAGTCACCAGGTCCAAGGTAATGCAAGAGGGTGTTGCTACGGATGGTACTCCAAGCTTCAGGTGTGTTGAGACTAGCAAGATAGTAGGTAAGGACAGCATGGGGGTGGGGTGCAGTGTGTGCTGGACGATGAAAAGCTGAGAAAACAAAGAGGAGGATCCCACAGGCAACAGCTCTCAGAACACCTCTATATTCACCATATCCAAGAAACTTGATGGTATATACATCTCTTCAGAGGACACCAAAATGCAAAATCAAAATCTTACTTCATCTGGACCTCACCTGCTGGAAAGCTGGGGAAGGAGTTCCATAACATGACACTGAGGAAAAAAAAGCAAGAAAAAGCACTCTGAAGCCCAGACTTGGGGGAAGACTGCAGATTTCTGGCTATCATGGTAGTGTTCACCATCAAAACCCTCAGATTTCAGACGAAAAGAACAAGACTGCTTCAAATTGCCAATCCCAGACAAACAGCTGTTAATACTGGATAGCCAAGGAGAAAGGTTCCTTCAGCATCTCATCATGCAGTGTCCTCAGTGCACATAAGACACCAGAGAAGATATGTGTGACTCTACTCAGAAAAGCTTAGTAAAGACTTGTTGGTTAAATTGGCACAAACAAGACAGAGTAGATTATGAGTTCTAAACTTGGGACATGGCTCTGTCTCCACTAGGCAATGGGTCTGCTCTCAGTGGGGCAAGGAAGGAATATTTAGAGATTTCCCCATCCCCATGGCTCCAGACTTCTAGGAGAAAGATTCAGGTCAAAAAGCCTTAAACTGTGTGTCTTCAACTGATGGTCTATATAAGAGGTTCAAATTTTAAGAAACGTTTACGAATCTCTACTATTTACCAAGCCTTGCACTAGCCATGCTAGACACAGTAGCTCAACACACTCACAACTCTGTGACATCCTTTTTCTGATCTGTAAGATCAGAATCAGGCAAGGTACTTCATCCCCCCTAGACTTACTCCTACAAATCTGGAGTCACACTGACCCTGTGGGATTATGGTCACACACATCAGACGTGTGACCCTGGGACTTTCGGTTGAACTCTTGGAACCTCAGCTTTCCATAACAGATGGTTATGAGGATTAAATGAAAGACCACATTGATAGAAAAAGCTTAGCATTGGGCCTGACATATAATAGATGTTTAATAAACACAAGTTTGTTCCTTCCCTCCCATTCCAGATCCGGTGTTTTTGAGAACTGTGTTACGGTCAGGTGATGATAACTGGGGCATGTCTGCTGCCCTGAATAAATAAGAGCTTATCTTTCTATCTCGAGTCCACTCTAAGTGGTCAGAACTTGAGTAGCACTAAACATATACCTGTTGACTGACTGGCTCATATTGGGTGTTGTGGAAGGAGCACATAGCACCTGGGAGCCCAGAGGCCTGGGTGGAAGCTCTGGCTCCTACCCTAGCTTGTTGAATGGTCTTGACCTCTCTGGCCCTCAGATTTCTCATCTGTAAAACAAGCGGAATAAATCATACATTCTGATTCTACTTTTTTTTCACATTACTATGATGTGTTAAGCCTTCCCAAGCCCCTCTGCCAGGGTCCTGGGCTGCAGGGGTAATTAAATGCTTCTCTATTTTCCATAGTTTGTTTTCCTGGCTTATGTCTAGCTGGCTTTCTGTGACATGACTTGTCAACACATATAAGCAACAACTTCTATGTCTTAATGCTTTCTTTTCTTATTCTCTTTGAATAAGAAATGGGGACCAGGAATGCAGTGGCCTTATGTTTGGTAAAACACCACTCAAAGTGTAAAATGTGGAACTAATTCAACCAGAAACTAAGATTGCTGTGGGAAGCAGCACAGCTGCTTTAACCCCTGGGAACAGGGACACATTTTGAAGGCAAGGTAGCATTAGGAGGGGTTCTCCTTTGGTGAACTGGAACTAATCAATTCAGGCCATTGTGGGGGGAATTTGCAGACTTATGTCTAAGCCTAACAGGACCCTGGAGGTGAAGGTCCAATTTAGCAAAGATGGCTGGATCCAGAGAAGATGTGAGGACAGAGAAGGAGAAACAAGAGAAGTATGTAGGAAGAACTGCAAAACTCCCTATTAAGTGAGACTATAAGAGCAACAAATATGTATGATTCTCAGTGATCAGGAGCAAGGAAAAGGAAATGGGCAAAAGGAAAAAAAAGAGGTGACTGAGGACCTCTGAAATGTGCATCAGTATTTTAACAGAACCACATTGCCCAATACAAGATTCCTGGTCAGTGCACTCAAGTAGAACGGCCATCTTGTTAAAAACAGCCACTATTGTTCTGGCTAGAAGAGAACCCCAACATTAAGGATCTACCACATAAGACCTTCTGGTAGTTCTTTTTTTTTTCTTTTTTTGAGACAGTCTCGCTGTGTCACCCAGGCTGGAGTGCAGTGGCACAATCTCAAACCACTGTCTGCCTCCAGGGTTCAAGCGATTCTCCTGCCTCAGCCTCCCGAATAGCTGGGACTATAGGTGCATACCACCACACTTGGGTAATTTTTGTATTTTTAGTAGAGATGGGGTTTCACCATGTTGGCCAGGCTGGTCTCGATTTCCTGACCTTGTGATCTGCCCGCCTCGGCCTCCCAAAGTGCTGGGATTACAGGCATGAACCACTGCACCCGGCCCTGATAGCAGTTCTTTTGCCACCGTAGCTCTCTCAAGAAGGCAGGGACCCCAGGTGAGGGCAAAGAGTTGATTTAAATGCTCTTGGACCAGTTTTCTTAGGGCATAATCCAGAATTAGCTAGGACTAACTCAGGTGTCTTATATTTACAACAAATATCTAGACAGGATCAGCATTTCCACAAGGACTGAATGAAAGGGTCTATGATAAAAACTTGTTTCTTGAAATATTCCAGAAATTAGTATGCCAGGACCCTCAAGTTTTTCCCTATTATAGGGGATAAGAGTGGTTTCAAAGGAGACTGTTCCGACCAGGAGGTCCCATCCCTGACACACCAGTACTTGGGAGACTCAACAGGAACGAACTGAAGTCTTGTTGCTTTTAAAGAACTAGAAAGGTAAGCTTCCCATCTGCCCAGCACTCAGAGGGTTTGGGTGGTATCCACATAACAGAATGCTGACTGGGCAGCTATTTAGCCCTGAAACAATCGCCTAGAGCAGAACCCACCTGTGTTGGATGGAGTAAAGCCTGGCAAGGAGGGGCTGTTGAGGCCCGGGAGCAACACAGGAGGAATGCCCTGGAGCGCTGGATATGCTGTAGGAAGGTTAAGGGCCTGAAGAGGGGTGTTGTCAAACATCCCTTGCTGCTGAGCTGCCAGTCCAAGGACCTCGTTGGCCTTTTTAATCCGGTCCAACTCTTGTTGAGCCATCAACTGACGTACGGTGGCTGGGTCAAAGTATTCTTTCTCCTTGTCCAGCTGGCTTCCAATGGTGTCTTTAACTTTGGAGATATGCTGTTGGGAAAAGATATGGTCACGTACAGACAGCCGAGCGCTGTACTTGATGCCACACAAAGTGCACTCTGTTTTGGGTCCCTCATAACTCGTTTGGTTTATACCAAAATGCTTGGCCATGCTTAACTTGGACTTCTTTTCTTTTGCCCGGGCATTCTGGAACCAGACCTGAACGACTCTCTTTGGCAGTCCAATGTCATTGCCCAGGACCTCACATTCTAGCATAGTGGGTGTCCTGTAGTCATTAAAGCATGACTTGAGGACCTTCAGCTGCAGATTGGTCATTTGAGTGCGAAAACGTTTCTGCCCAGGCCGATCTCCGCTGTCACCAGATTTGCCTGCAGATCCACTCGCACCAGGACTCGGGGAGCAGGGATCTGCAAGGCTTGAGGTTTCACTGTAGTCCACTGTACCTTCATTGTCATATTCCTTGCTATAAAAGCTCGGGGCCGGGCTGACCAGACCAGATGACAACCGATCTTCATACTCAGACATTGCCATCATGGCCGCTTTGGTCAACCCTTCGTTGGGTGCAGAAGAGGATTTGGTTTCAGTTGCTATTCCCGTTGCACTGTCGTTATCTGCGTTGCCCTCGTCTCCAGTTGTGGTATCTGTGATTGCTGTGTTGACAGAGGAACAGTCATCGTTGTCCAGCTTAGTTTGGTCAAAGTTTAGATTAACTGAGGACATGGAGGGGCTTTCAAAGTCTTCAATCCCTTCCACCTTAATGGAGGAAGGGCTTAGAAGAGTTCTGGGTGACAATTCCATGGTTTTACTCACAGGTGAGAGGGGGACACCCTGACCATCACTACTGCTTGGGGGTAGGTGGGAAAAGCTAGTTCCGTCAAAAATATCTCCTTTCATCTGGAGTCCCCCATCACAGTCTAAGAGCATCGCAGACAGAGTTAGGTTGTAGCCAGCTCTCTTGGCTTCATGCCAGTGACGGGACCGGATATGAGCCTCAAGAGCAGTCTTGGCTTTGAAGAGCGCTCTGCAAAAAGGGCATCTCCTGTGGGCCTGCGCTGGGCCTACAGCCCGGAACTGTCCTTTCCTTTCCCGAGCTCGGGTGTTCTGAAACCAGACTTGTACCACACGTTTCTTCAAGCCCACCTCGTGTGCAATGTGATCCAACATCTTTCGAGTCGGATTGGAATCCAGTAGATACTTCTGGTAGAGAATTTCTAGTTGTTCCGGTGTGATGGTTGTTCTCAAACGCTTGTCTCTCTGAGGCTCTTCTCCTCCTGTCCCACTGTCGTTTTCGCCAGGGCTTGCACTGGCCTTTTCCTCCAGCTTCCTCTTGAGAGTGTTCATTGTGGAGGTTGGAGTTGAAGGAGAAGTGGCTGAGCTTGCTGGAATCTGAGGTATGGCCCCAGAGAGCAGCTGGCTGGCCAGGAGTGGGTTACTGGGATCAAAGAGCATGAAAGGCATATCCAGGGACCTGTCCAAAAACTGGGGGTGGATGAACTGGTTCTGCGCGCTCAGGAAGTGGAGCTGCTGATGCTCCTGCCAGTGCTCAAATGACGGAAATGCCAACTTACACTGGTCACACTGGTAGGGGATTAGCTGAGGAGGTAGGTTTGCGAGCTGTTGAGGAGTTGATGTGTGGAGGGGCTTGAGGGGCAGGTGGGAGAGCTGGGAAGGACTGGGGCTCGACTGGGGTAAGGGGCACTGTGGAGGGGGCGCTTGTGGAGGAGGCTGTGGCAACGAAGGCAGGGACACCAGCTGGGGGAGCTTCTGCTGGGGAGTGTTGGTCTTCTGCTCGGGCTGCTCTTGCTGCTGCAGCTCTGGCTTTGGTTGTCCTTGCTTTTCTTGGGTTTGGTTTGGCTGTGCACTGGGAGCTTCCGCCAGCTTTGGTTTCTCATCGCCTGCCTCTGTTTTTGAATTGAAGGTGGCCAGTTCCTCAGCCTCCGCTGTAAGCTGCAAGAAAGCGGAGGAAGCTGTATTATTGGCTGATGGTGCTGGGGCGCTGTAAGCCTGTGAGGGCATCGGGGTACTGCAGGATGAGCTGGTAGGCGTCAGGATTTCCATGGCATCCATGGAATCCTCATTTTGGCTGTCGTCCTGCCCCTCCTCATCCTCATCCTTGTAACACAGCTTCTTCTGGTGCTTGATGAGATCAAAGATGCGCTGAAACACCAGGCTACATTTTTTGCACTGGTAGTTCAAGTTGCTTGTTCGAATGTATCTATCATTTGTAAGCTCACGCCGCTCTCCATCTTTGCCCTCTCCCTGATTCTCATAATTCTTCCTGGCCTTCTGTCGGGCATTCTGAAACCACACCACTATCACTCGGGTTGGAAGGTTCAGTAAATTAGAGAGTTGCTCAAATTCATCATCCTTTGGGTAAGCATTGGCATCGAAGAAGTCCTGTAAGACCCTCAGCTGGTAGTCCGTAAACCTTGTTCTTGAAGACCTCTTGCTTCCCCAGTACTCCTGCTTTGGAGGTTCCGGCGAAGGGGGCCGGGAGTCAATCTTGAGCTCCTCCAGGCTGGTGATAGGAGGATTACTGAAGTTGTAAGGGGAGTCCTTGTTACGCTGCCTCTCTTTGAAGAGAGTGTTCCTGAACCAGTGCTTGATCACTTTCTGGGGCAACCCGGACTTGTCTGCCATCTCTTTTATTTGCTCTTCACTGGGGGAGTTGTTAATGTCAAAATATTGCCGCAAGACTCGGAGCTGATCATCTGTGATCCTGGTGCGAGGCCTCTTGTTCTGCTGCTGGAGCAGGGTTGGATTGAGCTGATGCTGGTAGAGTTGGGCCAGGTCCGCAGGCAGAGGCTCCACAGGTCCCAGCTGCGGGGGTAGCTGAGCCGGCAAGGTCTGCAGCGGCATCGTCTGCATCATCAGCGGCGAGAAGATGGGCAGCTCCATCGGCATGGAGAGCTGGGTGAGCGGCACTGATGGCTGGGCCGGTGCAATTGTAGGTGAGGTGATGGGTGGGGCTGATGCGGGGATGGCTGGTGTGGACGCCGGCTGAGGCGGCGCTGCCGGAAGTGGGGGTGGAGGGGGTGGAGGGGGAGGTGGTGGTGGCTCTGGGGTCTGGGGCCTCAGTGGGTACAGTTTATCGTAGTGGTCTCTGTACTGTTTGGCAAACCTCTCGAGCTGTTTGAAAGGAAAGTAATTCTGATGAACGTGCTCTTGATGACTCTTTAAAATCAAGATGTTGGAAAACAACTTGCCGCAGGAGTCACACTCGAGCTTTTCCAGGTTCTCTCCCTGGTCAGTCTTCCCATTCTTTTTCTGCACCTTCTGCTTGTTCTCATTATACTGGATGACCAACTCAAAGCCAAAGTTCTCCAGCAGGGCCTTGGTGGCGTTCCCTCTGGCATCTGAAGCAATGCGTGGAGGGAGCATGGAAGGCTCAGAACCACCCCCTGGTGCCAACTCTTTCTTCTCTTTGGCCTTCAAGGCATCTGGCAGTGTTTCCTTCGGACCGGTGTTGCCCTCTCCCCCCTCGGCGCTGTCCCTCTCTCTCTGGCTTTCTTTTTCCTTTTCTTTGATGACCAATTTGTTCTTCTTTTCGGGGTGCTGGCTTGGCTGAAGGAGGGCAGAGTGACTCTGGGCTATAGAGAGTTGGTTCTGCTGCTGCTGCGGCAAGATCTGCTGATGGCTCTGCTGTGGGACCTGAACCTGAGCCTTCAGATCTTCCAGCAGGCCTGGGCCTGTCCCAGTCAGTGTCAGTGCCCCACTGGTCACTGGCAAGCTCACCTCGGGGTTAAGCTGGAACTCAGCACTGGGGATGTAGAAAGGGAAGAGGAGGTGCTGCTGCTGCTGTAGTTGCAGCAGGGTCTCAGTTGTCATGGGGAAGTGAGGAAGGAGGGTGGGGTTAAACAGCTGAGACTGGATCAGGGCAGCCTGTTGCTGCAGCTCCTGCTGCAGGTGAGCTTGAACTTGAGCCTGGGCCTGGGCCAGCGTTTGTGCTTGTTGTTGTTGTTGTTGTTGTTGTTGTTGCTGTTGCTGCTGCTGTTGTTGCTGCTGCCTGGATGCAATCATATCTGCCAGTTTCTTCCGATTGGCCTCTTTGGGCTCTGAAGGGGAAGCAATGTTGGCACCAATAGGATTCCCCAGGGGTGGCATCCCTACACTCTCAGTGGGCACTTGGCTTAGTAAGTTAGAGCTTGGAGCAATGCCAGCACTGCTTGGATTGGAGGTGGTAAAGGTGTTACTGCCACTGGTGCTCACAGGACTTGGCGTGGAGGAGCTCAAGGAAATACTGCTGCTGTTCCCAGTCCCATTGCTGCTGCCACTTGCAGCCTCCAGCTTGGCTGCCCGGGCCTTGGTTTGATGTAACACAGACCTCATATGGATCTCCAGAGTGGAACTCTGGCTGTAGGCCACATTACAAGTGTTACACTTAAAAGGTTTGTTGTCTGGGCTGCTGGTGGGTTCTGGCTGACCGGTTGCTGATTCTTGAAGGGCTCTCTTTAACTTATGCAGGTGGGAGACAGAATTGTAGTGTACTAGCAGGATATTCTTTTGAGTGAAAGATTCCTTGCAGACGGTACACTTGTAAGGGCGAGAAGGGTCTAGGAACTTTTCCATAGTAAAATTGGGACCTTTTCTGAAAGGCAGAGCTCTCTTTGGCTCTGAGCCCGAGTCTTCTTGTACTGACCCAGAGTCACTGCCCGTTGGGCTCTGTTTATCTTCCAAGTCACTCTCTTCCTCCTTGTCTTCCTCAACAATTATGGTATGGTCCTCTGCCAGAGTGGGGTCTCCCATTGCCAGGAGGTCCCCATTGGCCAGCAGGCCACCATAAAGCTGTTGGATGTCAGCCTCACTCAGCTCCAGGTGGCTTGTCTCAAGGTGCTTCTTCAGAGCCTGGAAAGTTCGGAAACTGCGCTGACAAAGACAGCACATGGTGGCAGCTCTGATCACATGGTACTGAGAATGGAGCTGCAACTTTTCAATGGTCTTGAAGGCCAGGCTACACTGATTACAGCGGTACTTGTACACATGGCGATCTGACACCGGCAGCTGAGGCCTCTTGGCATGCACTTCATTAAAATGCGTCTGAAGGGCAGCAGAAGTTTTGAAAACCTGGTTGCACCCCTTCTTCCAGCAGATGAAGCCTGAGTCTTCTCTCACAGAGCCTGGGTCAGCAGGGGATGGTTTCAAATCTCCGCTTTGCTCTGTGCTTGCGGATGGCAAGATGTTCTTTCCCAGATCCTCTGAGGTTTCTGTTAAAAAAAAAAAAAAAATCAAACCCAAAGATAAAGAAGGCTTTGTTTCAAGGATGGCACCCAGAGCGGTCTACCTAGTCAGGCCTCATGAACACAGAATCTGATGATGAGGGAAGTGCCCAACCTGAATGACAGAATCTCTGCGGAGCGCCTCCTGCTTTCTTTTGTTCCTCCAATAGAGCACATATTATAAACAGGGTGCACATGAACAGAGATGGATAAAAGGAAATACAAAAAGTTTCAATGCATAATAGACCCATGTCATATCACAGATCTAACAGTCTTTTAAATAGCATTTAATTGCTTGACTCAGAATCCTCAATTTCTCAAGAGCTGGTTTGAAGGTTACTGATCTTAGACTGGATTTCCCTTTTATGTTCATCTTTTATGTAATAAGCATTTAGCACAGTAGATCTGAAGTGTAGAATATGTGAATTAATGCTGTCCTAAGTTGTGAGGAATTTACAAGAACTGCTGAACATCGTAATATAAGAAATTTGGGGATACATATTTTTAGGCATTTAATTTCTTGTTATAATGTGACTTCTGATTGCCATCTCTATTCAATAAGCAATTAACATTCAAGTGTTCAATTATTTAAAATACATTTTTTTCCCTACAATGAGATCATCACACTCATAAATACCGAGACCCTTTAACAGGTCATTTGTCCATTGTCTAATATGGAAAACTCACAAGAAAGAGAGAAGGCAGGACAGTAGTGTGGCCAAACTCTTCCCAACTTAGAACTCTTCCCACCTTAGAGGTGAACGATGTAGGACAGCCTCACAGAGGTCTAACCATTCATCTAGCCAGGAAACACTATGTGGCACCAACTACTGTCTACAACAATGTTCTTTCCATCAGCATCTCTGTGCTTCATCCTAAGCCAATCCCAAAAAACTCAGAACGAAAGACAACTAATCCAGTGTACCTAAAAATCAACCCACAAGTCCCTACTAATTAAGTCCTCAGAAATACAGTGTTTAATGGCTTAGAATGGTAGGGCCTACTGACTGAGTCTCTGGTTATTCACTCCCTAATTGTATAGTTTAAGAAGATGTGTGTGTCTGTGCCAGAATTCCACTGGTTCTCATACTAATTTTCTCTCACTTTAAACCATGTGAGTAATATACAAATACATGCCAAGAAGCAGAGTATAAAGTAGCTGATGACAGTGCCCCTCATCTCCTGATCAGTTACATTCACCTTAAGAGTATTGTAAAGAATTCCTGAAAACCTTTCTCCATGAACATTTTGGCATTCCATCTTGTTTCAATTTCTTGGGGTCAAGAATAATGATACTGACCAGGCTGCTTTCCTGCCTCTTCCAAATTGGAATTCCCATCTCGATCTGGAACAGCTGCTGGGAGGAACATGCTGCTTGGCATCACCATCTCAGGGGTGGTCACCTGAGGAGCAAGAGCAAGGAGAGTCAAATGGAGAGGAAAGCGACACAAAATAGGAAATGTTTAAAAATTATTTAATAAGCAAAATTAGCCTTCACCAGTGTAAAGCTAGAGGTGTCTCACTTTTCATAGCTCACTGAAGATTCATGTTTATTAGACAAAGCTCACATCAGTCAAAAGTGTTTCTACGGTTACATTCTGGACATAATTAGCAGTGCACACTTGAAGAATAATCTTCTTATTAATATTTTTCCTTTATGCAGAATTTTGACTTTGATCACTGACAATGTTTTGTCATGGGCTGTGAAACTTCTTGTGCAACCAATTAGGTAGATAAGTTGAAAGGCCCACCTTAAGCTGCTGAAAACATAATAAGGGCCCTAATTAAATCATACCTAGTAAAGTACACTGTAATCTTGAAGCAGGGAGCATTGTAGTACTGTTTTCAGAACGTATTCAGGCAAGAGGAGGAGGGGAGTAAGAGTGAAGGAAAGGGTAAGAAGAAAAGAAGAGAACAAAGGGAAGGCTAGGGACACGCAGACATGCTGGCAGATTTTCCAGGAAAACAACATTTGTAACCCTTTACAAGCTGACATCAAGCACAAACAAGCCTTTTTTTGTGACTCACTTAAGCCACGATTTCTTCTGGAGTCTCTGCCCAAGGTATACAACATCAGAGGGAACTTCTGACCAACGTCCCAGCGATAGAGGGTGGCCTGCACAGCATTCTACAACAGGGCAGCCCCACCTTGACCATGGCCATTTTTTCTCAATACAGCAGTTCTGGAAATCGCCTGGATCCAAACAGCTGCAACTTTTGGGCAGAGCCTCAGATATTTCTCTAGGCCTCCCTGCCGTACGGCCAGAAGCCTGTCCAAACAAGTTATCATTTGCCTTATGTTAATGTGATAAGCAGCCCTCGATATCCAATGGAAAGATCAAAGGTTCTTCATTCAAAAAGAAGCAATATCCTTTTGCCTGATATGGGGTGGGAAGGGTAGGTGGCGATGATATTTCAAATGAATTAGAAACCACCTCCCATTTGATGATAGCTGGAGAAATGGACTGACCTAGAAGTTACAGGACCAGAAACTACAGTCACCACTAACCTTTCTACGTGGCACCCAGCCCCACTTGGAGACATTATTTTTCCATCAAACACAACCGTACTGCACAGACATCTTCACTGTCTGTTGCAAAGATTGGAATACGTAGATTTCTGTTCAAAATTAAATAATATTTTAAATACATTACTATTAATTTTTAATGGTGTGACGATCCCAGCCTTGCTCAAAATAGCTACTGAGATGTCCACTAGAATCATCAGCAATAAGCTTGACAACTAGAGGAAACCCAGACAGCCACCCCCATCAACATAGGATAACTCCTCATCACACTTAGGGGTATTAGAATAATTTCAGCAACCCAGATGCCAGCGGGTGCAAAAAGTAAGCAACAGGTACCATGGAGAAGCATTCTGAGAAATGCTGTGTTTACGAAGAGCAGGTGTGTGGCAGGTGAATGTGTGTGACATAGCATTCTTGCCCCCACAGACATCTGCACCTCACACAAAGCTCATCGGCAGCTGGTTAAGGCTAGCTGTTGATGAATCGTTAAGAATGGAGTGGAGATTGCCAAACTCATTCCATCTATTTTCTTTTTAATAGAAGGCATTTCTGACTAGTGTGGTTGGGGAGTCCAGCGGGAATCCGAGAAGTGAAAGGTCACCGATTAATTTGTAGTCCTCAGCTGAGGGGGAGCACGAGGTTGGGGGTAAGAGGGGGAGAAAGGGAAAGGAAAAAAGACTCCCCCCCACCTCCTTTCTCGGTTGTAGCTGCAAGATCAGTCCTTTCCTGGGATCTTTAGGAATTATGAAAAATGAATCATGAGAAATAAAAAAAAAGCCCTACAGAGTAAAAAAGAATAAAATTATCTAACACCTCAGCTGCACATCATTATAGAAAACTGTGGGCTTTTCATACACATTACAGTAAGGCAGACATCCCCTCTAACAGACTCAGTACGACGGATCAGTAATTGTTTTCATACACTTTAATTAGAAAAACTCAGATGGCTATGAATAATAATGGAAAAGAGAGACTTTTGCACTTGAAAGGTTGAAGTCAATCAAGTGTGAATGACGGCAAAAAAGAAAAAAAAAAGACACCAATTCATCAGCCCTCTGTTGTCTCGCTGCGACTTTAATCATAATTCCTGATTGGGATTCAAGAAGGCAGTAAGCAGCGGTTCTTTGTCTGCCTTCACCTTCCATCAATTAACTCTCCCCGAAATATAATCATCAACCTCACATGCTCCTCTGCATCTTAATCTGGGCCTCCAAACCTGTAAGTCTTGCCCCATATGTGTTTAAGTAACTACTTTTATCCACCTGCATTTTTCTCATCTATAGTGTACCCAACCTCTCCCTGAAAAAAAGGGGGGGTTGGTATATGAAATTTTGATGGGCAAGAAATTCCCAGGAGGCAAAGAGGAAGATTCCTAAAGAGAATCCTAAGGATCTGGAAATTCAGGTGGCGTCTGTCTGTGCATGTGTCTCAACAGAGGTTGAGAATGGAAGCTGCCTTGCTACACAGGCTACTGGAGGGCCCCATGTCAGTTCTCAGACACTAACGTTCCCTTTGCCCATTCTTCCCTCTCCTACCAGCTTCCAAAGCTTTTTACTCAAAGCTTTCATGCTTTATCTTGAAGAGCCATAAACAATCCTGCCAACAGAGCCCATTGAGGAGTCCTTCTGCTCACTGAGGTGATATATATATCCAAAGGCAGACTTCCTTCAACACTTGCCTTGGCACCCCCTTTGTTTTACAATCATATCTGGCTACTAAACTGCATGGAATTCAGACTGTCCCAGCCATAGTCTCTAATGGATAGCTGAAAATGGGAAAGTAATAACCCAGCTGTCGGCCGGGTGCGGTGGCTCAAGCCTGTAATCCCAGCACTTTGGGAGGCTGAGGCGGGTGGATCATTTGAGGTCAGGAGTTCAAGACCAGCCTGGCCAACATGGTGAAACCCCATCTCTACTATAAATACAAAAATTAGCCAGGCGTGGTGGCTCATGCCTGTAGTCCCAGTTACTCGGGAGGCTGAGACAGGAGAATTGCTTGAACCCGGGAGGCAGAGGTTGCAGTGAGCTGAGATTGCGCCATTGCACTCCAGCCTGGGCGACAGAGTGAGACTCTGTCTCCAATCAATCAATCAATCAATCCATCCCAGCTGTGCTGAGCACAGGTAAAGACCTTCCCTTTTGCCAGGAACACTGAAACATGTAGGTTTATGAGAAGACAAAACCTGGTTGTAGCATAACCAGGGTCATGCCAAGTGTGCCAAATTTCAGAGGCCCTCAAATAACTGGTCCTACCACCAATTTTCCTGCAGAACAATATACATGCTTTCTCTCTGTTCCTTCTTCCCCTCTCTGGCCGCAATCCTACAATGTCCATACTTCCAGCCATGGACTCAAGAGCCAAACGAAAAAAGTTCTAAGGTTTGGCCAGGTGACAGTACAAATCAGCCCAAACACCTACACTTTCTACATTGAATGTACCATCCACATTGATTATTCCGATAATCCATACATCAATAAACATTTAATACATTAAATTATATCCCCCACTCTATTCACTAATGAACCTGAGAAGTAATGAGAAGACAAAAGTTTTTCTGGTTAAGAAAATTCAACTGATTACAGCCATTACAGCATTTTGGGTCTCTCAAGGTTGGCCTCTGCCATGCAAAAGGCAGTTCCATGGTGATCTTCTAGACACCACGTTTTCCTCCCAAACCTTCTGAGCCAGTTCAACTACCTTCCTCCCAGAGTACATGTACATTTCATGGAAACTTGGGAAGAAACCATCAGCTGACTGGGGTGCAGAAAATTTGGAAGCCAACAGTGGCTCTGATATATTCCTAACAAACAGGTTTTCATGCATAACAAAAGAAATGTAGAGTTCTACTCCAGTGCTCAAAACCTCCCAGTTTAAGTAATTTTCATATATAATAGAAACAGAAGCGTTCCACATTGATGCTAAAAATGTTCAAGCTTAAGCACTTCCAAAATAACACAGTTGAAAAGGAGTAGCCTTGAGAAACTCTCAGTTCATTCAATTGACCACCATTTACTAAATAAACACTGTACAGGATCCATGTGCTGCATGCTTCTGAGATGCAGAGAGCCAGACAAAAGTTCCTGTCTCCAAAAGGCTTATGATGCAGAATAAATAACCCTTTAGAGGTCACAAAAGCCTTAGAAATCTAATACAAGTTGCAGACTCCTAGGAAAATACTTTCACAGAAAGAATATTCCAGATAATTTTAGGAAATTACAAGCTCCCCAGAAGGAAATCCATGTACTCAAGTGAACTGCCCTTGATCTACTAGGAGAGGTAACATATAGGTTCATAAATACATAGTTCCAAGCTCTTCCTAGTTTGGTTCATTATTATTTTGGATTATGTTCTAATGCTTTTCAAGATTCTATGAGGTGAGTGGACCCTAAAGCCTCAAGGGCACACCTTATACAGCCCGTGTCTGAGATACGGGACTAGTCTCCCACTCTGACATTTGGGAGGGGCTGCTGAAATATATAATTTCTTGGTAGAATCTGGAGTTATAAGGAACACCATCCTGCCACTTACGCCAATCCCTGCAGGTCACAGATGTGGAAGGGCCAATATAACACCCTGTGCAGCCAAGGTCACCCTTTGCTAAGTTCTTATGGGACCGTTCATGCCAATTCATCTCTTGAAGCTACCTGCAGACAGGCTCACCTAGGTTAGATCGATGCCCCAGACACATTCTGTGTGCTGGAAAGCAGAGAGATTTTATTTATTTATTTATTTATTTATTTTTCAGAGGGAGTTTCGCTCTGTTGCCCAGGCTGAAGTGCAATGGCACAATCTCGGCTCACTGCAACCTCCGCCTCCCGGGTTCAAGTGATTCTTCTGCCTCAGCCTCCCGAGTAGCTGGGATTACAGATGTGCACCACCACGCCCAGCTATTTTTTTTTTGTACTTTTAATAGAGATGGGGTTTCACCATGTTGGCCAGGCTGGTCTCGAACTCCTGACCTTAAGTGATCTGCCCCCATCAGCCTCCCAAAGTGCTGGGATTACAGGTGTGAGCCACTACGCCTGGCCAGCAGAGATATTTTCTTAGCAAAAGTGGTGAACCTAGTTTCTCTGAGACCCTTATTCCTACCGCCTTGGCATTGCTCACTTTAGGACTTCTTTCTGAAAAGCCCACTATTCCAGGTGAAAGTATAGATTTGCCGATACCTAGGCTCCCAAGGATGCCTCAAATCCTTTACTTTTAATTGAAAATCAATAGAATGAAGAAATTCAGACAAAAAGAGGAGAGACCTCAGGCACAGACCTCCTTGGCACAGACCAAGCCAGTCTCTACATCCTTGTGGATGAGACTGGTTCTGCCCAAAACATTAAGCATGAAGTTAAAAGCCAGCTGCTTTTAGGGCTGAGCAGTCTAGCTAGTTGGTATATCTAAAGCCAGCTGTTCCAGCGAGAGGCCAGTTGCTCACTTCCTTTCCTGTACCTAGACAGCCACTGGGGCCCACTGGCTGGTTTCTGCACACTTACAGCCAACAAACCAGGGCGCCTCTTGCCAGTAGAGTTTCAGAGTTGGGTTCCCCACCCCACTTTACAGTCTTCTACATATGCCAGGGAGAATACTGGGCCATGGCGTCTTTTTAAAAGGCTCAGCTTCTTCTCTCCTTGTCCCATTTCCTTTTCTTTCTTTCTTTTTTTTTTTGAGATAGTCTCACTTTGTCACCTGGGCTGGAGTGCAGTGGCACAACCATGGCTCGCTACAGGCTCAAACTGCTGGGCTTAAGTGATTCTTCTGCCTCAGCCTCCTGAGTAGCTAGGACTACAGGTACACACCACCACTCTCAGCAATTTTTTGTGTGTTTTGTTTTGTTGGTAGAGACACAGTCTTGCCATGTTGCCCTGGCTGGTCTCGAACTCCTGGACTCAAGCCATCTTCCCACTTTGGCCTCCTTGTTTCCTTTCTAAAACTGCTTCTGTATGGTAGTTCATTCAATTTTTAAATACATCAAGCTCAAAAGAAAATACTGTAGGGCCGTGTTAACATTCATGTAGGCTGGAAACAAATGTAGCTCAGAACCAGATTTTTGAAACTGAGGATGAGAAAGATTGAAAAGGTAGATGGGAGAACAGGAAACACATGAAGAGTTATACACGTGTGCGCAGAGAGGTGAGAACTGAGAAGGAGAATGAATTGGAGAGAAAACCTTCATTAGACTCAGAGAGGGAAGCAGTGGCAGTATACCAAGGTCACTTCTAATTTAGACCATCTAATTGGCAAACAGGCTCCAAATGGCTATCATCTCACAGGGCTTGGAATTAATGAAGGCTGATTATTTTCATTACCTTCCTCTTAAGATACAGGCAAAGTGAGAGAGCTGGTACCCAGGTGGGTGCAACCGCCCCCAGGCCAGTGGCTGCCCTAGAGCCCCAGATAACCAGCCTGTCCTAGAGATTCACAGACACACATGAAGCATAGAGAGTCACAGACGCTGACGGAAAAAAATCACAAGGTTACAAACTATTGGTCTCAAAAGAGATACCGAGAAAAGTGCAGGCAACACAGGGCCAGGAGCATGGAAGGGAAACTGTGCAGGTACAAAAAATACAGAATAATTAAGAACTACCAAAGGGAGCCAAGACAAAGGGCTACAGAAGGTGTTCCTAAGCTGCCCAGGAGCCAATCCCATCTCCATTATGAGGTCATATTTTGTTAAATGATGAAAGAACAAAGAGAATTTCCCCATATCAGTGCTTCAGGATCCCAGTGGTGTGTCCTGTCACTTAGAAAGATAGTGATCAATTAGAATAATTTAAGAGTATTGAAATGCATGGTAGGTGGTCTTTCCTATTCTCATTCAGGGGACAGAAACATGGGCCCCATGCCTTCCACCCTTCTTTCCTGAAAGAATGGGAAAATAAGGGCACCGAGCAGCAGCTCCTACATCTCTTTCACCAATTTGAAATCTCAAGCTTCTTTGTAAATAGGTGAGAGTTCTTATGTGTAACTGACATTGGGGGAGGGCTGCCCAGCCAGTTGTGGAGGGGCCCTTGTCTCATCTCCCTTAAGCTTTATAGATTTCCTTCTTTGATATGACGTGTGCAGAGGTACTCTTTGCAGCTCTGTTTCCAATAGGCCAAGAAGAATGAAGTGCTGTGGGTGTGGTCTCCATAGTGGAGGGCCAGCACTGCAATTGTTCCTAGTGGAGAATATTTCTCAAGCCCCCTCATCAGTAAGAAGGGGGCCCATGGAAGACATAGATATGAGATGCAGAGCATAAGCAAGCAGCTGTTACCATAGCAACAGACATATTAGACACTGCAGGTTCCTGAAAGCTGTCTGATAAGGTATTATTAAATGAAGCCTCCTCAAAACGCACTCCATTTACAACTGAACAGAAAGACGTTGTGTAGAAAGTAATCTGTTTCCATTTATCAGGGTGGAATTTACTTTTAGTGGGACTGAACCGAACTCAAGCTAAATCCTGAGACTTTGGACACAGACAGCAAAAAATATTTACCAGAATTTACAGCTGTAAATACCCCGGACACACCCCATGTCTGCCAGGAATCATCTATTTGGGGGATTTTGCAAGCTTTTCCTATTCTGCAGCCAATGGCAACTAACTCAGTCAACCCATTTGGAAAGAAAGAAGATTCACTCTTGCTGCCATTCATCCTAGCCACTCAGGGACAAAGCAGACATAACTTCCTTCTCCTGGAGCATGAATGACCGTAGAACTGGCCATTCCTTAATGATATGGTTTAGAAAATGGAGCCCTGATTAGAGGGGCATTTTTCATCATGCTGTTTTCACTTTCCTGCTCTAGTTGGCCATGAACAAACATATATCGTTAGAAAGCCTAACCAATACTTTCCCGGGGCCAATCTTCTAATAAAATGACAGTAAAATACCCTCCCGTGGCATGATTTTAACCATAGGTTCATTATAATCACTTAGTTGTGAAACAATTGCAAATTCCATTTTTACACCAAATTTTTCAGAGGAAAGACACTGGCATCTGCTTTGATTCATCAGAGCAGAGATCAAGATCATCAGTATTCCAGTCCTCAAATACGATCTCAGGTTCACCTTGTGGTAGGCCCACAAATTCCCTCTAACCCTGGTTGCTCATTTTTTTTTTCCTGCTGAACTAAAGGCCTGAGATAGAAATGCATAGTTTGGCTCAATGCAAACTATCCCCATGACTGGACAAACCAGTTCAATACTGACAGCCATGCCATAACTCCATGCAAAGAGAAAACTCATCCTTGCATATACATCTTTCAGTAAAAAGTAAAATACTTATATGATTACATTTCTCATAACTTTCAACTTTATTCCTGAATCCATTGACTTTCCCTTGTTGCTAACAAGTTGACTTCCTATTACAAGTGCATTTCCCACAATCTGCACACTTCTCAGAAATGTCTAGAAAACATCTCCATGGTCTGCTGTGGAAAGATGAGGAACATAGAGGTTTCTATACAAGGTACCAAGCCCAGCAGTGCTTTAGGGAGCAGTGTCTCCTACATAATTACATTGTCAGGGGTTCTAGAACAGTTTGTATTGACCAGTCCCATGGACATATCCTTATGCTCCCTGGCATTGTACACACAATTTTATATTTGCAAAATACTTGACGGAGGGTCAGTAACAGTGGTTATCAAACATTGGTATGCAAAGAATAATACAGTATGGCTGTTGTATAGCTTTCATGAGAGTCTCCATAAAGGTTAAGAATCACTGCTTCCAAAGGTGCTAGTTAATGGGTAACTTCCAGAAATCTCTTAGGGATTGGCACCCAAGCAAACACAGAAGTAATATCCTGCCCTTGAAGACTCTGTTGGTAAATGAAGATTCACAATGACCACCACACTTGTCACTTGAAATTTACCTTGCTATTGCTATTATGAAAATATGACAAACAATGAATATTTGAAATATAAGTTATACTCTAGTCCCTAGGGATATATAAATGAAATTTTTACTAATGTAAACCAGTCATGTAGATTACTATAGGCCCACAGTCCCTAGACTAGATTTATATTAAAATAGCAAAAATAATCACCTGAGTAAAAGAAAAATGTAGGTCAGTATTGACAATGCTTCCCTCCCCACATCTCTTTCTGTTCTTTCAGGCTCCCATGGTTCTAGGCCATCAGATGGGAAGTACAATGAGGCCTGTTACTTCCAAGGATGATGAGAAAGCTGAGGAAACCAGTAACACAGAAACCCACTGGTCCACAGAAGGAGGTTTTCACTTACAGAGAATCTTTACACACTGTTCACCAGCTGATTTGAAAATACCCACAGAAAGTTAATTTAACTTCAAAGATCTCTGAAAGGCAACTCATGGCTAGGTCACCTTTGAGCTTCCCATTGGCTGCTAAAGTTCTCTTGATGCATCATCAATTATATATTCTTCATGACTAAACATCACTTACAACGTTATTCATTAACGTTTGCAGAACCAAATGGAATAGAAAATGCCTGGAGGTGATATGTCTGTGACCTGCACATTATAACGTGCAGTTGTGAACAGACTACCTCTCTGGGAATCTTCACGTGAAAAGGCAATCAAATTAACTTATTACTCCACTGCTAAAATAATGCTAAGAAAGAGGTGAGAATAATTCTCTTTGGTGGTTTTTCCTCTAATGATCAGGAAAGGGCTTTTTTTTTTTTTTTTGAGACGGAATCTTGCTCTGTCACCCAGGCTGGAGTGCAGTGGCGCATCTCTGCTCACTGCAAGCTCTGCCTCCCGGGTTCACGCCATTATCCTGCCTCAGCCTCCTGCATAGCTGGGACTACAGGCGCCTGCCACCACGCCCGGCTAATTTTTTGTATTTTATTTTTCAGTAGAGACAGGGTTTCACCGTGTTAGCCAGGATGGTCTCGATCTCCTGACCTCGTGATCCACCCACCTTGGCCTCCCAAAGTGCTGGGATTACAGGTGTGAGACACCGTGCCCAGCCTTTTTTTTCTTTTTTCTTTTGAGATGGAGTCCTGCTGTGTCACCCAGGCTGGAGTGCAGTAGCGCAATGTCAGCTCACTGCAACCTCTGCCTCCCGGGTTCAAGTGATTCTCCTGCCTCAGCCTCCTTAGTAGCTGGGATTACAGGAACCCACCACCATGCCTGGCTAATTTTTGTATTTTTAGTAGAGACAGGGTTTCGCCATGTTGGCCAGGCTGGTCTTGAACTCCTGACCTCAGGTGTTCCACCTGCCTTGGCCTCCCAAAGTGTTGGGATTACAAGTGTGAGCCCCCACGCCTGGCCAGGAAATGACTTTCATAGCAGCACCAACATAGTCAAAAGTAGGACATCACCATCACTGGCACTATTTTGAAAAGTTTTTATATTACAATTAGATTTACATCTTTACACTAATTAGGCCATGTTTATAGTGGTCACTTAGGGGCATGCTTTCAAAATCTGCAGTTGTAGCAATATCATGTTCAAATGCAAAACCCACATTCACGAATCAGCAATATCCAGCTCACCATTTTCTTGCTTTAAAAATCAAAGTATCCACTGAGAAACTCCCTACCCTAGAGTTGGAAATTGCGGGTTCAAATCTCAACTCTGCTCCTTACAAATGGCATCAAGTCAGTTAACATCTTTGAGCCTCAGTTTCCTTATCTGCTGATGGGAATGTGTCAAAAAAATTTTTTTTTCTTTCTTTTTTTAAAGAGATAGAGTCTCCCTCTGTTAGCCAGGCTGCAGCGCAGTGGCCTAATCATAGCTCACTGCAACCTCAAACTCCTGGGCTCAAGTGATCCTCCCAATTCAGCCTCCCAAGTAGCTAGGACAACAGGTGCATGCACCACTGTGCCTTGCTAATTTTAAAGTATGTTTTGTAGAGATGGGGTCTCATTATGTTACCTAGGCTGGTCTCAAACTCCTGGCCTCAAGCAATCCCCCCACCACGGCCTCCCAAAGAACTGGGATTAGAGGTGTGAGCTAGTGTGCCTGGCTCCCTTTTACAACAAAAACAGAGTTTGTTATGAGGATGAAATGAGACATAATGAAGGTAAGAGCAATCTAGTTCATGACCTGCTCAGTAAAGGTTTGAAGAATTTGAATAATGATTTCTTCATATAAATGGTTAGCTAATCCATGCCTCTGTCCCCTGAGGGCAGAGAGGATGATAAGGGAGGTTGAGAAACACATGTTCAGCACTTTGGGCTATGGTCATGCCAAGTCTAAGGCAGGGATAGTACAACAAAGGTCACAGAACAAGGACTGTTTTCTGACGTTTCCAACTCTACACTGACTTTCTCGTCCAATAATACAGTATCTTGCCCATGTTACTGCATCACCTTTGACCCTGGAGAAAGACCACAGGGTGCTGCTCCTGGCTGCCTTACCGTCATAATGAGCTTCTCCACGCAGTCAGGTGCCACGCTGTGGAGGTGGGTGAGGTGCAGCTGGAGGTGGATCTTGTTGTTGAGCATGTCCTGGCACAGGGGGCAGCGAAGCATGGGTTGCACCGAGTGCTGCGTCATGGCATGCACCCGGAGCCGGTTGACATCGGCATTACTGTACTTGCAGTAGGGACACTGGTACATCTGTGGGGAACACACCCACTGCTTTGAGCAACTGTGTGTGCCCCAAGCCCGCCCACCCAAAAGTTTGTTCCCTACCAATGTCTAAAACACCTCACCTCCCCACCAGCAGAGTCCCTTCCAGCCTCACCTGCTCCGGTTTGATCTCCTCAGCTGTTTTTGGTCGCTTCGAAGAGAGGGGAGACTCTGAGCTACCTGGGAAGGAGATGCGTTTGGAGGTTGCAGGAGAATCTGTCAGCTCCTTCTCTGCTTGGCTGGACGATGCTAAAAGAGAAAGTAGAAGATGCAATACAGCAGCCAGACCAGGCCAGCTCCCAGAGGGTTTGTGTTGGGTGAAAATCAACATTCATTTATAGCACAGGATTTTCTTAAAACACCAAAATTCAAGAAGGATGAACATCCGGACTGATTTATCAAGCATGTTGGAAAAGAAGCAAGTGTTTCTTTCTCCCCCATGAATTTCTGTCACTACTTTAACAACTGAACATTAGGAAAAGAAGGCAAAGAAATGGAATAAAAGGCTCTGGAGTTGGATTAAGCTAAATTCAGTCTGTTCTAACCTCCCCCAATCTAGATACAATCTGCTGGCTTGTGGGGGGCAGTAGGGCTGAGGGTGGGTGGGAAAGTCTCACCAATTGCTTTGCCAGCCTCAGTACCAGACATGCTCTGCTTCAGAAATGTAAGAAGAGATGTGCTCTCAACTTTATTGTCCCTCCTCTTGGAATCACAACATGGCACAGCATTGGCAACATGAAAAATGTGATTTGAGAAAGGTTCACATGAGTATCAGCACACCAAATATGTGGGGGAAAAAAATCAAGTTTGGGTTCAGCAGTTTGCTTTTGGGGAAGAAATAATTGAGGAGTGGAACTAGGCAGGGCCTGAATCCAAGATATAATCTAGCCAGTGCTCCAGACCCAAGAGTTTATTCAGAGTGGGTGGGAATAGGGAAAGTTTCCTATCTGCTTGCCCAAACCATGCCTCCATGCCCCTCTTGCTTACACCACCAAAAAAACCAAACGCTATTTAAAGAGGAGTGGCCCATGAGGATTGAGCAGCAGACAGCACGTACGGAAGTGCTGGTGGGAGGAGTTCTCTGAAGGATGGAAAGGAAACATTTCTTTATCTTCTCTATTTTTAACCCCAATCAGTAGGCATTAGGTTAGGCTCAGGGTTTATAGTTAGGAAAAACCTGCTATCTGCTCCTCCTTCCAGTAGAGGCAAACACTTTGATAAGAAAACAGCCAGGCTAAGGGTTTATCCAGGATAAGCAAGGCTCCTCCAGCTTAAACACAGTATGGTTGGATCTGGTTGTTCCATAACCTGGTCAATATCTGAGTGTTGGCTCTTTCATTTGTTTTGAATATGGGACTCCATTTTTCAGAATTTTGTTTAAAGCAATAAGAAAAAAAAAGTAATAAAAGTGGTAGTGAGAAAATATATATACCCACTTCCCTCATGAAAAAATAATGTGACTCAGCATTCAGGTCACTGAATTAGAAAGCCCAATTTTTATTCCCTGTTAAACTGCTTTCTGTTTTACCCTGTCTAGTTATCTGGCATATATTTCCATTTATGCTTGGGTTTGAAATTTGTTCTGATGTGGACACCAAGATGCTGTCATTACTTTAATAAACAATTTTAGACAATCAATTTTATTCATTAAAATCATAAGGCCACAATATAATTTTGAAAAGAAATTTGCCAAATGCAGGAAATATATTCCAGGAAGTTGATGCTCTTCCCAGAGTGCACATCTTGTGACCTTTAACCCCAGTATCTTGGTAACCTGGTCTACATAAGTTTGTAGGACATCTATTATTTAAAAAGTACAAGGACGAGCATATTACACACAGATCCTCCTCCTCCCAACACACACATTCATAACAGTATTTTAATCTGTCTCGAATCGACTTCAAACCCATTTTGCTCTTAATGGGAGTTATTCATTTTCACTTGAAAGGTAATACATGACGGCTGGATGTTTAATGTGATGGAATGGCTGCCGATTAACTAGGTGCTGCAACATTCTAGACCAGTTCCCCCATGGCCTACTTCCCATCTCCTGGCCCCGCTCAGACCTGATCCTATGGAACGTCGCGTTGCAGGTTTGAGACCTTGCAGTGTGATGGGCCGCTCCTGAACACATCTACATTTGGAGTCCTTAATTAATGTTTCAGGAACTTAAGTTCCCTTGCCCCCAGAAACTTCCTTATTCTCCATCATTTTGATTTTTGCTTAGTGGTTATCTTCTATATATTAACTCTTCAAATGCATTCTCAAGATGGGGTGGGTGAGGGCATCAAATAATACTTCCAGTGTTTATTTGTCACAGCCATTTCTTTACCTTCTCTATTGTGAACTCCAATCAGTAGGCATTAGGTTAGGCTCAGGGTATATATAGTTAGGAAAAAGCTGCTATCTGCTCCTCTTTCCAGTAGAGGCAAACTAAGACATAGATTCTATTCCATACACCCATCCCCATCCTTTTGTTACTCTGCCTGACTAAAAACAACACCTGTTTTACAGGACTGTGACTGCCTTGTAAATGCCCTCAATCTGCCTGCCCCCTACTATGGAATGAGTCAATTGTGCACTTGCTCAATAGTGTGGATGAATGGGCACCGAGGCTGAGACCACCCGACTCATCTCACTCTCCCAGAGCTGAAAAGCAAACACAGTAACCCAGTGCAGCATTAGTTTCCTCATAGGACCAAAGAGTCCATCCTCTTCCTTGAATGCTGAACACATGATGAATTGTGGTGAGGTTGCAGAGGTGAGAATTCTGGTTTCAGAAGCCACTATTCTTTCCCCCTGCATGGAGAGGGGAACTTCTTTTTTTTTTTTTTTTCCAAACTCAAACTGCTCTGGAATTCTAAAGCTTCTTTTGTGAGCTTGAGCTAAGGACCCATTATAAAGTGTTTTAAAAAATAAAATCACCAATTGCTCACTCATTTTTCTTTCTTCCCAGTGATACAACAGCCCTGCTTTAACATGAAATGCTGCATCCACTGGTGCACAAACTTCAGGTTCATCTAGTTTCTATCTAGGACAATCTGCACCTTTATTAGATCAAATCTGTCTAGAAGTGGATATTAGCCACCTGCAGCTCACTGGCCCCTTCTCTAAAGATAAAGCAATGCCATCCTTATAACAGATTCTATAAACACCCAGTTACAATCTCATTGTGTTTGCCTGAGTGATGTGGGGATGGCTCCTAAGAGTTAACTATGGCTGACACATGCCCCTCCCTTGCTTGACCTCAGACATTAAAATGTCAGTCCCTATCAAGACATCGTACCAAAGTCGTTACACCATTTCTGTAGATGGGCAAACAGTTGTGCAAGTTCTGGCAAGGTGCAGTGGCTCACGCCTGTAATCCTAGCACTTTGGAAGGCTGAGGTGGGCAGATCGCTTGAGCCCAGGAGTTCAAGACCAGCCTAGGCAACATGGTGAAACCGCATCTCTACAAAAATTACAAAAATTAGCCAGGCGTGGTGGCAAGTGCTTATAGTCCTAGCTACTCAGGAGGCTGAGGTGGGAGTATCACCTGAGCCTGGGAGGTTGAGGCTGCGGTGAGCCATGATTGTGCCACTGCACCCCAGCCTGGGTGACAGAGTGAGACTGTCTCAAAAAAAAAAAAAAAAAGAGTTGTGCAAGTTCTCCATCAACATGCTATGCTGGATGAGGGTTTATCACAGACCACAGTCAGAGGTTCTCTCAAGTTTCTTCTCTCTGAACAGCTTCAAAAGGGCCAGAGTCTCAGAATCAATTTCTACTTCAGTTCTGTCACTAGCATACATCGTGGGCATAAGTAAATGAAGTTGTATGAATACCAAGAGAGAAAGTACTGTGGTTTCTCACTTTGAAGGCTTTTCTAAACTTAAACTCTAGAAGACATGTCACAATATACAAAACACTTTTAAAAATCAATTACTGGTCACTTTAAGCCTGCGATGATGTCACATAAGTGAAATGGAAATACATGCACTCCAGAGACAAGACATAGTTTAGACAATTGGTGTCTGGAACCTTTGGTTTACATCGGCAACAAAAAAACAAACAACTTGAAGCGTTAGTAACTCTAGTGGTTTGTACAATAATCACAAAATGATTTGGAAACAATCTAGATATCTTACAATAGGGCATGGTATAAGTAAACAATGGCATGGCCATTCTACTGAGTATTAGAAGACATTAAAACTGATTGCTATGAAGCAATATGGAAAAATCATTGAGAATGCAAATCAGAAAAGAAGATAAAATGTGTATTATCCCATGTTACAGCTATGTAAAAAGTAGGTATTAGAAAAAAAGACTAGAAGAAAATGATCATTGCCTTTAGGTGATGACATCATGGAACACTTTAAGTTTTTCACATAGTCATTTTATTTTTAATATTACAGTTATCATTTAAGTTCAACTGTCCATGAAAAAGTTGGTATTGGCTCTATACTGTGCAAAACATCAGATGGTATTTTTTACTTTGCTGGTAAAAGCAAGTTCTCTCATTTTGGCAGTTATAAAATATGAAAATATGTGTTAAATCTCAGTGAATCTTCCATAGGCAACATGTTGGGCTCCTGGGATTTCAAAGGGGATAAAAATGTGGTAAGGAATCATGCGACTGAATGCGCTATAGATGACAAACTCTATAAAGCTAGGTAAATGGGATATTGTGACAACGAAATGCTGGGTCAAACTCCTACTCAAACTTAACAGGACGTGAGCTATGGATTCCATGCCACACAGACTTTCCAGGGAGTGAGAAAGCACTTGCTCTGCTTGTTAGTGTTATGGTGGCCCTACCCAACGCGTGCTGATGAGGCACAGGAAAGACTAGCATGTCCCTGTTATGGAGTTCAGAAAATTCAAAAGTCAGCTCTCTGGGCCAACAGCCACCACTTCTCCTCATTCTGTGATGAGTTGGCCAACTAAAACTCACAAAGACAAATACTGAGAGAAACAAACCTGTTCATGATTGTCTATTTTATCCTCTTAGGCTCCTCTGCATTCTAGGCAAAAGAATTTCATTTCAAAGGGAAGCACAGTTGTCAATACATGGCTCCCTTAGGGGGAAAATCATTTATGCATGGAGACACCAACTTCCAGATATCCTTTGATTTTATCATATTTGTTTTAGAAGTATTAAACCTCTAAAAATAATTACTTTAAAAGTTACCCCTCTACTCATGTTAGTTAGAGGGAATAGGGAAGAGAGCTGATAAGCATTCATGCAAAGTTTTGTTTGGAATTTGCAAGAAATGGTTTTATTACGTTGTAAGCATATAGAATAATGAAAATATGGCTAGCAAAACTTTGTGTAGGAAGTGACTTACTTTAAGGAACAGTATCACTTAGAAAACTTGTCAAGTGGACAAAGATGGTAGAAGCACAGCCTTTCAACATTCACAGTCCCTTATAACTTCATCTGATAAAACCATTCTTGCTAGAACAAATTCTCATGTGATCCCAATCTTTGCTAACAAATTCGACATCCGAATCACTGAAATTCTGGCCACAGAAAACTTAAGAGTTGTGCTTGCAATCCCAGTGGACTTAATGCCAACACAGGCTTCATTTCTCATCTAGTAACTCTGTACAACTCTGAAGCCAAGTAAGGCGTGGAGTTGCTGCTTCATCAAAGATAAGCCTGAAGAAAAACTGGAAATGAAGTAAAACATGGAACCTTAAGGTCCCTCATTTTCAAGATATCCACTTGCCCTCCAAGAAAACCAACATACTGGTAGAATTAGTTTCTGTGTTTCCTAAGCAAAATTCATCTTCTCATCACTAAACACACCAGTGCGCTGTTGGCATGGCTGCATCCTACGATGCAGACCATTCTCCCTCTGGCCAGAGGCCTCCCTCCCTTGGGGAGATCCTGGGCAGGCATTAAGCTGTCCACGTTACTGGGAAGTTTCTTTTGCATCTCTTCATGGTGGAGTGACTCCTGGAGGTGGTAATCACCGAAGTGCTGATCCTCTTCCTTTTTGGCGTCCTGAGGTGAGCCCACTGAGGGTCTGGGATGCTGCCTGACACTTGAACCTTGTGGGGAATCCAAAGGCAGCCACCACCCCCACCTCTCAACCATCAGACTCTTAGCTAAAAAGTACCACTGACAGCCCCTCCATCTAAATTTCCATCTCCCAAACCAGCAACATAATGGAGGAGCCAATTAAATGATTATTAATTCATGCTACTTTCCGTAAGCCAGAGGTTCTCATCGCCTTACATTCCGTAAACCAGCTTGCCACCTGCCCCAGAAATTTACAGCAATCTTTTCTCTATCTCCGTTGACTAGCGAAAAAAGAAATTCACATAGCTCCATACTTAATGTCTGAGTTGGGATAACTATTCCAACACACAAGACACAGATGTATCACCAGATCTGAAAATGGTCCTTCAGCTCATAATTATAATTAAATGGAAGGTGAAATGTGTGTTTCCCATAGCTCCTCTCTCTCAGCTTCTCATACCTCATGCTCCCACTAGACAGCAGAAATGCAATGTTTCCAGAGGGTCATCTGTGCTTTTGGATTTTGTGATCTGACTTTCATTGAAAGTAGAGTTACTCTTGGCATTTGCTTGCAATTCCTTCCCCAGAGGACAGGCTGGGCTTTCTTACTTGAATCTCCTGTGGAGCTACTGCACTTGATAAGTGGCCAAAGATCTAGCTAAATTTTCTTCCTCCCCCCAATAGAGAGAACAACAGTTCCTTTAAAGAATCTGCTTTCCTGCCAACTTGGTCTTTAAACATGCATGGTCTCATTCTGCCTCCAACCAAGCACTTAGAGATGTTTCCAAGAGGAATAGGGGAAGAGGGGAAGGGGATTTGTGTGAAGCAGATGCACGCACATGTTCACTCAGCAGGGGGCGGTCTTCAGGCCACAGCTAAAAAGAAACTGAGGCTTCTCTCTTCCCTAATCAAAGAAGCAGAATCTGTCTCAACATCCAGCCTGGTGAAGTTAAGAACCTTCTATTCAAAACACAGTCTTATTCTAAGGAAATGCAAGCTATCTCGCTCCCGTATATCCCTAGAAAACACCTACCCCTAAAAGTAGAATATGCTTACAAAGGTATGGCAAGACACAGAGGTTCTATCAACTTCACAGGCCTTTTGTTTCTAAAAAGGGTTTCAAAGAAAATTTGATTTATACTACACATAGGTATAAGAGTTACTCAGGGAAAGGCTATTTTTCTTCTCCAACTTAAATATGAACAAAATAGGTCAGCACTTTAAAAATCCAGCAGCTCTTAGTTGTTATTATTACGATTTTACTTTTTGTTTGGAAATAATTATAGCTTCACAGGAAGTCTCAAGAACAGCATAGAGAGGACCCATGTACACTTCACCCAGGTGTTACTTATTAAGCAGTTTAGATAAAGATTTCCAGGTCTTCCATCACTCTTCATCGTGACCCTGCCTCTCCGGCTCCCTCCCTCCCTCCCTCTCCCCCACCCCCAATCTTGCTTACATCTACCAAGACTTAGGGCCCTATGCCTGTCATACACCTTCCCTGTCCTTTAGGAAAGCTCCATGCCTCCCTAACCCAGCAAGGGCTCAGGACTTACTGTCTAGTTAAGAAGTCGATCTCAAAACCTCACGCTTGTCACTGAGATCGCAGCCTTGAGGTTCAGCAAATGCCAGAATGTGTCAGACTCCCGGGCAGGGCTCATTAAAACACAGATCACAGCCCCTGCCCTAAGGTTCTGATTCAGTAGGTCTGAGTCAGATAATGTACATTTCCAGTAAGTTCCCAAGTAATGCTGATGGTCCAGGGACGACACTTTGAGAACAGTGGTCAGAGCCAAGGCTTTGTGTAATAGGTAGGAACCACGCTGCTTTGTGGTCTAACTAGAAATAAATGAGAGGGCCCAGCAAGCATGGGCCAATCTGTCAGTCCACTTTAAATGGCTCTGATGACATGATACTCTCATCTAAACTCAGGGATGACAGCCAGGTTTGGTCTCATAGCCTAGATGTTTTAAAACACCCTCAGGCCACCTGCTTACTCTAAAACAAATGCAGACACCTTCAAAACCAGAAATTCAGAAGGAATAAGCTCCATGTGTTCTGTTAGCGTAATCCAGAATAAGGACAGACTTCCTTGTTTACAGAAATCTCTTTCTTTCCACATGTCCTGTCCTGGAGAGCCTCTGTGAAAAGAGGGCAAATACCTGTGGGCTCCTTCCACCTTGCAGAAAGAGGAAGCGTCTTTTTAGTGCTGGCTTCCCTCGGTCAGGCACCTGCAGGCCTCAGCAGCTGAAGGCCCTCTTTGCTTCAGCCCTGGAAGCATGCACAGATCTATGCTAGCCCCCATTTGCACAAGTCAGCAATCTGGGAATGGGGGTTCAGGCACCATTCTGTGGGGCCTCTGCTTTCTCTGCAGGAAGCAGCCTCTCTGGCAGGCTCTGGAAGCCTCAAGGTGGGATGGTGGGCACACGCTGACCGGTGGGTGCTGCTGCTTGCTCTGCGTATTTTGGGAGAAAAATAGTGCTAAGCCCTACATCAGAGACATCAATCTGTTGCACTAATTCCTTGCTGAAGTATGCATAAGGCTGCTTAACCACACTGATTTGAGTTCCCAAAAGGCCATTCCACATTTCAATTTCAAGACACCTTGCTCCCTCTGTGTCAGGTTTGCAAATGAACCACCAGTCAAAACAGAGCCACCACCTGGTTTAGACCAACATCAGCTGTTGGTCTGTTTAATAAATTATAGGCACTGGACTGCCACCGTGAGCCCGGCTCATGCCAGGATTTGGAGGCCTGCTAAATATTCCTGATTTTGATTTTGACCTGATTCCTGACTTTGAGGTACTGAGTCAACCTGCCTGTCTTTGGCCTCTTGTTGGTTCCCCCAAAATATGCTGTCTTCCCCTGGCATAGCTTACTGCAGCTATGGCCATGGTATCTTGTGAGGATGGGTGGCCACAGTCCAGGGACACACTAGGGGGTCTGCACTTATTACGCTTCCCTGTGGCTTTATTACAGGACTGTGAAGACAACCAGAGTGGGAAGGAACCTCAGAAACCTTTGGACCAACAGAGGAAAAAGCCCAGAGGTGCAGGACATAGATCAAAACCAGTCGCATGCGAGTCATTCTAGGATCCGGCCAAAGTTAATTAACAGAGGGCCATTCAGTCTCCACCGAGTCAAACAATAATTAGGTTAGTTAGGGTCTTTGAGCCCCAACACAGTCTAGACTCTGAGACACTGCAATATAACAATATTCTTCTGGTTTCTTCTCCATTCCAAATCTATCTTCCTAAAATACTAAATTTTAAGAGTGAAAGTGAACTTGTGAACATAAACAGGTAAAATGTGGGTGTGTGTCCAGAATGGTGACAGACAGGGAGAACTGCTGAATATAACTTATCAGAACCTTACAAACTGGCCTTCCCTCATGATCCACCTAGGGTTTCTTTTTACTAGTCAGGTTCCACAGGAAAATGTGAGAACTTATACTTAGGGAAGAAAGACATTACTCAGGTCCCTGCAAGGCTGGAAAATGGGAATGATTCTCCACTTTCCCCTCCAGATTTAAGCACTACAAAGACTGTCAACATCTCTTGGCATTTTGTACAGTACAGAGAGATAGACACCCTACATTGTGTAATGTTTATATTTAATATCAGTGCTGCTTTCCGTCTCCATTGAGTTCCCACATTCAGCTCACTCACAGCGCTCCAAAGGCCTAGGATAAGTGACCTGTGTGAAGACATGGGGAGGCGGTTCTGGAGCACCTTCAGGTACTCCTCAGGAACTGATGTTTTTTCACTTGTTGTTTGCCTAAGGCCAAGTTCTCTTTACCCGAAGGCATCATTCAGCCCCCCTTGCTAGGTAATAAAGCACAATATTTTGTAGCGCTGGTCACAGTTGGTTCACATCCTGGCTGTGTGACCTCGAGCATCCTATCTGACTACACTGAGCTTTCTGTTTCCTCATCTGTCAATGGGATAACACTGTCTACACATGGTTTCTGTGCCGCTAGCCAGAGATCAGGCATATGATGCCTACCACAGAGTCTGGCACATAGTGAAAGCGCAAACATTTGTTGCTATGGTTTCTTTTTTAGAAGGATTGGGAAATAATACTGCTGGGGCTATAAAACCATAGAACGAGGGGAGAAACTTGTTTATTTTTTTGTTTTTATGGGCTTTCCAATGAAGAGCGGAAAGCCTGCTAGACAAATTCTAAAAGCTGTAACACTGAAACTTGGTTTTTAAGACAAGCAAAGACACCTTAAATTTGTCTTTTCTCTATACCAGGATGAAACAATCCTATTAACCCATGGATTTAATGTCTACAAAGCAGAAAGTAGAATAACTTGGACTTAAAGGTACTTATGTCATGCTATTTTACCAATTGATTGTTAACGAAACATCTAAACAGTATTAAGCACTTGCTAGGTGCTGGGGATTACAAAAATCAATGGTTGCCACATAGCTCCTAACCATAAACAGCTGACAAACTCTATCTGACAACAAGAGAAGCATAGAATTTAAGTTCTCCTCCTCCAACCTTCCTAAAAGTAGAGAAAGTGATAATGTTACATGTTCTTTGGCTTTATAATGTAGAAAATATATCTGACTCAGAAGGCAAATTGGGATTTGACTGCAACTCTGACACCCGAGTTCCCAATCTGTGAGGCTTAGTTCTCGAGGCTGCAAAACGAAGGTAGCATTGGACCCAAGAAGAATATGAGAACCTAATGAACGTGCTCTAATATCCCCCATGGAAAGGCACAATGGTATTTTTTTTAAATAATCATGATTATAATAACAGAGGTACTTTACAATTGGCACAAAAGTTAAAGCTGGAACAAAGCAGGCAAGATTAACATGGCCACTCTGTAAGAATAATATGCAAATCTATAAGGTATTTTCTATAGTGATGAACAATGATTTGCTCCTTAATCTACATTTTCACTGCCCTTTATCTATACCTTGATGATAGTTCTCATTATACTGTGTCATAATTGTGATTACATATGACAACACTTCTAGAAAGTGAGTTTTTTTTTTTTTTTTTTTTTGCATGTCCTGTACCTGCCTTAGATATGTGTGCAAGAAAATATTTGTTCAACTGATGTGGTCCCTATCTCTCTTATGACTTACAACATAAATTCTCAAAGCCAAGACCTTTGAATTAACTGGAATTTGGGCAAGTCCAGATATACACCACAGCCTGTATCTATTTTGGCTTCCCAACATAAAAATAGTTCATGATTTGTTTTCAATTGTGAGACAGAATTCCGCCTGCAGTGACTTTAAGCAGCCAAGTATACTGAAAGTGGCCTGGAAAAAAAAGAGTGGGGAGTGAGAGAAGGGGGCACAAGCTGACTCTGGAAAAGGTGACACAGTCACACAATTCCAATCTACGTGTGAAAACATAAAACCAAAAATGGTTTCCATTGGCAGGACCATGAACCACAAAGGGGCCACGCAAAATGGGCTCCCAGTATTCCCTCACATGCATCCTACTGCAAAGACAAATTTACTTTTGGGTGAGGTGGAGAAATGAAACCAAGTACCAGAAAGATACAGAGTTAGGCCAAAATGATTTTTGTAGAGGTATGGTGGTGGTGTTGAATGGCCTGGTTTCTAGTCAACAACAGGGTTGGGATATGAGTGGCCACTCAAAGGCACCCATGTGAGTCTCCAAGGACTCCTCTGTTGATGTCCTCATCACACTGCCTCTGACAACACAGTGTGTCTGTCCCAAGAACACAGAACTAGGTAAGGGCATATGGTGCTCAGACATTCCATCAAGAAAAGTAGCCTTGGTGCTGCCTGACCTCCATTGAGAAAGCCTTGAGCCTTTTATCCAGGGTATATTAACTAGCCACAGACAAGAGAAATCTGGGAAAGTTATTAGCATTCCAACTTTAGTAATTAATATGCTCCAAGATTCTATAATGCTCTACAACTGTCCCTACCCCAGTCATAATTTATGAAGCTCCAGAATTGTTAATAACCCATTTGGTCCAACCTGCCACTTTACAGATTTGGAAACTGAGGTCCAGAGACCTCAGGTCACGCAGGTGAACTTAGTGGCGGAATTAGGCCTTGAACCCAGGGCTTCTGACTCCTACGAGTCCTGTATTTTTCCTAACACGTTTCCTCTCAGCACATACCTTCTTTTGTCCTTAGAGACTCAATTTGGAAAAACGAAAAAAAAAGTATTTTTTCAGCCCCTTTCCATTCTTTGTCACAGATTATATTTCAGGCACTAAGTTCCCCATACAAAGGCATCTCTATTTATACAAAGCTGTAAACAACAGGGAAAACAGGGGGAGGGCTGGTAATAGATTTGCACCAGGATGTGCCTGACCTGCTTTTTTTCAACCTCAGTAATTAGAAAGGCAGCAGGTCTGTAGGAATTATTCATATGCAGCAGGAGCCATACGCTATACATTTATGTTAAACATGTCAAATCCGATTGGAATCATGCCTGCCAGCACCATATTCCATAAACGTACTTTTCCCTAACAGTCACCCAGACCTTGCCAGCCCATTAATACTTCCTTTAATAGCAATCTTCTATAGATTCAAATCAGGGACGCTCCACTGCACTAATTGCTGTGTTAGGTGAGCATCATAGATTTAAAAAAATTAATAAAGTAAAATCCCTTCAGGCCAATCCTTTAGAAAAATGAAAACACTCAAACTACCATTCTAACTCAAAAATTTACAAAAATATGAACGTCAGGGATTTTTGAAGCATTATTGTGGTGTCATTTCAAGTTGAGCTATTTCCCTGCTTCCCCTCCAACCCGCATTTTTCAAAAGCACCAATACCCTCTGGTCATCTCGTCCCAAATTACCTTAACTAGACTCAGCCTGGTACTCTGTGGCTGGAAACCATGACGACTACAGGAATTAAATAACCATCTTGCTATGATTCTTTGCCAAGAGTTCAATTTTTCCCCTAATTATTGGTGATAAAGCATCACATTAATTGTATATCACTTAACTTATTGCAAATAATGATTAATTGGATAATCACTGCATTAATCATTGCTCAGTTGCTGACACGGGGGGCTCTTCATTCGAGAATACACACATTCAAATCTATTCTGGTAAAAGAGAACAAGGGTCATTTTCATGTTTCAAAAGAGAAAACCACAAAGTTGGACAGTGGCAATGGCTGTGCATTAGGGAAGAGAACAAAGAACCTTCCTGTACCCTTCACTGGCCCACAGGAGTACATCACACTTTCCTTGACAAGATGTGCCCGCAAGGGCCTGTTCATGTGCTACCACTCACCCTCTTGGAACTCTCAGGCGGTTGGGACTAGTGGATATCCCCTGTCCATGTTTCACAGAGGAGGTACCTGAGCCGAAAGAGGCCAAGTGCCTCAATCAAGGTCATCTGCTGGCTGGTGGGCTTCCTGACTCCAAATCTAGAGTCTTTCCACATCACCATCCCGCTTTCAGACTGAGCACAACGCCAGCTCCTTACAAGACATATATCCATGGTTGATAATCCAGTTCATTTTGAACATCCTGGTGGTTATCGTGTTACTATGATCACTGTACAATGTCAGGAGACTGCTACTCCTTATACTTAGACATAGATGAAAACTAGATCTAATGATCAAACTGAAAATGATCCTTCTCTGAGAGATGGTATATTGGTAAGAGCTTGGGCTCTGTCCTAAGTTAGAATAAGTGCAAAAGCCAGTGTGTAAATCTGAACCTGTCTGTATACCTTTTGGCGATGTGCTAGAGATTCTTACCTTCCTTTTTTTCACATCATGGCACACACAGAAAATGATGGCAAATTGGGATAAACAGATGAAGCAGGACCTGTGTACCTGTGAGCAATTCATGGCATGCCTGCTGGGAAGGACAGGTGTGAAGCTCTAGAATGGTGCCTGGCACAGGGTTAGAGCTTTATGCAGCCGTTATAATTACCAGAAAGTTGCTGTACCTATGATGCATTCTTTCAGGGTTAGTTTTGTTCCTTTGGGGTATCTATAGCTGCACATGTGGCTACTTAAATCTAAATTCATTAAAATTAAATACAATTTAAAGTTCAATTCCTCAGTGGTACCAGCCACACTTTGCAGGCTCAATAGCCATATGTGGTAAATGACTATGGTATTGTTCAGTTCAGATGCAGAACATTTCTATCCATACCAAAAGTTCCATTCGACAGCACTGATCTATAGTAATATCGGTCTTACGACTACGGGCGTTCCTGAAATCCCCAGAAGAATGTTAGATTCCCTGAAGGCAGGCCCTATAATCTCACTGAATTTGTGATCAGTGGAACTCTGCCCAGTGCCTCGCATGGGGTAGGGACTCAGCCATTGATCGTGGAATTGACCCAACCTCAGTTCAGATCACTATCTTGCTTGCTGTGCTGCCACCCAGGGTAAAAGACCTGACATCTGAATAAAAGAATCCCAAAGAGGAACCCCCAAAAAGGAAACCAGGAGGCCCACTCCAAATGTAGAAATAAATAGCTGAAAGTGTTCAGTACAGAGTACCCATTCCTGCACAAACCCCAAAACTACAAAATCAGTAGCTGAGAAAATGCCAATTATCCAGGCCCATCTGAAATATTATTAATCTGCATCATGAACAGCCACTAATCAACATAACAGATTGTGAAATCACTATTTATTTACTTGCCAGGAGGAAGCATTCCCCGTCACATGTAATCAGATAGGAACAGCTCAATTTAGGGAGAGAATAGAACAAACGTAGTTTTAAAAATATATATAAAATAATAAGGATCCAGAAGAAAGCTCAGAGGAGGTTGCTGGCACCTGTATCGATTCCAAGATCAAATCGGCCCAAGTACCTTAATAAAGCCTGTCATTACACACTCAGATACTATAGACAAAATTATGCTTCGGATCAAAAGAGGATCATTTGCAGGAGTCGGGAAAGAATTTTCCCTTCTCTCTTTACTATTGTGCAGCTGGCAAGGTGCATCTCTGAGTTATTCATTCAATCACTCATTCATTCATTTTCTCTCTGTCTTTTGGAAGTAAAGATTAAGTAGGCCTGGTGCTTGAATGAATGCATGAGAAAGTGGAACCTTATTAAGGACATTCATTTTTTATGGTGCTCATTTTACGTCTTTTAGTAGTCTCCTGATTGCCTAGCATGTCCACTAGTGCTGTGAAGACACACTCCCAATGAATCAGAAACACTCTGAGTAAGATTTAATTGAACTGCTCTCAACAAAGGCTGCCCTAAACTGGTTGGAAGGATTAGAGAGGCACATATAGAGTGGCTAGCATAAGGCAGCACATAGAGTAGGGACTTTGCAAGTGGTGGCTCCTGTTTATTATTTCCGTAGTGCCCTTAGCACACAAAATGCACGAAACATACGCACCAAACATCATTCGCACGATCCCATTAAATGCTTGTATGTTGCTTCTCCCTCAGCTCAAAATTCCCAGGAGCCACATGCTGCCTTGCAACAGAGGACCCAAAGAGAAACTGCTACCAGTTTTCCTCATCTTATATATCACTAAACCATTAAACAAACAAACAACTTACATAGAGCTTACAACATGCCAAGCACTGTTCGGAGCTTCCCATAGTCAAATAATCCTCGTAGCAATCCTACAGAAATAGGTACTATTTTTAATCTTCATCTCATCTGAGGAAAATGAGGCACAGAAAGGTCAAGGTACCTTGAGTGGGGTCACACAGCTAATGAGTGGCAGAGCCAGGATTAGAAATCAAGCACCCAAATCGTGACAACAAAGGACAGATGGCTCAGAAGGTCACCCAGTCTTCAAACTGTGTTTGTGAAATCCTTTTCCCCAGCTCACCTGGCGATCTGTTTAATTGCCGTGTGAACCATTTGTTTAGCTCTCATTCAACGTTGAGGCAAAACTGGGATCTTGGTCCAGGCAAAGCCCCACAGGAGGATACGTCCCCCACTACATTCAGGGCCTTCCTTTGAGCACAGATGTCCATCCTCCACTCCTCGGTCCTACCTTACACATCGCCTAGGGTGTTTGACCCTCATTGTTTTCTGGAGTTTAGGCTTCTGGACACCACACAGGCCAGTCTGAAGGGGAATGCTAAGCACAGTGGACAGTAGAATCCACCTGGTGTGCTGCCCATTCATTCGGCTGCAGTATGGCCCTCTCTGTGTCTCCCAGGAAACACTGAACAGTGGTACATCACCCGCCCTGCGTATCTCTCCCGATATCTGGGAACTATTGTACTACCTCTCTAATTTCTCTTTTCTAGGCTGAATGACCCATTTCTTCAGCCTCCTCTCAAAGGCAATATTTCTCAGCCCTTCAGTCATTTTCATTGCTCTCTTCTGGCCTCTCTCCAAGATTCTGTATCTTGTTTAAATAGTGAAGTCCAACACCGAACATGATTTAAGAACAGTCATGCCTGGAAAAGTAACAAAGGCCCAACGAATACGGACTCCAGAAAGTAAACATTTTCTCAAAAACAAAAGTATTGTAATATTAATAATGGTAGTAAGAATTAGGTTGACCAAATAAAATCATTTTTGTTGCCCGTCACATCATTTCCTCTTATTATTTTCTAGAAGGCTTAACTGTCCCCTAAGTCTTCTCTGAAATGACTTTGCTCCTCCTCAAAAACCCTAAGCTTTTTTAGTCTCAGCTCTTCTTCCCCTCAACATAGAAAGCTTATCATCTTGAGAAATGGCCGTTCTCCTTCTCTCAACACCAGTTTTTCCAGAAATAGCACTTCCTGTCTTGGCTTCTTCAATGTCTTCTGCTTTGGGTAAGATGTCCCCCTGCCTGGCTGCACTGCTTGTCTCCCCTTTGGGTGGATTTCAGCACATGAGTGCTCACCCTGGGGGAGGGGGAGGACAGGAAGAATATGCAGGGCAGGCACCACCTGTGCAGGGCCCTGCCCAGGCCCCCAAATGCAGGACAAAGACCACCCTTCACTGCTGACTCCCTTAGTAATTTTTTATTTTTATTTTATTTTTATTTTTTGGTCACCCAGGCTGGAGTGTTATGGCATGATCTTAGCTCACTGCAGCTTCGACCTCCCTGGCTCAAGCATTCCTCCCACCTCAGTCCCCCAAGCAGCTGGTACTACCAGCGTGCACCACAATGCCTAATTTTTTGTAGAGACAGTGTCTCACCACGTTGCCCAGGCTGGTCTCGAACTCCTGAGCTTAAGCAATCTGCCGACCTCAGCCTCCCAAAGTGCTGGGATTACAGGCGTGAGCCATTACTCTCAGCTGGGAATCTTTTTTTTTTTTCCCCGAGATAGAGTCTCACTCTGTCGCGCAGGCTGGAGTGCAGTGGCTGGCATGATTAGGGCTCACTGCAGCCTCAACCTCCAGTTGAGGGTTCAAGTGGTTCTCCCACCTCAGCCCCCCGAGTAACTGGGACTACAGGTGTGTGCCACCACACCCAGCATTTTTTTTTTTTTTTTGAATTTTAGTAGAGACAGGGACTCGCTATGTTGCCCAGGCAGGTCTTGAATTCCTGGGCTCAAGTGATCCTCCCACCTCAGCCTCCCAAAGTATTGAGATTACATGAGCCACTGTGCCTGACCCTTAGAGAATCTTGAGGCTAAGAATCAGGGGTGACCCTGATCAAGTTCCACATGACAAATCTCTCCACTGGCCTTGGGAGCAGGTGGGACCAGCGACTGGACCTTCAATAGAGGAAGAATGACATCAAGGGCATTTTGGTGAAGAGCCACCAAAGAGATGTGACCAACACCCAGATGCCCTTGCACACAGCTTGGCACTTACCTGGATACTCAATAAGCAAGCTGGCTTTGGTGCCACTTAAAAAGCTTAACCATTAAAAACTACAGTATAATGTAGTATAATAAAGAAGAATAAAGGTGACTGCTCAAAGAAGCAAACGAAATCTCCCTCCCACTCATCCTTTTTCTGGGCAGACTAAGGATGTATCCGCTCCCTGACTTGTTAGCTCCATTCTTCCAGGGAAGGAAAGATGAGAAGGCTCAAGGACAGCCACACACACTACCTGTCCACTTGCCCTGGTCTTTCTCACCTCCGCCCTCTTGGTCCTTAGCAAGCTCCTCTGGATCAGCAGCTGTTTCACTGGGTCCTTCAACATCTTCAATGGCTTCTTCTGAAACAGAAGAAAAACATGTCAAGGGTTAAAAATAAAAAGAAGATGAAGGACTTTTGGCCTCTGTTGCAAACAACTGCCAACGACAGAACAGACACCAATGACTCGTCCCCCTTCTCTTTCCAGAGGCCCCTGGGAGACTGACGGTGCTAAGGATATACTGAGGTCTGGGTAAGCAGTGGGGACTTTCCTTCTGGGTAAACAGTTGGTATGAGGTTGTGACTCGCTCCAGATGTGTGGCCATTAGGTATTTCCAGATAGATTCTGAATGCTTCGCTTGAGTAGTTCTAACTGAAAAACCAATCCTGGTTGAAGCAGTAACTCCACCTGAATCCCTGAAGTTGCATGCAAGTCTTTTACACTTGAAAATGCAAAACATGGCCACCTGTTCACTTCATGCCTAGCTCCATTCCCAAAGCCTCCTGGTACTGGCCTAGACCAGCCCCAGTCACTGACCCCTCACAGGGCTCACAGTGCCTATGCATGTGCCAGAGTGTGTGGGAATTGTTGGAAGTCATGCAGGTTGCGAAGAGTCACAGAATATCAGTGATATGAGTTCATCAGTTTGAAGAGTTCCAGAAACCAAATGGTATCTTGTGAACATGCCAGGAGGCAGTGGTGGGAAGTGAGATTTGTAGAGTAAGGGATAAAAATTTGTAACAGAGTCGTACACTTTCTTTTTGAAGCAATTCCATCCTTCACTCACTACGGGTTTAAAACTAATGCAGGAAACCTCTCTCCAGTTCAGTACACAGTGCTACAGTGAAGGCAGAATGACGGCTGCCAACGCTAGGCTGCTTATGAAGTCAAATGTCGTTCAGCCAAGTGGGGAAGAAGAGAATAAGATACTCTAGATGCTGAGGGAAAGAAGGGGAGACACTTCTCTCTTGCTTTCCTGGCCCTCCGAAACATTATCCAAAACATGCATTCAGTAAGAGTGGGCTAAGGGAATGAATAAAGTGGACAAACCAAGGTGAAATAATTTTAATAAAGATGAAATTATTAGGAGGCTGTGAAGAGCACATTTTCTCAGGTACACAGGCGTGAGGGCAAGGATGCCCACATCTGTCAGCAGACCAGACCCCAGCAAGGAAGTACTGGGTCTGGCTTAGAACACTGGATCAGGCCTCTATCCAGCACCGCCAGAGGTCTGTCCAACCCCAATTCAACTTTTCAGTATTTTAAAGTATCATGCCTTCTGACCCTCTAGAAAACAGCCTCTACCCCAATGCTACTTTTCCATTTTTCTAAATGTCATGCCTTCTGACTGTCTAGAAAACAGCCTCTAAATGTATCTCACGAAGGAAGTAACAGGAGTACAAAGTAAATTGGTCTCAAAGGGTTTCTAAAACACTGAGGAAGAAGATGTCTATTTAGAATCAGATTGTCTTGACTCAAGAGATGATGGAGGTCCAAGGTCTGGAAAACTGAACTAGTGTCACGGAACGTTCTTTCTTCCTTACCACCAAGAGGGAGTTTATGAGGCAGTCACTGGGAATACAGGTGAAATACGGTACTGTTTATTTTCATCTCCAACTCAGGATTCCACATATAATTTCTCTGTCTCCTTCTTTGTCTCACTGCACAATAAAGTCAACATCAAGTTTCCCTACCCTACCCTTAGTTCAAACAGAGAAAAATCAGGCAACCACAGCTTGAAGTCAATCAGATATAGAGCCCCACATTGACACCATACATCATTTAGTAGAGTAAACATGTATAGGTGTCAGTAGAGTAATAACAAATTACACAGCGTGACACAGGAACTATCTTCATTATGTCCAGGTGGGACGTTCTGTGCACATTTTTAGGATTTCAATAAAATTGTTCAACACTATAATGATAAAATTCATCTTTGAATGGTGATACCAGCGTGCGGTCAATGAATATTATTGCATTCGGTCTACCCAGATGAGCTAGGTCCCTTAAAGGACCCTTATTTGTCCCAATACATGCTGTGATACAAAATATCTGTAGTGTTGATACATTTATGCCTATTGTTCCATTATTGGAACACTAAGCTTGTAGGAGTTATTTATATCCTACTGCCCAAGGTCATCGCCAAGGTCTGATTTTTCACACACAAAAAATTTGCAATCTCCAGCATAAATGGGATAATCAAATTTGATTAGGCAAAGAGATGGCTCAATGGCCTCTCATCTCTAGTGCATACATATGACCACCTTAGATGAAGACAGTCTGATACCTACAAACTACAGAACACCCTGAGATGGTGATGTGCAGTGTCTGAAGGTGCTGCTCAGCAGACATGGGAAGGGATTTACCCACTGGGGGGCCATCTCCAAGCCAGCACATTATACAGCCTGCAGCTATCACAGCAGAGCACTAAAAACTCACAGTCACCCAACACTGACCCCAATTCTTTGAGCCTTACCAAACAAATCTGTTGAGAAACTAGAGACTGTAATGTATAAGCAGATCATTGATGCATCAAGCATGGAAACTGCATGTTGCTTTGTGAATATTCCTGGAGCTCTCATTCTGTGAGCCCACTTGGGCTTTTGCTTTCTTCCCTCCCTGCCCTACTGCAAGCAGAAAATGAAGGCAGCTGAGTTCCGATGAGAGGATCAACGAAAGAGGTTATTTCAAGAACTTATTTTGCTTATCTCTTTTTTTAAAAAGATTTACAAATCAAGTCCTCTTCTTGAGTTCCTAGGTTTAATATTATCATTTGTGATTCATTCACTAAAAGGCTGTTCTATGCGTGGTAGAAGAAGAAATGATTACGAAAATCCTGGATAAGCCAGCTCCCTTTCAAGGGGATCAGTGTCCTCAGTCCCCCACCCCCACCTAAAAAGCAGGTCCCATTCAGCCCAGCCAGCTCATCCCTGCAGTTCCATCCAGGACCTACAGGTGTCGCCCTCCGCATGGCGAGGCCCGGAAGGGCAGCTGGCTGCAGGAGGCAGAGGAGTCTGGACCGCCTAACCTGAGCATGTGGAAATAATATATGTCTTCAAGTGAACTGTCTGGTCCTGGAGAAATAAAATAGGACATTCATAAGCAGTTACACCATCTGTCTTTATACCATCATCATCAACAGCAAGAGGAAAAATAGCTCTTTAAAATGGATGAAAGCCCAGGCTGACAGTAACCGGAAAACTGTGAGCTCTGAATACCAATAAAGGTAGAGAAATGATTAAAAAACAGAGATGCAAACTGAAAATTTGTCTGGACAGCTCAGGCCCACGATGCTTTGCAGGCAGGGTGTGTTTTATTGGTTCCGAAAGCATAAAGCAAGCTGCTTACCAAGAGCCAGGCCTGGGGAAGGGCTTGGTCTCCCGGCCCTGGAAACACGTGGGAACCAGGGGCAAAATAGCATCCCGCTTTGAAACAGAGATCTGCGTCCACACGCTAAGCTCCTAGGGCTGTTATCTAGCCCTTGTTCTCTTTAGGAATGTAGATTTGATACACACGTGCTGGAGAATGGAGGGGAGGTTTTTTGCTTTTCCCCCCACAGATCATGGATTGCATTCCCCCCTCTTCTGCGAAGTCACTGGTAACTGGCTGGGTCATTATTACAGAGGCTGCAGATTTTTTTCCCCTATAATATTAGCTACTGACAGATGGTGGGAACAAGTGAAGACCTGATGGACTGATGATCGGTTTTATCTGGAAAATCCTGTCTTTCCTACAGAAAAAGAGACCAAGACACATAACAGCCACTGTGCCATTTTTAAGGCTGAAACAGACAAATCAAAACCATCTTCTCCTTCAAGCATTTAATGGTATTTCCAATCCCAACCAGAGCACACCAGGAATGCTTTCCCAAGGGCGTGGCCAGGACCTGGGAGAGAAGGTCATCCCCACTCCCCTAGTCCCGCCCTGGTTCTGGGCAGGAGGTAGCAGGCCCAATGCCTCCCAGACAGCTCTGTGTTTTAGAAGACACCAGAGAAGGTGTCTCTAAAACCCATACGGAAGCCCACAGTAGCCTCAAACTGGAGCACCCCCTCCTGTGTGTGTTTTCATGTTAAAGAGTTAGGGAAATAAAAGCAAATACTGGAAAACTGCAGTGTCTTCCTAGGGTCCCTTCTGCCTTTCATTTCCATGTTCAACAGTGACTGAAGGCCTTTAAAAAACCTCTTTGGCTGGGCATGGTGGCTCATGTCTGTAAATCCCAGCACTTTGAGAGGCCGAGGTAGGTGGATTGCTTGAACTCAGGAGTTTGAGACCAACCTGGGCAAGAGAGTGAGACTCCATCTCTACAAAAAATGCAAAAATTAGCTGGGTGTGATGGCACATGCTTGTAGTCGTAGCTAACTTGGGAGGCTGAGGTGGGAGGATTACTTGAGCCCAGGCAGTTGAGGCTGCAGTGAGCCATGACTGCATCACTGCACTCTAGCCTGGGCAACAGAGTGAGACCCTGTCTCAAAAACAAAACAAAACAAAACTCTTTCCATCACCACCTCCTTTTTACAACTGCTTCTCCCAGATAGCACTTACTTACTAGTGCCTGGCAAAATCCAGCCTGCTCATCACTCAGGCTTCCTGACTAAGTGCAGAGCCCTGAAGTGCAAGAATTCCAGCAGATAAATACCTTCTAAAGGGGAAAGCTTCCTAGGACAGCTTCAGTTAAGGGGATGATACCCCAGTCCCAGAAAATTTCCCTTCAATCAAAGTGGTTTTGCTGACCACAAATGCAAATTGATCTCTTAATATACCTTATACTTAGCATCTTGGTAAAGGTGACTGCACAATTCCCCCATCGGTGGTGAAATCTGCTCCTGAAGGAGGAGAGCATGCCAACTGGCAGCCCCATGGGAATTTGCACCAATCTTATGAACAACCTGGAAATTGGTTCGCGAAAGCAGCACCAGGCAGAAGCCAAAAATAGAGGTGGCATCACCACAAAGCCAGCATTCAACCCCGCAACCTCACTGTATGCACTCCCCAAACGCATCACCCAAGAAAATGTTCTAGCTGTTTAAAAAAGAAAAAAAAAAAGGTACTATTTTCCCAAATAATGGGGGCCAAGTGACGTGTCCACGGCGGGTATTCTACGAATCACTTATAAGCTTGAAGGAAGGGGAGTCAATCAATGATTAAGACTAGTCCCTCTGTTCCTAACTCTTAACAGGATAATGCAGATTAATTCAAACCTTCCCCAAACCTGACAAAGCCCCCATAGTGCCTCAGTGTGACAGAAATTTGGAAATTCTCCTAAGAATCAGGGTATCTGTACCCGAGGCTCTCACATGATCATGTTACTTAAATAATACACCAATCTGTGATCCCCGAAGAATGAAATTGTTCTTTCCTTTTTCTTTGGAGGGTGGGATGTTTGAGGGTGGGGGTGAAATAAAGTGCGTTTGCCTGTCGGCAGGCTCAAGAGCTGAGAAACATTAGCTGTCATGAACCACAATCAAATCAGGTTTGAAATATTTAGCAGTGGCTTGGAAAATGCGGCGGTGCAGCTCTGACAGGCGAGATGTGCACAGACACCCACTTTCCATTATAATGGAAATATCAGGCCTGTTCTGAATATGTATAACCCAGAAAAATGTATTGATTTTTCATTCGGCATTAAAAAAAATGAAATAGCCTGCAGCTGTCAAAAGCCTTTTGTTAAAAGCTCATCTTTCCTGGAATGAGGTTTACCAGAAACAAGTTTTAATTGTATATAGGACCTCTTCTTTGAAAAACAAAATAACCTATCTGCTTACTTTGAAGATAGAGTTAAAGCTTTTCCTTTCTCCATTTTCAACCTAATTAACCCAAGGACGACCACTGAAGCAGGTGGGAAAGGCGGGGTACACTCTGACCATCAAGACTGACACGGAGGATGGCAGCTACAAGTGGCGTTTGCTGGTGTCTCTGTGGTGGGTGGAAGGAAGGACTCGGGGATGTGCCTCGCTCTCGTTCCTCTAACTCCTGTGTAGGTGCGGCATCCTGAGACTCATTGTATACCCTGACCAATCACTTGTCTTCTTTAAGCCTTGGCTGGCACAACTGGAAAACGAGGGCAGAACACTCTAGCGTGTCCAATCCTCTTGGCATTTTGTTATCAATGGGAAACCTCTACTGGCTGCAAATATTCTACAGAATATGCAGGCTTTATTTTGCAAATACAGGTCAAATCAAATCCCACAATATAAAAGATGACTACTAAGGCCTAGACCACTTATTTCAAATAAAATCCAGTGCGTTATAATTCTGCTACAATAGAAACTTTTAACGGAACACAATCTGCAATGCTGGTGGACGGGCAGTTGTGTTGCTCCCAGCTTGTTACTTCTACTCCCGTCTTCTCTCTCTAAGCCAGGAAGGAAGAGGCTAGTGGTGGTAATCTTTGTGGCTACACCGATGGAGGTGGGCCACTCCCTATGCCATTCTCCCTCTGTGACTTTCGAGCAAGTGGAGTCTCATCGAATAGTGACCACAAGTCCTGCCAGTGACTCTCCATGAGCCCCAAGCTATATCCTACCTGTACCGTGACAGCCAGACCCAGAATGTAGCAACCTACTCTGCAACATCCCAGACACATCTCAAATATTTACTCCCTGGTTTTATTCCATGGTGTTCTTCCAGCCCTGACAACCTGGCTAGATGCCCGAGAGGTAACTTCCAAGCGATTAGGTCTTCTGGGTAACAATGCCCTGCCTCGGGAATTTTCCCTTAAATCAAGGTGGTTTTTGCTTACCACAAATACAAATTGTTCTCATCACACATCGTACACTCAGCATCTTAGTAAAGGTGACTGCATGTTCTCATGTATGTACACGGAAAAGGGAATTTGCCAATCTCCATGGAAGTCCTCTGTGGATAATCATCTAAATTAAAAAAAAAACACCAACCAACTTTGCCCATTCCATCTTCTACTTCTCAGCAGAGTATATACATTTACTGAGGAAAACGCCAGATCACAAGAGGAAGGGCCTGGGATCCAAACCAGCACTGATGAGTGGGACATATTGAGCTAACTAACCCTATGGTAGTCCAGGCAGGAAACCTCGAAGGGGTGAAGACTGAGTGCAGATGTGTGTGGGAGGGTGGGGGCAGGAGAAAGCAGGCAGGGGCTCTACAGCTGGAGCATCTATTTACTCATCAGAAGTGTAATATTTTCCCACCTTCTCAGGATGTCATTTCTTTTCCAATGGGCAAACTCCAGCGCATGAATAAAGCTCGAGACATTCATGCCCATTTGCTCTCTGCGTGTATGATAAGCAAATGGGCCTCCCGCACTCCTGCGGGCCTCTAGAAGCTGCCTCTTCAGTAGGACCGAAGTGCACCAAGTCAATGGGACAGAGTGTGGGAAAAACAGAGGCAGGTCTCCCTCCAGGGGCGCCATTGCCTTCATCCTTTTCCATTTTCTCACCCACTTAATCTCTCTGCCATGTGAAAGACCTCTCTCCACCTGCTGGACTAAACAGTCAGAGGTCAGCCTAATGCTCCTACAGGTAATTTTCCCACCCTGGTGGCTTACCAAAACAAAGTGGCCAAACTGCTAACAAACTGCTAGCTTGTTTTAAACAAAACTGCCTTCTCAAAGATGACAACGACACAAACAGATTTCAGCCCTCTAAAAGTGGAGAAGATGGGGTCAGAAAGAAACTGGGGTCATGGAAAACTCAGACATGCGCCCTGGCTCCAATGATGATTTTTTTTTTTTTTTTTTTTTTGAGACGGGGTCTTTCTTCGTCACCCAGGCTGGAGTGCAGTGGTGCAATCATCACTTACTGTAGCCTCAAACTCCTGGGCTCAAGCGATCCTCCTGAGTAGCTTGGACTACAGGCACATGCCACCACGCCTAGATAATTTTTGTATTTTTAGTAGGGATGGGGTCTCACTATGTTGCCCAGGCTGGTCTTGAACTCCTGGCCTCAAGTGATCCTCCTTCCTTGACCTCCTGAGTAGCAGAACTACAGGTGCACTCCACCATCCCCAAATAATTAAAAAAAAAAATTCTAGAGATAGGGGTCTCGCTGTGTTGCCCAGGCTGGTCTCAAACTCCCCAGCTCAAGTGATCCTCTTGCCTTGGCCTCTCAAAGTGTTGGGATTACAGATGTGATCCACTATGCCTGGACCTACAAACTCTTTTTCACATGGATCCTTTAAGTAATCATTTTACCACAAGAATTCTTTTTACCACTAGATGGTCATTTACCAAATACACCTGGGGCCACAGCGCCTGGAGTTTCTGGACAGCTTGAAAGGTGGTGGAGAGCTGCCAGCTTCCAAGGGGGTTGCAGCAGGGAGGCCCTGCAGGAAAACCCCACACTGAAGGAATTCAGCCTCCTTACCGCCCCCACCCTGACCCCGTTCCTGTCCCCCATTACCACCATCCCTGTTTTTTGGCATCAGGCTCTAAGAATCAACACTCTGAAAGCAACTCTGGGTATTATTAAAAATGACTAATTGGAGAATAGAGACCATTTATGCTTTTGTATATTTGAAGATCTTACCACTGTTTACAGAAACAAGAAAAATGGGGATTGTGTGGCAAGAGGCAGCCTGGGAAGGGAGGGCCAGGCTGCAGCTGCGTGTTCGGCCCCTGCTGGGCAGAGTATGGCCCAGCTCAACAAGAATGCAAGCCTGGGGGAGCCTCTCCATTTGCCTTTTTACTTTACCTCACCTCCAACTTGAGCATTGACAGGAGAGAGCCTGTTACGAGTCCAAAGTGGCCAGGGCCTATTAAGGCCTCCCCGAGAAAATTTCCCCTTTCAGCCGTCCCTCCTGTGGGAACAGCACAGAACGCCAGAGCATGAAGTGAAAAATGCTGCCGTTGTGTGGTGAGGGACGGGTCCTGCCATTTTTCCTCTCCCAGGCAAGGCCACTTGGCCATTTGAACAATTTGTCAAAACCGCACAAGAATTACGGGGGTGGGTGGGGGTCAAGAGAGGAGAAAAAGGGAGGAAACGCCTAGAGCCAGTATTGCAACAAGTTCCATTTATCTGTGTTCTTAGCAAAAGCACCTGGGTTGCCCCCTGCAGAAATCCAGAAAGGATAAAAGTAAATGTGCGGTGACAAAGCACAACGGAACGAAATATGTCGCGGACTCGCCTGGTGGCTATTCACAGGAAGATTTTTTTTTTTTTTAATAACTGAAAGGTGTGAGTTCCAGTTTGTAAAATACAAACCCAACCCTGAAACGCTCTCGGAATACACGCTAAGTAAGAAAGCTAGCTATGTCCCAGAACTCTGAAGTAAACGGAATTCAGCAGGGATTAGTTCCCTTGGATTTCTACAGAGCCATGATTGTTGCTGTTACTTTCACACATGAAATGTAAAAAAGGCAAATTCCCCGAGCATGTCTGTAGCAGAGCGTGATGTGATTGTGTTGTCATTTATGGGAAATAATCGCAGGCCCATCTCTCCCTTCCCCCCCCCATTTTCCAGTCCAAATAACCATGAAAAATTACACTTCAATGTCAGCGCGACGACAAAGGAGGCGCGCTCTCTGGGAGCTCAGCGGATTTGCAGGGGTTTTTCCTTTCTTTGGACAAAAACTACCTTCAATTGTACTTCATTTAAAACGTGATCTAACAAATGCATTTTGACAAGTTCCTTTCTCTTTTTCTCCTTTCTTTCAAACAGTATTTTACACAGTTTAACCTCACACCAAACTGGAATGTTCTAGAAAGAAGGGGCATGCAAAATAGAAGGTCCTTGATACCAAGAAGGGTGTCCCCCATCTCGTTAAAAACAAAGGAGTCAAGAAAAATGATTCCAACCCAGTATGCTACTGAGAAAGAGAGGAGGATGAGAGAGAGGAAACAGTAATGTCTTAAAGACAGAAAATTTGATAAAGCCCCACCCCCCCCAAAAAAAAGCTGGAGTTGATAGAAGAAGGTCTCGATGGAGTATTTATTTGCTCATCAGAATTAACCATTTTGTGGATTCAGAGGCATCATCTAGGGTGTCTAGATTTATGGTCAGAATTGGGGGTTCATGACAATGTGGGGGGGATGAAGAAGGGGAGCTTCCCTGATGGGGTACCCGTTCCCTCCTGTCCCCTTCCTCTGTAGGAAGGGACATTTTTCAACAGAGCAGACCTGCCTGAAAGCTTTTTAACATTCCAGGTGTGAGGCTGAGCAGTCCCTACAAGCATCTGTCTTTCAATAACAACCTGCCGGAAATAAACACTGCCAGGTTTCCATGCTGGGAGGGGAGAAGACAAGACAGATAAACACACATGAGTGATAGAGAGTAAATTAAAAAATTTAACAGTTTCCATTAAAGAAGACTGGTATCTCCTTCTGAATCAAAACTGACTTGGCTTGTCAGAGAGAGATCTTATGCTTAATGCAAAAAAAAAAAATCCGTTTCCTTATTTATTTATTTTTAATTGGAAAATACTGGAAATATATGGATGAAAAAAAGTCAAGGAGGGCCTGTAAGTGTACTTAAGCATCTATATACAAATGAAGGTGTATGGGAAATGAACAGGATGTACCAGAACTGATATTAAATGATGGTGATTAGAACCTAATGGGCATAAGTGAAACCTTGTGGGATGGCTCTCGTAACAGGAGCGTCAACGGTGATGGATGCAATCTATACAAGAACGACAGCCAGGGAAGGAGAGATGGAGGGGCGGCCATGCAGGCCCAAGGCATTTGCAATGCTGGGGAGACACAGTTTGACAATACCAATGGGAATGACGGACTATTTGGGGCAAAGAGAAGCAAAAAAGCAAAGAGAAAAAGAAAGAGGTAAACATTTTGTGTCTGACCATCGAAACAAATGGCACACAACAGAGAAAAATAAAACCATGACTCCAGAGGTCTGAGTCACATGAGGATACAAATGAGGGACTTGGATTCCCTGTTTGCCACCTTACTCTGAAGCCCACAGCGTCTGAAGAATCTCTAACCTATTCAGAAAACAGCTTCACCCTTGCGAAGCACAGAACTCAGGCAGAAATATGAGTTTACTCCCACCAGTGGACAGCAGAATGAGGAACTGACTGTCAATGAGCTTTGTTTTGCATGATCATAAGCCACTAATATGCACAGCTGGTAAAATAAGCTGATTCATAAAAACAAAGCACAAACAAAAGGCTTACACTTTCCAAACCAAATCTGGGGAACAGAAATCAGGCCAGCTTGAGGCAATGCTGCACCCAGAAAAACACCAGCTAAATCTGCTCTCCCTTGGCCAGACCCAAGCATATACAAAGGTCACTACGTATTTACAGGTTGCACATTCAAGAATGCAATGCTAGAAACGTGTGAACACCCGGAGTGGCCAAGAAAAGACCCTTACAACTGCAAGCATCGTGGGGAGCCTTCAGGTGCCTACCACGAGTTCCCTGGTGCCAGCGGAGAAGAGCCTAACTCTGCCAGAAGCCAGACCCAAGACATTTCAAGGTGCGTCTACACGTGGAAAGTCAAAAACTGGGCTACTCTCCAAAAACCATCCAGTCCCCAAGCATGCATCAGTTTGAAACAAACAGGCAACAGAAGCAACATGTTTCAGTTGACATTTCCTGGGAAACTGCAAAGAAAGTGAAGCAGGAAGCTGAGGTACAGAGAAAATCCAAAGGTTTACGTTCAAGAGCTTTCCTCCATTAATGGGGGAAAAAGCAGATGGAATTGCTAACTTGTCATTTTTAATAGGCACCTTGTACAGCTATTCTGTGTCCAAGGGGAGAAAGAATATTGGATCCTCCTCCTCTTTAGAAACTTAGAAAGTGATGCCAGTAGTTGGATCCAAAGCCTCTGTTTTTTTAAAGTTTGGATCCTGTACAATGAAACGGTCTTTTGCTAGGGTTTAACAAAATGCCACCCCCACATCCCTTTCACAATGATTTTAGCTACAGCAGCGCTCCTCAAATCTCCCACAGCTACTAAACTGCCCTGTAGACTCAGCCTCAGGACTCGCTGTGTATCTATTTAGCTTTTCCTCCTGTGAGGTGTTTCTCAGACCTAAGAACAGGCTAGCAACCCTTGAAAAGCAATACATTCCATTCCACAAATGTATACAGCAATATCTCTCAAGGCCCAAAAACACACAGTGATAGTCATCAAGACAAACACTTGAACAAAAGTAATTTAAATTCTAGACTCACACCCCATCCTGTTTAGTGGTGGGAATATTCGAAAACAACAAATACATGAAACCTAAGAGAAAGAAAATGTTGCCATGAGATGACAAAGTCATCAGGGATCGGGCAGAAGGTGCAGTTTAGTGACAAAGAGTTGGTACTTGACACAGAAATAAGGGATCTATAGAAATTTGTAGCACACAATTACATTTTAAAGAAATAATCTGGGATGCTGAGATCCTTCCGTGTACACACTGCAGTTGGCGGAAGCACTAGAAACCCGCTGACAGAAAAATCCTTACTTCAGACGTCCCCAAACTTTCATAAGTGAGCAACTTGTTTTTTTGTTTTTTTTTTCTTTTTTCTTTTTTTGAGACAAGGTCTTGCCCTGTTGCCCAGGCTGGAGTGCAGTGGCACCATCTCAGCTCACTGCAGCCTTAGCCTCCTCGGCTCAGGCAATCTTCCCGCCTCAGCCTCCCAAAGTGTTGGGATTAGAAGTGTGAGCCACCATGCCCAGCCAGCAACATTTCACAAAGTGAAATACAGAAACTGGACAGTGAGAGAATAAGGAAAGGAAACTCGAAACAAATGAAAGGTTATGCTTCACTTTGTAAGGCCAAGATTTTAGCAAAGAAGGGTAAAACAAGCCAGAGGTGTGAAGATGAACTAATCAAAGGGCAGTGCAACACTGAAGATAAGACCGTCCCATGATTAGAAAGAATAAAGTAAGTGATTCTTCACTTACCAAGCAAAATCTTCAAATAGGAGGAGGTCGGAGGAAGGAGATTTAGATGGCAACCAATGAAAACTTTCAAAAAACAAACCCAGGTAAGGTTATATCTTAAAATTAAATATATATTATGGTAGGAAAAAAACCGGATCAATTTCTGTTAAGAAGAGCTAGCCTATGAGTTGACTCAACTACTAAAGAACTTTGCTGAAAGGTTAAAAAGAATAGGAAATGTTCCAGGAGAATGGAAATTAAGACAGAAAACAGCCTTGAAGACAGGTAACTTGAAGAATGGAGATATATAAGCAAGAAAAGATAAAAGGGACATTGGATTAAAAATCTACCTGTGTAAAATTTAGCTGGATACAATTAGGATGGCAAAAGCAGAAATTTCTTAGGTGTTTTAGAAAATATAAAAAGGATAACTAGGCAGAATAGTCCAAACACAAAGAGAGCATAAACATGAGGACAGCAGATCTGGGAAGGAGGAATGAAGGCTGTTCGCAAAAGCCTGGTCACCGGCAGGTTCTACCTGTGTTTTGAGGTATTTGGGGGAGCTGACCACAAGTACCTCAATTTTACAGACTAGGAGACCAGGGATTGGAGCAGGATAGGGCTCCAAAGCCACACAGTGGGGCCAGGCACAGTGGCTCACACCTGTAATCTCAGCACTTTGGGAGGCCAAGGCAGGCAGATCATGAGGTCAGGAGATCGAGACCATCCTGGCTAACACGGTGAAACCCCGTCTCTACTAAAAAATACAAAAAATTAGCCGGGCGTGGTGGCGGGCGCCTGTAGTCCCAGCTACTTGGGAGGCTGAGGCAGGAGAATGGCGTGAACCCGGGAGACGGAGCTTGCAGTGAGCCGAGATCCCGCCACTGCACTCCATCCAGCCTGGGCGACAGAGCGAGACTCCGTCTAAAAAAAAAAAAAAAAAAAAAAAAAAGCCACACAGTGAGGAAACCTGAAGGAGGGTGTCTAAAGGAGGATGAAGGCCATCAGCTGTGTAGGGAAGAAGTGCTCGGGGTGACGCTTACACAGTCAAACAAGACAGAAGCCATGGGCAGTGTGGGCGGTGCAGCCTCACACCCTGCTCCCTGGGTGCTGGCTCTGCGGGAATCTTCCCTCCATCAAGGTGGTGATGTTGAGGCAGGTGGATTCTAATAATGGTACCATAGTTGTTCAAAGCAATGCCTAATTTTTCTTTACAGTTTAAGACAAATGGCATGGCAAGGATAAAAAATGAACTCACCAAAACCAAAGCAAACCCCACGATACACAAAACAAAACCAGCCAATCCTGTTTCCAGGCACCTGGTACCCTGTTAACTTCCTGCCCAGTGGCAACATGAAGCCCCAAATAAAAGCATCACATTTAAAGAAAGGACAAGACACAGCTCTCTCTCCCCCTCTCCTACATCCGCACACACTCACCCACTCACTCACATACTCCTCCCCTCCATGCTCTTTTCTGGAAAGGGGGGAATCCCAGAAGTACTGCTCCCAAATGGCTTGGGGCAGAGCTCATCATCGATATTCTGGATCAGGGTGAGGTCCAAGGCACTGCTGACAGGGTTGCTGTCACAGCCCCGAATCCCAGCCACAGAGAACTAGCAAAAGCCAAGTAATTGCTTTTTCCCCTTCCACTAATAAGCTTTTCAGCAGAGGAAGAATTCAGCTTCCTGTAGTCAACAGACCCTTTTTTCCCTGCCTCTCCTCGCTCCAAATAATCTAAAGTGACTGCAATTTCAGTCCTGGCTCTCCAGCATTCAGCTCCAATGGCTGAGGTCAGAGGGTGTCAAGTGAGGGCTCTCCATTTCTTTTCTACTCTGCCTTCACACCGCCCATGTTTCTTTGTAACTGAGGCAACCTGCCTCCCTCGCCCAACCATCACATGCACCCCCAGCACACAGCACACAGACCTCACATTCCAGGAAATGTATTTTAAGGCCCAAAACACACTGGGGCTCAGGAGTGGTGGTGGGGGGGTGGGTGTCCCTTTGCTGTAAACAACTAATAATGACTGACCTCAGATGCTCTGGTGACCAGAGCAGCTGATATCCCCGTTCTTAGAAAATGCACCGCAGCAGGACATTGGCTTAGAGGTCGTTAAACCATGTGGCTGGTTGTGCGGTTTTTGGTTTAGTTTTATGCAAATGACTCTGGTTCCTAAATTCTTAAGATCTTGCTATGCATTTGTGGCATTGGTATCTTCAGGCCTGGCTCTGTGTCGAATGAGAGGCAAGTAGACTGCCCCGAAAACCCTGCCCCGCCCCCTCCCCTTCCTCATTTCCGAGATGAATGAAATGCTATTTCAATTAAGTCCTGTAGTAACAGTGCTCCCCTTCCCTGCCTTCATAGAGAGCTAAGCCGAGAGCACAGACAGAACTGAAGGTGAACAAACAAAGGGAAATGGAATGAATGAGAGAATGAACAGGTGCATGAGGGGAACGAGGGAGGCCCCGGCAGGTTCCTGCTCCTCCGTGTGGCGGAAAAGAGGGCAAGGTGCGGACACCAGAGGCTTGCTTCTGGAAAAGCAGCTCCAAGCGGGGGAAACAGAGGCAGCACTGCGGAGATGAGGCACACTTCTTCCTCCCCCTGCGCCCAGTGCTTGTGAAGGTCTGGAAGGGAAGGAAAGAAGGGGAGATGCACCTGAGAAAACACTGGAACCCCCTCCCCCTGCCACCACACACACGCCTAGAGGACGCACACTCCTGGCTGCAGCCCGGCCTGTGATGGGAATTTATTTCCCTCAATTATGTGCTCTTGTCCCCAGTCTCAGTTCATCAGCACAGTGCAGCCAAGTCAATGAAAGGCTCCATAATGAAGTCATCGCATGCACAGGGACATCCCGGCACCTGCCCGCTGGGCTGGCAGGGCTGCAGCCACGCCCGGCCCTGAACCAGGCCTGCGTGGGCTCTCCGCCCCCAACTCACATCACTGCCCCACGCCACGTGCTCCCACGCTCTGTGTCACGGCACCCCCGTCCTGCCCCAGGAGCCTGTGTTCTGGCTGCCATCTTCTTTGCCCCAATCCCAAATGTTCTGACCGCAAAGCATCTGTGACCCAGACCAATCAGTACAAAACACTGACGACTTTCCCTTTCTCCTGCCTGTGTAGACCCCTTCACCACCAAGAGCCTGATCACAAAAACCAATACCACGCGCCTGGAAAGCCTCCATTGGCTTAAGTCATTAGCAAGTATCTAACAATAGCAACACAATCATCACTCAGCTGAAGTAGATAGTATTAGGACTCTCATTTCACAGATGAGGCTCAGAGAGGTTAAATTACTGGTGAAGGTCACATAGCTAGGAGGTGACAGCTGATGCCAAGGACCATATGCTTAATGGCTACCTCTAGAGGCACCAACCATGGTGGCCTTCACAGGAGAACACACACTTGTGCTTGTGCTGTCTGTCCATCCATCCGCCCACCCATCACATATCCATGTGGCACCTACCCCAGGCATTGACAACACGGCTGTGAACACAACAGGAAAGCCCCTGCTCTCATGGGGCAGGGGCAGGAAGGAGTGGGGAGAGTAAAACACAGTAAGCAGCTCAGTAAGTGAGCATATTCTAAGTCAGAGGCTGCTAAGGGTCAACGATAAAGTAGAAAAAGGAATCCAGGGAGTTCCTTAACATGGGAAGCTCAGAGAGGGTGGCATTTGCACACAGACCTGGAAGAAGTGAGAGTGTGAGCCACAGGAGGCTCACATGGCAGAGGCATGGCACGTGCAAAGACCCAGGGCACAGAAGGAGGGCTGGCCTGCTGGAAGAGCGCTGAGCGCTAAGCAGGGAGAGAAGGGACAAGGCAGGGGATAAGCTCAGAGAGGTCTTGGGCAGCATCCTGTAGGCCTTGCTACCCACTGCAGGCCACGGGCACTGTGAGCATGAAAGGTACCTTTGAGAAAGTCAGAACAAGGTGCTCCTCCAGCACCTCTTCCTCTGGGCACATATGGTCCTGAGACCCACCACTCCCTCTGCTGGGTAAGGTAGTGTCTGGGATGGACTGCAGTCTTTATGCATCCCCCTTAGCAGAGAACTGTTTGTGTGGGGGACAACCTGCACGGCTTTAGCTGGTGGCCCCGGCAGGGATTTCCAGTAGAAAAACTCCTGTCTTTCCCTAAACATGCATGTGCAATATATCAGTGCAGATACGGATGTGGCTGCAGATACAGATAAAATCTCTTTGAACCTTTCCATTTACTGGGGGCTGGCAGGGGTGGGGGTAGAGCTGGCCTCACGGTGAAGAAACACAAAGAGGGGAAGCGGACCAGTGGCTATCCTTTGCCATGGGCGGTGCTGCAGCACTTGGACAGTCTGGACGCCCATAAACCAAAGGACCCATCTGACCATCGTGCTCTGAAGCCTCTCCCTGAGAAGAGGACAGGGCAGCACCAAGACTGGGGTGAAGGACTCAAGGCTCAGAATGGCAAATGCAGAAATTAGTTACTGCGGTGCAAATGCAGAAATTAGTTACTGACTGTTCTGCATGTCCCTTCTATGGAAATGCATTGTCCCTGCACCTAAATGTATTTCAGTGGACTTTGTAAATTTAAAAGCCATAGAAAACTATGTGACCTCGGCAGGGCTATTTTAAGCTAGCACTTCCTAGTACAAAATGAATTTGGTATTGAGGATGAAGGGGGGACTTTATTTTTCTCAAATTGGCTGTTGTAGAAGAAAGTCTGCTCAACTCAGCACTACCTAAGACGTGTCTCCCCCTAGTGACACGCAGACCTCTCTGCTACTGGTGCCACCACCCTGCAGTCTCAGGGCTGGAGCAAGGCAGCTAGGTGCAGGCAGGCAGCATTAGTTCTGCAGGCTGCATCTGGCCCTGAACCTAGGACCAGCCATCTCTTGGTACCCTGGGAGCTCCAAGAAACTCAGTGGTCAGGCCCCGGAGTGTTCCAGGTTTTGCTGCAATGTTAAGAAGTGAGCCCGGAGCACCCCCAGGGCAGCTGATCCACACACAGCTTCCGCAGCCAAGGGAAAAGAGGGGATGGATGGAGGCCAGGATAAAGAAGGGGAGGGGTGGCAGGTAAAGGGAATCTCCCCAGAGGAGTGAATTCCTTTCCAGGCTTGCTGGGGACCCAACAGGGACACCCCAAAAGGCAAGGCCTAAAGCCAGAGCAAAAACAAGCAGACGCAAAGCAGGGGAGAGTAAGCGATGGGCGAAGACATAAAAGCCCAAAGATGAGAGCTGAATGGAACAGGAAGCAAACCAGGGCCAAACCCATCACGGCTTAAAGCAAACGTTAATGTAGGTTCCACATTGATCTGAAGCCCGAGGGGGAGGAGGCTGGGTGCAGCCAGGCTCCTCCCCTCCTCCATCTCATTCCATTCACATCATCAGGAGAACTGTGTTTTGGGGAAGGGGTCAGGACAATGATTGGAGCCTGAACTTAGCTGCTGCCTTTTACAGTAGCTTCCCAGAATAAACTGCCCCAAGACTTCATCCATCACCAAAAAAGGCAACTGTAAAAACACAGGTCGCCAGCCCCTTGCCTCACACCAGCACAGTGGCCCTCCCTCCGCTCCTGGGGATGGGGGTGCTGAGGGGGAATGGAGGGCAGGCGCTCAGGCCTGGCACTAATTGCTCTTGGGGATGCTGTGTGGTGTGGGGGCTGTTCCCTGCGCTAAGCAGTTAGGAACTTCCTAAATCATTAACCTTTCTCGGAGCGCATTGTACTGGGAGGTGCTCCCTCTGCAGCCTATTCACGAGCCCTATTGATCTGCCGCACACTCGGTGCCTTCAAAGTTGTTTATGATCAATATGCAAATTGCCCATGGCATTGATCTAGTATTAATTTTCAATTAGGGAATCCACAAGGGGTCTCTGAGGGTCAATACCTAACAATGCAAAGGAAACTCCGCTGTGGAGTATCAGGCCTGATGCTGATAAAAGCTTCCTAAGCCTCCTCCTCAACAGTTCCAGGCCCTCTGGGCTGTCACCTTCACTGTGGCTCATTTGGTTCCCTCCTAAGTCAGACCCCTTCGGCGGCCTCCCAGGCTGGGTCTGCGGCCATCACCCTGTGCCCCCCCTCCCACCCCCTATGCCACTGGAACACCTCCTGGCCTGCCAGTGCCTGCCCCTCTTGCCCGCCCTCCTGATCAGATGCCCCCAGACATGCCTCCTCATCTCCCCATGCCACGCCCAGACCCAGGACCACTCTCTCCCCCAGCTCCCCAACCACACATACCTTCTTCCTCCCTCTTTCCCTTTCCCTCGTTTCTGCTTAGTCACGGAACGTCACCTTGGCATGCTGCCACGGCTGGAGCTGGCGAGCTGCACGGTCCCCAGAAATCTCAGGCAGGCAGGCAGAGCGCCGGGCTGCCAGGTTATGCTTGGCAAACAACCCACTGATGTCATTTCAAAAAACCAGGGGGGAAGGAAAAAGGCACAGCTTCAAATCATCTGTTTCTCCTTCTTTCTTTCGTCTAGCAAAATTTTTCTTCCTAATGAAGCCCGGGGGTGGGGGATGTTAATTACTTTACCACTCACTCATGGTTCCCAGAAGAGGCCAACGCCCGCCCTCCAGGAGCACAGGGCAGTGCGTGTGAGCCACTGACGGAGAGTGTCCCTGGGGACAGTGTGCCCAGCTGGGACTGGAATGACCCGGGAACTCAGTCATTCCATTTACGCCCCTAACAGCCCCTGAGAGACTTGCGTGGGAAAGCTCTGCAGCCAGAGGAGCTGCAAGAGAAAAACGTGGCTTGGTCTCCTCCCAGCAGGTAGGGGGACAAAAGCAGGGCTCAGCCATACTCCAGCCTGGGGCCCAGCCGGCTCAGCCTGACTTCTCTCTCTGCCAGGAGGTTGAAATGTGCTTACGTTTGGAATAAACCTGCCTGAAGATGAGGCCACGATCCTGCCAAGATGGTGCCCACGATCCTGCCTAAGTCCCAACCCATGCCCTGCCCACTTTCCACACTGCCACTCATGGCACTAACCAGTGCATTAGCTAGCCAGGCTAATAGGTTTATGGATAACATTAATTACCACGTTCCTCATTAATGGATGAAATCTTTATTGGTGCCATTGATCAGCGGACTTGTTAGCTGGCCTCCTAACCAATGGCGGATGTAACAAGCGTTCTTATTGGCATATCAATTAATGCAATCAATTCCTGGCCAACGGCTGCCATTCACTTCCCTGGTTGTTCGAGAGTAGGAGACAGAGCCCTGTCAAGAGTGCCTTTACTTAGAGCTCCAGCTCTCAGCTGACTTCCAGGTGGGCTCTCTGCCACTTGGAGTTCACCTACCAAAAAAAAAAAAAAAAAAAAAAAAAAAAAAAAAAAAAAAAAAAAAAATTCACACCTACCCTTCCATCTGAAAATCACCTTTCCGTGTTCCAGTGATGACAAAAGTGCTAAGCTACGTCAGGGGACATAAGCTGAAAGAAAAGGTGGGAACGGTCGGGGGACTGTCAGAGCAAACAAGAGGATTAGAGAAATCAGATGTTTCTAGGTTAGGCACTGATAGAAATGATTCAGGCCCCAGACTGGACTAGGGACAACACTCCAGATGGGACCAGCCTGAAAACACAAGCCACAGCCATCATCAGCCCTCTGCCCACCCTGGGGAAGCCTTCCTGACCCCAGCCTCCCCAAGCCACAGTCACACCTACTGTCACACCTACAAAGTCACACCCACCAGTGTCTACCTCACTTAGCACTTCAGACCACAGGTCCCACATGGAAACATCACCTGCCCATCTTCACTCCTACGCTTCAGTACGGAAAAGGACTTACCACAGGACGAACGACCATCCCACTGTCACTACCAAGTGTGCAGTAAATCTGTGCACACAAGTGCTATTTTCATGTGTGTTGAAATACACATAGTCAATCATTTCAACAGCACTTATATCACTGTAGAGTCGAAGTTGGGGAAAAAATTTCTCTGGGCAGCGAGAAGTTTTTAGGGACATTGATTAGAGGAGGCTCAAGGAACTGGGGATATAGGGTGGGTCCACAGAACCATGGACCATGGTAGAGCTGGACTACTGATGACCAGTGATCACCAGGGCATTAACACCAGAGCAAAGAGGCCGGGCTCGCCAGGCCCACAGCTTTGGGAGGAAACGTGGAGGATGCCTCCCCCTAAGATGTGCTTTGGGCTCAAAGGATTGACTGGAGTTTGCCCCAGATGGGAGCAGCTTGAAATATTATTCCAGATTTGTTTCTAAAAGCCTAAAATTAAAAAAAATAATAAATCAAAAAAGGAAGAAAAATCACTACTCAATGATGCTAGAGCTATTAATAAACTCTGCAAGCAGGAACATTTGACTCAAGGGGAGGGGGTGCAAGCAACGAAAACTGGTGGGAAGCAGATGGGGTTGGGGGGAGAAAGTAGCTTTGGGCCAAGTGGTGACAGGGCCCAGGAGCCTGACTGAGGCTGCGGTGCAGGGACATAATTCTCAGCGTCTGAAAGCATGGCTCGGGGTTTCTAGGATAAACAGCAGAAATATTTCCTTTCACTTATAAATAGAAAGTGCCATTTTTTTCCACATGGAACGTCATCACTTCCATGTTCACAGTACGGAGGAGAGGAGAGTCCTGAGCAGACAGGGCAGGGACCAGAGAGAGATGCCCCAGCCAGATGTTACACTCTCAGGGTGGGGACCAACAGATACCAGGAAGAAGAGGGACAAGAGGCCTCCAAGGGGAGGCCAAGACCTCTGCAATCCACGAAGTGACTTTACATGAAACAGGATTGCACATTCTATGCAAAGGTCACCCAATGTGGGTGACAGGGAGATACCCCGACAAGGGGCTCTTCATCAGCCACTCAACACCACGGCGAGTCTTCCAGAGAGAGTACTCTTGGGTTCTTGCAACGGCAAAAGTCCCAGTGTACTTCTGACTAGAGTTCCTACAGTATTAATATAATGGTGTCTAAATTCCTCTCTGGGGAGCTCCCAAATACCACAAGGGTTCTGCACATTTTGATTCCAATTTCACTTTTTTTTTTTTAAGATGGAGTCTCACTCTGTCGCCCAGGCTGGACTGCAGTGGTGCAAGCTCTGCTCACTGCAACCTCCGCCTCCCGGGTTCAAGAGATTCTCCTGCCTCAGCCTCCCGAGTAGCTGGGATTACAGGCCCCTACCACCACGGCTAATTTTTGTATTTTTAATAGAGACGGGGTTTCACCATGTTGGCCAGGCTGGTCTCAAACTCCTGACCCCAAGTGATCTGCCCACCCCAGCCTCCCAAAGTGCTGAGATTACAGGTGTGAGCCACCGCACCTGGCCTCAATTTCATTTAAAATGCTGTAATAATAAGGCATGCTCAAATGTGATATATGCCAAAATTTAACACACTGGCGGCCAGGTGAACTAGTTACGTGGCCAAGTTAAACAGCTTTTGCGTAGACTTTAGCATAAAACTTCTGCCATTTTCACTTAATGGAAGACTCTTCTGGGATTGCAAGGCAGGCTATTAAAACCAGTCCTGTTTGGAACTACTTCTGTATGAAAGAGGATTATACAGAAATTGTCTAAAACAAAATATAGAAACAAAACAGAAGCTTAGTTGATACTATTTAACTACCTTCCACAATTCTTAATTTTGATCTGTTGATCAACTCTGTTTTGTTCTAATTTTTTAACTTAATAAGTAAATGTTAAAAATCTGAACTCCTAAAATAACTATAGTTTTCAAGCCTTTTGAAACATTGTTTATATACTAGGTCCAAATTCGTTTGCATTTTTTTTCTAAAAGAGGGCTCCGCTAATAAAATTTTACAAACCACCGCTCTATCTGATGTCTATTTCTAGATTAAAAGTGGAGCGCACTCCTCAGAGAGCCTCCCTTGAGAAACAGCACAGATAACTGAAACTTTCCAGGAAGAATTTAAGAACTTCACATCTCTTAAGTGGACAAAACACTCTCACATACATTTGACTGGCTATTACTACTACACAGGCACAAAAAAGATAATGTCCCAAAATGGAGACAGCTGTGCAACAATGGATGATTTAAAAGTATTGCTTAAGTTGTATATTTTCTTTTAAGTAAAAAATGAGGGAAGAGAAAGATCTCTTGATGACTCCTCATAGAAGCAAAACCAAGTTCCTTTTATAAAAAGTTTCCTTTTTTTAAAAAAAGAGGGAGAGGGGCTACTTCTGTTCTCTGTAATGTTGAATGCTCAAGAGTGGCAGTTGATAACCTAACCAGACAGAACGCTCCCCATGGTAGTTTTCTCCTCCAAAGAAAAGAGCTTAGAAGCTTTCTCTTTGGAACAGAAGAGTCCTCTATTCCTTTATTTGCTCACTAAGTCATTAGTTAAACTATCCGTTCATGCCTCCTAGGTTTCAGCCATTCTGGATCCAACTGGACAAGTGAGTCACAAGCCTGCCCTCATGGAACTTACCCTCCAGTAGATCCACTTTAGGTAACATAAGATGGCTGTGTTATGTCCAGAGCTTTCTCATTGAACCATCACGTCAACATGTACTTGGACAAGAAAATCACCTCTTTGACTCTGTTTGCTCACCTGAGGGATGACAAGGTTGACCCTGGGTGGTCTAACAGGGCCACCATGCTAAGGCTCTAAGTTGGACACCTTCAATACTATGAATAGCAGGAATTGTTAAAGAATTAAACCCCACCCACTCTAAAAAGACTGTCTGATCCAGGCTTCCCTGAATCTTCACCTGGGTGATTATGATCAAGGTTCTTCTACCACCAAACACAATAAGAAATCAAATCTTATCAGAATTGAGCTATAAATCTGTGAAGACTCCAATAATTTCTAGCCAAGGGAATAACACCACAAAAGTACTTTTTAAACTAATTACTCAGATTCTGAAGTGCTGCCCTAATGAGCCTTCTTTCTGCCCAGAACTTACTAAGAGGAAAAACTACCTTCTGGTGCAGTAATTACTGCTTTCCCCTTCAAACTTCTAACTGGAGATCGATGCTGCATTTTAAGACCCATTGATTTACAATTAGCCTGGCTTTCCTGCTAAAGTGTTTTTTAAGCAGAGTTTACTTTTATTTTATTTTGAAATCTCTGAGATCTGGTTCTTGGATTTTACATTCTCATGAGAGGAGACTGGAAATCTCAAAAGAGGAAGGTAGGCATTGGAAGAGAGGGCAGTAGAAGGATGCAAATCAGATTCAGGAGGGCGGGGAAGGAAGAAAAGGAAGTTGGTTTGGTCACAGAATTTTTTTTTTAAAAGCCAAAACTCATGCTGAAAGGGAGAGAATGAAGAAATCCAAAGAGAGGAAGCAGAAGGCTGAGCGGCAGGAGGAGAGAGCTAGGTGCACAGACTAATAAAGTGTAGCTGCTGTCAAGGTGGCTGGAATAGCTCTTTATGGCCTCCGCTGTTTATTAGCATCCTTGAGAAGGAAAAAAAAAAAAGAAAAGAAAAGAAAAGAAAAAGCTTTGTGCATCTTTGCAAAACAAAGCACTAGTTAAAAATAGTGTATGCAGCAGGGACAGTGTGCTAACATGAGGGTCCTGGCAGCTCCAGCATTTGCACAATCTGTCCCATGAGGAGAGCAGAAGTAAGCGAAGCAATTAAGAATTTCATGCTGATTGCTCTAAGCATGTTTTCTATGCCATAAAGATACTAGCATAAAGGATATGGCCTTGCTTCTCTCCCTCCCCTGCCTGCTAACTTTTGCCTTCTAGCTTTTGGACTTTTCCTTTTCTTTGCCTCCCATGTTTGAGGATTCGAGACAGTGGTTAGCCGGCCTGGCACCACTTTATGGAATCTGTCACTTCTATACCGAAAGAAATGGCGGTTGTGTGCGAGTCTCTCCCTGCCCTTGATCAAGAGCAAATCTGGAAGAGGAGATATAAGCCAAGCTGCATTACTAAAGCCCTAAAGAGGGAAGGCTTAAAGAATGGGGAAACTCCCTCTGAGGCCTACAAATCCGGGCTCTCCAAGGCCCCTCCTGCCACTCCCATTCTGGCTCTTCACTATTTCTGGGTCCCAAGAACGACTGGCAGAAGATGGTCCTGGACAAATGAGAGCAAAAAGTAAAAATTCCCAAACAATAAGGGGGGAGGGACAAACCACAAACTTTTTGCTTTTTTAAAAAATGTATTTTATAGCAAGATTGGATAGGCCAATTTCAAAGACTAATATGAAAAAAGTGCAATTAAATCCTTGAAAAACTGACAGATCAGCAAAACAAAACCACCCGGAGGAGAGCCCGATTGAGCCTCATTAAGAGGGAGTTCAGCCTGTTTTTAAAACCCTTCTTAACACTTAGCTGGGTACCTCCCAGCAGTGCGCACTCCCAATGCGGCTGGCATAATTAGTGTCAAAATGGAAAGAAAAAAAAAATCAACCTAGGAAATAGAAATTAAAACACAAATTGGTGGGTGGGGGGGGGGTGTCAAATGGAAAAAACATTCCAAATTCAAACAACAAACTCCTATCAGTCCATCTGAGGGCAATGGGGAGATAGCAAAATACTCTACTGTACGCAGAGATAAATACGTTCCAATTAAACAGAGAGAGGGCTGGGGCAGATTGAGAAGATTTATGCTGCAATTCCCCATCTTCAACCTCTCCCTCTTCTCCCAAAATATATTCTACATTGTGGTCACGTCAACTCCACAAGGCTGGGGTTAATGGCAGATGGATGGCAAATTGCACCAACCTCATCAATTATAACCATCATGCCTGACAATGGGGAAAATGAGATCTGGTGACAAATTTCCACACCTTCAGCCATCAGGATCCCCCAACGCTGGAGCGCGTGCACGCGTGTGAAACAGTGTGTGTGTGAGAGCATGAGTGAATGCATTACATATGAAACCACCAGCCTGTAATAAGGAGATATGGAGCTGAGACCCATTATAGAAGGGCAGGCCACTAAGGAAGAAATACTCTGGAGATGGAAAAGATGGCAGGCAGATGAAGCCATTTTATTAAATCAGGCAAATTCTAATTCATTCTGCAGAGACAGAGGAACGAAAACGGATTCATTCTCAGTATATCCTCTGAGCCAGCTCTTATCACCTCAGCAGAGGGAGGAGTGAAAGAAAGGTTCCAAGATTCATCTGGAAATCGAGAGAAACCTTCCCCTTTAAAAAGCAAACATTAAAATATATCTATTTCAATACCCTGCACCAGGAATATGGAAAATAATGCTCGCGCCAGAGAAACGCAGGGGTCCTTCTCTGGCTTTCCAATTATTCCAGCACGTGAAGAAGCTTACAAATTTGACTCATTGCAATAGGAAATCAGAAAGGCAACTGCAGCCTAGATAAGTTGTTGACAAGGACTGACAAAAGGGATTGTGGAACATCTCCCCCAATGGCAAGAAACGCCAACTGCCACCTTCCCCGTGGTGGGAACTTAAATGTCGATTTTCTAGTTGAAAACAGTGGAAAAGAAAGGCCGTGTATGAGAACACCAAGCACAGAGGTTGCCTTTCATTAACAAAAGGCGCTTGTGTTTAGACTGCAATTAGAAAACCAAGGTTTTAATTAAACAATTACATAAAAGTTAGTTTGGCTCCCTGTATAGTCCAACACTTCACCAGCGCCTTGGGGTTAGTTTAGCAATGAGTGTTTAGAGCTCTGGCTGCTATGAAGGGGGGAAAGAAACTGATGACACAGCGTGCATGTAACTGTAAAGCTAGGCGCTGTACCTGTCTGTCTGCAGCTCCCCTGCCATGTTCTAGAACAAAGGAAAAGCCAATGAGACTGACAATGAGCACGCACGTGGTCAGACCACAAGCCATCAGTAACATCGTACTACTCATGGCTGAACAGAAGAGATTATTCAAAGTGTCATGCAAGACCTGGGGGGCTCACGAGGCTTCCGGTGTTCCCAAGTGAAGAGCTGCGTCTCTATCAAAGCACAGGCCAGGTGCAGCTAGCTTACTCTGTGCCTCTTTTAACTAAGAGGGATACGCAGGAGCTTAGATGCCTTCAAAATCCCAAACCACCTCTGGGAGGAGAAGAAAGCAATCTACTTTTTCACCTGCTGCTTTTACACCACCTGGAGACAGCTGCCCAGGGCAGACAGAGGTACGTGTAGGTCCAAGGGCTTAGATTCCTAGGGGAGACTTCAATGTCTAATCTTCCTAGCACATGGAAAACTCCTCTGTGGCTCCCAGCAATCATCAACCTCAATGCTCAAGAGCTGCAAAATGAAGTGAAATTAGTTCTTCCCTATACACATCAGCTTTGAAGACAGAAGGTGGCCACCTTCTACTAAACCATGTTGCAGGAACAGCCTGGGCCATCTCCACCCTTGGTGAAATGGATTGTGTCAAGTGAGTGGGGCCTGGCTTATAAATACAGACAGGAAGATTGATCAGTTTTCACTCCACAGCACCCACCAAAAGTACACAGACCTCAAAAAGCAAGGCCATTCTGCCAGTAGGGCAGCCAGTAAGGAGAACTCCACACTGACACCCGCAGGTGATGCTTCAGATCACACCTCCACAGGAGCTAAATGCAGCCTTATGTTTCCACAATTCCACATTCCCCTGCCTTCCCACCTGCTTGGAATTCTTCCAGCTCTGAAAAGACCCATGTCAAATGATAAAGAATCCAAGATGGGCAGCCAGTTGATACTGACCAATGGCCTCATACATTGCCTAGCACTGGACTATCTTCCTAGGCATTTCTGATCAAGTCACTGAAAGAAAACCTAAACAACAGAGCTAATTGGTTGGCAAGATGCTGTATTCTGTATAATACCCAAGGCTAACCAAATCACAAGGTAATCAGTATTTGTTAGTTTTCATAGAGGACCAGCCCCATTTGGGTTTCACAAGGACAGGAAGTTCCTCCACCTACAGAGATAACAGAAAAATAAAAAATAAAGACTAAGCTGAGTGTGGTGGCTCATGCCTATAATCCCAGCCCTTTGGGAGGCTGAGGCAGGAGGATCACTTGAGCCCAGGAGTTTGCCCAGCCTGTGCAACATAGCGAGACTTCATCTCTACAAAAAATAAAAGTATTAGCCAGGTATGGTGGCACATGTCTGTAGTCCCAGCTACTATGAAGGCTGAGATGGGAGGATAGCTTGAGCCTAGGAGTATGAGGCTGTAGTGAACCGCGATCGTGCCACTGCACTCCAGCCTGGGTGACAGAGCAAGATCCTGTCTCTGTAATTGACAAAAACAAAACAAAACAAAACACTAACAAAACAAACTTAATTCCAAGTTAACAAAAGCTGAGGAGTTATTTTTTCCCAACTTCAGGCTGCAGCCCTGCTAGGTTTGCAAAGAAATGGGAAATTTAAGGATAACTCTGAAGGTTGTATAATTCATGCCACTGGTTCTAAAAAGCAAAGTTGCCTTCCCCACCAAAATCCTTCATCTTTCAGACAAAGGCAGGGTTTTCTTGCCGTTTCCAACACCTGACAGTGTGAACTACCGGAGTAAGAGAGCAAGGACCAGGGCCCGCTGCTCCTCAGCCTGAAAGGCGGGGCAGCCAATCAGAACTAATCTCTGTGCTGGAAGTAAATTCAGTGTTCTCTTCCCTGATCTGGTGCGGCGGGGGGCTCTGACGGCAGGGGTGGGCTTGCTTCCCTTGGTGCCCCCATCCCATACCCTAAAAACTAACAAGGGCCTTTCTGGTCAACACCTCTCACCACAAGCAGCCGTGGAAGAAATTATTTTAGATCAAGCCCAAAATGAAATCCAAAGCAACGAGGCTGACTTTATGACTTATTTATTTATTTCTTCCTTCACGAACAGAAGGTTAATATAAGAGCAACTCCTTGGCAAACCTTTAAGGGTAATTCAAGCGACACTGATGTGAATCAATGTTCCCTTTGTGAACACATTACTTGGCAGAAACTGGCTTTTTGTAACCCCCTTAAACATAGCCGGCAAAACAAAAAGAGGGGGGAAAATGTCCTTCAAACAAAAGGATGAGGTGAAAATAAAGAGAGAGTCGACTGCACTTTATTCTCTTTCATAGAAGCAAATGGATCTGGTGCTTTTATACATTAATCAATCAATATCACTGGCTGTACATCAGCAGGGTAGCCAAGTTATGAATGACCTTTCTGGCAAAGAGGACACTTTTAATGCTCATAAGACTGCTCATAGCTTAGCAACTTTCCGAATTTATGCCTGCATGATTACCCCTTGGAGGCGAGCAGCCGTGAGTGCTGCACTAAATATGGCAAGGTTAGTCGTTTTCAATTTGTGCAGAGGGAGGAAGAGATGTGGACCTGGCTGCCCCATTTACGCACGAGCTGCCGCAACCTGGGCGACACAGAGGGCAGAGCCCCAGGCCCTGCAGCGGGTCAGGGCTGGCCTCCCTTCTGGAAAGCCGGCCGGGTCTCCTGCTCAGCTTCAGGCCAAACCAAACACGGCAGCTTCAGACAGCTCATCTAGAAAGCTGTGCCCAGCTCAACTTCGCTTTCTGTCTGCTTCTCACAATCAGATCCTGAGTTCCTCAAGCTGACAGCCAGGCCGGACTGGCCAGCACGGGGTATTCCCAGGCTCCCTCCACACCCTCTGCCCTCTGGCTTCTGTGCCTCTGAAAGCCCTCCCCACGTTGATTGGACTCCTCCAACCAGGTCACAGCTTGATGTTTCCAAAAAGCAATGAGAACTTTCATCTTTGTTTTTTCTTTTTTTAAAGCAATCCACAGAAGGGCATTTCTACCGAAAAGATGACGCTCTCCAGAAACAGGCAGCCCACATAAACAAACTGTTGGGCCAATCCTCTTTCTTTTCCCCTGTCACCAACTCAGCCATTCTCTTCATGTCCAAAAGGCGAGAAAGTTCTCTGGATTCCATTCTTTGTGGGTGGAAATGGGGCAAAGGGTTGCCTGTGGGTCTGGATTTCTATGACAACCGCTATCGTCCCAGAGAGGCCGCAAGGGGGCAAGAGACAAAATCCCACCTCAGCCTTCTTCTCCCAACTCCTCTTTTACAGCCATGTTTAAAGTCTCTGGAAGTCTGGAAGAGATTCCCAACTTGGACATGTGGAAGTCCACTTATAAGGCCCCACTTTTTTCTGTCTCCCATAGAGGGAAATAAAGACGTTTAGGGATTTGAAATATAGCTTTAACTTCATATAAATTAGAACAGAAGAAACCACAGGCTAAAACTCATTGGCCCCACTGGAGTACAAGGAAAATTCAGCGCAGAAACGAGCTTTACTGAGACCATCCTTTAGTCTACAAGGAGTTGCCCAGTGAGGGGAGAATGCGGCAGGACATGGGTTAGAGGAAATGAACAGCTGGGTTGTGGTCACTTCTGGTAATGGCCTTAAGAACACAATTGGGCCACTCCGTGTTCATATTTCTGAGATCAGAAGAGTTTACAGAAACAGGACTCCGCTCCAAGGTATCACTGATAGAAGCCCCCAGGCCGTAAGACAGGCTAGTTTACAGAAATGGAAGATAAATAACAATGAAAACAAGGAGAAGAGAAGCTTGTAAGGACACTATGCAGGCATCTCCGAAGGGGTGGCGAGTTCTTATTTCCGTGCCCCTCGACATGGTGGACGTTTGCAGCTCCTAGCCCAGCTGGGAAGTACAACACTCCCTCAGCGTTCCACATACTTAAATAAATAATCCTGGTCTCGTTACCGATTATATTTTAACAGATCCAGATTCCCATCTAGAAAAACGGCTTTCTGTTTAGAGCAGGGAGGAAAACACAGAGCCCCCTCCAGCTGGTCCCCCTGCAGAGCTGGTTCTGGGATGGTGCCGCAGACACCCGCTTCCTGTTCCATCAGGCCTCGGTGGAACGGCTCTGTTTTCCCCCAGGAAGCTCCAAATCCACAAAGTCAACAATTCTTAAAAGCCTGCCCGCTTTCCCCCCTCTTTCCTTTCAGCGTTTAACAAATATCAAACGTGTGTCCCTCCAAACCACCTTCCAAATTTACAAACTTTTTACTTTTTGAGACAGAGTCTCACTCACTCTGTTGCCCAGGCTGGAATGCAGTGGCACGATCTCAGCTCACTGCAACCTCTCCCTCCTGGGTTCAAGTGATTCTCCTGCCTCAGCCTCCCGAGGAGCTGGGACTACAGGCATGCACCACCACGCCTGGCTAATTTTCTATTTTTAGTAGAGATAGGGTTTCACCATGTTGGTCAGGCTGGTCTTGAACTCCTGACCTTAAGTGATCCACCCGTCTCAGCTTCCTAAAGTGCTGGGATTACAGGTGTCAGCTACCACGCCCAGCCAAAATTTACAAACTTTTAGGTCCCCTTTGGAGCTGCCACCCTATGGACCGCCCTCACAGAACACAACACCTCAGGGAAGGGGTTGGCTAAATGCTCAGTCGTCTGTCCTTTCTCGATCTTTGCGCAAGCCTGGCTGTTCCTCTGACAGCTCTCAAAAATTCATCCCTGGTCTGACAGTTAAAAATAATGCATTTATTTTTTGTGTGCACAACGGTGACTTTACAGCCTCCCAGGGTTTTCCCAAGTTACAGACACCACTTGCCACCACTTTTCTTCATCTTCTCTTACCTGGCCAACAGCAACGGGTCAGCAGATGCTTTTCTCACGCACCTTCCCTCTCCCATGCAAATGACTCCCTAACCCGCCATCCACCTGGCAGACACCTGTGTCCCCTGTGCTGTGTTGACATCACCCTTCTGGAAGTGCTTGGTACCAACTGTCCCCTACAGCCACTGGGCTGTCTTGTCACACATTGCCATATGGCATGTCCTCGTTTTGCATATTTAAATCGCTATATCAAGAATATTAACAAAGATAAAAGGGTATGAGATCTTCCCACTAAGCATCGGGTGGAAATTCTCACATTAGTAATAATGCAATGTGAACCCAACCCCCAGGATGGAGAAGCCACTCAGAAGCTGGCCGGCCATCCTGTTTTGGGTGCAGTCCCAGACACAAGGACAAGCCCTCCCTGGGAGGCGGGTTACTCCTCAGAGTCTGGAAAAAGAGACTGTTTCCCCATCCACGTGCACATTTCATTACACCAGTGAATCCTGATACCTGGGTAATTTCAAGCTTTTACCAGAGCAAGAGAACACCCTAATACCCCCAAGGAAGCCCCAAACGCCTCCTGGAAAACCAGAGTCCAGGAATGGAAAAATACATCAGAGAAAAATTCTATCTGAAAATGTGGAATTACCAACATGCAAAAGATGCCAGAACCAGAAAGCCTAACCTGAAGGTCCACATATTTTGTAAAATTTGCACAAGAATAGATAGAACCCGCTGGGCATGGTGGCTCATGCCTGTAATCCCAGCACTTTGGGAGGCAGAGGCGGGCGGGTCACTTAAGGTCAGGAGTTCAAGACCAGTCTGGCCAACAAGGTGAAATCCCACCTCTACTAAAAATACAAAAATTAGCCGGGTGTGGTGGCATGAGCTTGTAATCCCAACTACTAGGGAGGCTGAGGCACGAGAATTGCTTGAACCCGGGAGGCAGAGGCTGCAATGAGTCAAGATCATGCCACTGCACTCTAGCCTGGGCAACAGAGCAGGACTCCATCTCAAAATAAAAAGAATAGATAGAACTGGAATTTTCTGTTTCATTGTCGGTGTCCTCTGCTCCCTGAGACCATATGCTCTGTGGGGAGGAACTGTGTGACACACTGTATACCATGCAACTTCAAGGGAAATCAATCATGTTAGGCCACTGCTGAATACCTCCAAGGGTTTCCCATAGCACTGAAACCCCAAACTTAGGACCCTGCTTACAAAGGTGGGTCTGGTGGTAGATGCCACCCACCTCAGCCCTCCCTAGGACACCAATTGCACTGGCCTACCTTCTGCCCCAGGGCCTTTGCACCAACCAGGCCCTAAGCCTGCTGTGTTCCCTGCCTTCTTCAAGGTCAAGTCAGGTCACAGCCTAAATGTTACCACCTTAAAGATTTAGCATTTAACCTGCCTTTGCAGTATTCAGGGTAAACAAATATTTAATGAGGAAAGCTTTCCCTTGATAAGGAGTAGCCCAGCTAATAAGTGAAGAAATAATAGAATGAGAATATCATCATTTTGCCAGCTCCAAATAAATAGGAGATTTGGGCAATGATCATCAATGGCTAATAACATCACAAAACAATCAGTGAGACATGTATCTCCTGATCAGATACACTGACTAACACACATGAAGCAGCCATGGAGAAAAAGTAAAACTGCTCCTAAATGAGATCAAGTGTCTAGATTTAACTATCAGTTCACAGAAAACACAGGGGTACAGAAGAACATGTTCAACAATGCTGTGGGGCTATAATCATCAAAACATCCAAATCCCGACTGCAGGGATCCTACAAGATACATGATTCAGTTTCTTCAACCAAAATTGCAAGGAAGGAAAAAAAAAAGTTAGAAGAGGAACATACAGGTAAAGAGACTTTAGAGACATATCAATTCATGTAATGTGAACACCATGTTGGCATCTGGATTTAAACAAAGCAACTATCAAAAAACACATGTATTAGGCTGGGTATGACAGCTCACACCTGTAATTCCAGCACTTTGGGAGGCCAAGGTGGAGGATCGCTTGAGCCCAGGAGTTTGAGACCAGCCTGGGCAACAAAGCAAGAACCTGCCTCTACAAAAATGAAAATTAAAATAAATAAAAATAATCCATGTATTAGGGAATTTTTAATATGAACTCAATATTTGATGATTCCATGAATTTATAATTTTTAGGGGTCTGATATTGCAGTCTTGTTAATAAAAAAAGAGAGATACAGGTCAGGCATGGTGGCTCACACCTGTAATCCCAGTGCTTTGGGAGGTCGGAGTGGGAGGATTGCTTGAGCTCAGGAATTCAAGACCAACTTGGACAACACGGCAAAATCTCATCTCTACTAAAAAAAAAAAAAAAAAAAAAAAAAAATTTAGCCAGGCATGATGGTGCGTGCCTGTAGTCCCAGCTACTCAGGAGACTGAGGCAGGAGGATGGCTTGAGCCTGGAAGATCAAGGCTGTAAAGAGCTATGATCGCGCTACTGCACTCCAACTTGGGTGACAGAGACAGAGAGAGAGAGAGACAGAGACAGAGACAGACAGAGAGAGAGAGAGAGAAAGAAATAGGGATGAAATGATATAACCAAGATTTGTTTGAAAATAATTGAGTAAACGGAAGCAGGGAGTGAGGGGTAGTGTATAGATGAAACAGGACTGGCTGTGAGTGGGTATCTGCCGAGGATGGATGATGGGTTCATGGGGTCTGCTGGTTCATACTCTACTTGTGGATATGTTTGAAATTATCCAACTCAGGAACACAGATGATGGGTTCATGGGGTCTGCTGGTTCATGCTCTACTTGTGGATATGTTTGAAATTATCCAACTCAGGAACACAGAAGGTTCATTTTTTTAAAAAAGTTCCTTCCTTCTGCACTTTGGGAGGCCGAGGTGGGTGGATCATGAGGTCACGAGATCGAGACCATCCTGGCTAACATGGTGAAACCCCGTCTCTACTAAAAATACAAAAAAATTAGCTGGGCGTGGTGGTGGGTGCCTGTAGTCCCAGCTACTTGGGAGGCTGAGGCAGGAGAATGGCGTGAACCCGGGAGGCAGAGCTTGCAGTGAGCCGAGACAGTGCCACTTGCAGTCCGGCCTGGGCGAAAGAGCAAGACTCCATCTCGAAAAAAAAAAATTTCCTTCCCTGACTATCCCTCTACAACAGGTACCTCAACAACCCCTAGTCACCCATCTTATGTTTGATTTTAATTCTTTACCTGACCCTTATATTTTTTTCTTTTGATTTACTCCTCATAAACCCTTCTTGATGTAAGCTGCACAAGAGCTGGGGCCTGGCCACCCACATTGACCACCATGTCTCTAGGGCTTTGAAGATACCTGGCACATGGGAAGCTTCATTAAATACACATTAGAAAACATAGAAGCACATGTACAAACAAGACCACATCAATCATTCAGTAGCAACTCAGAGCGTCGTGCTCTCTTGTCTTTGTAGGAAGTCTTGAGGGGGCGTTCATCCCCCTTCTTAGGAAGATGTGAAAGTATTCCCGGGCCACCCAAACAGTTTAAGCATTGTATCTTGGCAACAGACTGTCATGTATCGATAGACACACAAGTAAAGCTTTGAAATCTTTCTCTAAACTTGTGAATGAAGCACCAAATACCATGGACAGAGCAGCAGTTGACCTCTCAGGTGGCCCACACTCTTGGGCCTCACTGCATGGCCACCCATGTTATCGATCAGTTGATCACATACTGGCACATCAGGACCACCAATTCCAATCCCAACAGCTATGGCCTATATCAGAATCCAACCAAGAATGAAAGCCATCAATCATCTACATAGCAGGCTATTTGGAAACATCCAGATGTTAGAGTTTTGAAGATGATGCCTAGCGCAATCTAATGGAAGTGTTGTTCAATTTATGAGCCGTGATGATGCCACCTGAAAAATGAGACTGTCCTGTAATCCTGGAGGATGCAAATAAAGATGTGGGCCAGTGCATTTCCAGCCAGGATAGCCCAAATGGGTGTTAGGTGAGGCCAATATTCCTCTACCAATGAGGCTATTTTAAAAAGTGGATTTTGCATTCCTGCCTACTGTCAGGATAGTGACAGCCGGCTGAACCACCCTAATGAATTATTTTAAACAGAAGATGAAACATTAACTTAGGAACCTGAGAGAGAGGCTTTCACTTTCTTAAGATGAACCTGTGACTTGAAAGAGTCTCACCAACAAGTATTTATGGATGACTTCCATGTGCCCAGGCAGGGCACAAGACTGAGGACTCAGTTGAGAACCAGGTAAGGTCAGAAAGGGAAGAGACCAATGGGAAAAGGGCTTGTGGCTGAGATCCCTCCAAGGTGCCATCCACTAGCCCAGCAGAACCCTCAATATACACACAAGCCCGTTCAGCCCCGAGTTGGGCTCTGAGTGCCATGGATCTGTCTTCACCTTCATGGCGGCCCTGTGCTGGGCCATATCAGGCATTTGGGCTGTGACAGCCCTTGTTAACAGTAGTGCTTGGCTCGCTCTCTGGTGAGCTCCCAGAATGAACTTGGATCTTGTCCCCACCCAATGTGCCAACCCAAGGGCACACTGACAAGGAGTATGCTGTCATAGGCTATAGGGACAGGTATAGGCAACAGAAAGAGAAGGCGAGTTTTTGCTACTGAGATGGAGGGTACCTCCACTACCTGTGACTGGCCAAAGAGGAAGGCTGTGGGTTGGAGGTGGTCAGGGTCACCTCCAAACTCATCACAAATGAGGGCTTCCACCATCAGGACTGGCTCTTCCCAATTCTGCTGCTGACCAAGGCTTCTGTATCCACAGAGAAGCCCTCTGTGGGGCTGTGTGCCCTGCAGGCTGAGGTCATGGTTACGCCACTCATGCTCCTTTGAGGCATGAACTCTGGAGTAGGGCTCCCCTTGCCCTACACAATGGAGGAAACGCCATGCTGAAGATTCCACATGCCACCGGGACAGCCCTAAGTGGGAAAGGGAGACCCGGGGCTTCTCTGAGCTCAACATACTCCTCCCACACAAAGGAAGCGGGTGTACTGAGGCTGCAGCCCAGAAAGATAATGTGATGCGGTCGTGAGATGCCCAAATTGGAAGGAGGAAAAAAAGGAACAAAGAAATCACTGTGGACAGATGAAATGAAAATCTGGCAGGGCTCTGTCCTAACAAATGATCCTAAAATGAAATAACACTAACTTTTCTCCTTTGGCAGATACACAGAGAGGGAGAGTGAGAGCAGTAGCCAGAGAGGGAGGGTCAGAAAGAAGGTTGCACCCACTATGTGCCAGGCTCCACACTAAGTATAATGACACTTTATGTACATTCCCTCACTTAACTGTCAAACAAAGATTAATGAGGTAGACCCCCTGAGGGTGCATTTGCGTCCCCTTTTATAGGTAAAAGAATTGAGGCTCAAGAAGGGTGCAATTGGGAGCCCCTGAAACAAACATGTAGACATTTTTTTGTGCATGTGCATTCATGAGCATTCTTCTGGGGTGAGGGATCATTTCTTTCATTAGATTACCTGAAAAGGTAAGAAATCCTCAGGTTATATAACTTGACCAAGGTCACTAAGCTCAGAAAAGCTGGGATCTAAACTCCTATGTGACTTATAAAAGCTTCTGCAACCAGATCTGATCTGAAAGCCCCCAGTCTTCACTGAGTAAGAAAGAAAAAGAAATACAAGAGTTGAGGAGATGGAAAAGGAAATGAGATGGGTGCTGGGTCTAAGTAGAATGTCCAAGGACATTTACAAGCCCCTTTCACTATCCCAGAGGTTCTTCAAAGCCATGGCACCTCTTTGAACATCTTCAGTGTACAGAAGTGACATGAACCAACCCCACAACAACCCCACCCATTCACCATCCACACAGGCACAAACCCACCGACCTGCAGTTCCACCTTAACTGAAGCCAGAGAATGACCTGGAAACAATGGGATAAGCAGGAAATATCCAGATTCCCTAAATTATCATCTCTCTGGAAGTTCTGCAAAATATGAACAGTCATTATCTTGCCTGTATTGCTTTTCTTAATTTGGAGAGGGAACTGTGTAGAAAGTAATTAAGAGTGCACCTCATTGGCATGAATGTTTCCCACCATGGGCTGAACAGAAGATGATGTGGTGGGTCCAGTGTCAAGTCTCACTAAGCCAGCATGAGACTGTCCAGGCGGCATCCTCAACCCCACAGGAAGCTGAGGAAGCTGTCATCTGTGACTCTGCTGGGAAGAAGCTCAGCATTAATTCTACTCCACCAGGTGTCAATAATGTCAGTGTGGCATATTATGTGATTACTCTGAGTGGTTACACAAAATTTAGAAGAAAAAACTGCACTAACAGCATCACTCGCAGAGCAGAACTCTGGAAACGTGCACTTTACGCAATGGAGAAGTGCACTCTGTCTAATCCTGAGCAGGAAGATGAGAACGATTTTATAAGTGTGTCCCCTTCTATCTGGAAGATTGCAAGACACATGGAACGCCTTTCAGAAGACAAAACATACCAAAACATACCAAAATCTAAGACTGTAAGAAGCAACATCGTAATCCCATGCTAACGTTAATACCCTCATGGAGTACGACTACCCATGAGCAAACTCTTCTTCCATTTATTGTTGACACCAGTTTAAACATGTAATCCACATTTATTTTGATTGGATCATCTATTTTTGCTCTTGCAGTCATTTCCTGTCAAGTTTCTAGCCAAGGTGAAAAGTAGCGAACCCCCAGAGTAGACTCTTTGACAGGGGAAAAAAAAAAAAAGAAGAAGAAGAAGGGATGCTGTCTGTGCCCAGGCACTATTTTCTTAAGGTGGCAGCTTTCCTCTTCTAATGATGCCTCTGGTCACTGCACCAACCAGTTGAGTCGGTTTTTCTGGAAAGTTCTCACCAATCACTGAAAAGGGTGTTTGTGGAGGCCAAAAATGGTGACAATATCAAGAGCCGCACAGAGTCTGCCAAGGAACCCACGGGGCTCCGACAAGATGGCGCCCAAGGAAGCATGGAACTAACTGAGCCACTGACGAATGGGATAGATTCTGGACAAAAGTAATGTAAGACATGATCCCTGCCCCAAGATGTTTCCAATTTTAGGGATGAATAGTAAGCAAATACTAAGTAATCAGCCAAACGAGGCTGTCCAATCTTTTTGGAATAACATGAGATACATAAGTAATACATAAATGTAATTGGGTGCAAGGGTCAGTGGTACAGATTCACTGCTATATTCATTTACAAAAGTGGGGAATGAGGGAGGTATGTGTGGTTTTGATGATAACATCATTTTCACCCTCCCTTCTTACCCATTCCTGCCCTTCATCTTATTCTCTCCCACTTGGAGAATCAGCGCCTATCCAAGGCCCAAGCTCACATCCTCAGATCATCCTTACCTGCTCTCTTCCCCATTTCTCCCAGGTGGAACCACCTAAAAACAGCATTAAGTGTCTCACTCTAACCTAGACCCTCTGGCATCCTGCACCTTACATAAGCTTTCCCTCACATTCTTCCATCTTCCACTGGGGAGCCAGTCTTACCCTCTAAAACAAGGAGAGATCAGGTGACTTTGCCAGGTCCCCCAGATCTCAGGGCTCCGCACTCCCTAGAGGGGAAAGTCCTTGCTTCTCCCCCTCCACCCGTTCGCGCTCTATCTTTGGCTACAACTACATCCCATGACCTTTATACACTGGCAGATCTTCAGTTTTCAGGGTCCACATCGACAGGCTTCTTAGGAATCTTCTCCTGTTAGACAGTGAGATTCCTCAGGCACAGAGAGCCTCCTGGTCACCTTCTGCACCTCCACCTTGATTGCTTCTCCAGGCTCAAGGCTCAGTAGCCCTCTGTTCACCTCAGGAGTTGTAAGAAACAACCCTATTGTACATACAGCCTTGGAGATGAAAGCAGGAATAATTACCTCCAGAAAGGAAGAGTGGGTCTTGGCAGGAATTCTAAGAATGGACAGGAGAAAAAGCTGACGATGATTTGACATGAAAGGAAGAAAAATCAGAAGGCTGTATTTCCAAAATCCAAATAACAGAGAAAGGGTGAAAGGTGAAGATGAGACTATGCTTTCTGAGCCATCCCAGGGCAAACATCTGCTTTCTCATTCATTTCCTTCAGATAAGGGAGAGAAGACGGAAAGGAAGGCAGGAAGGACTTCAAATTTTTAACAGTTTTAGTAGAGAAAATGGAAAATTAATCAAATGCTATTACCAGGCCTTACATTTAAAAAATACTGGGGAGACTAGAAACACGAAACAGCAAGCCTGGCCCTGGAGCCTTCACTTTCCCTTCTGTGAGCTCTTGCACAGTTACCAGCCCCTCTGCCATCATCCTTCAAGGACCAGCCAGCCAGAGCCCTCGCCAACCAGAGGCTCAGTTATAGCAGAACACACTGATGAGAGCTAAAGGTGTTTTTTTTTTCTTAAATAAAAGATTTAGAAATAAGTTACAATTTATCATAATACCAACTTTCACATTCTAAGACCCTGTTACCCAGGCTCTGTCCAAGGTAACACATGATCTTCCTTCTTATTCTGTAATAGTTTCTTTGTCCACTTCCCAAAGCCTCCATTCCTCGTTTGACACCATGAGTGATCAGTGACATTTTAGAAAATTCTTCCCAGTCTTTCTAAAGTTCTGGCCTGCTGAATTTCCTGATCATCTAGAAAACCGGGAAGGGGAGTATAGGCTAAAAATAAACCTTAATGACCACCACTTTCATTTGCCAAATATTTCTCCCTATTGATTTTTATTAGCCATTTTTTCAAAACAATCTCATTTAAACAGTTCAATTCCTTATTAAATCATCTCCAAGCATATCCTCACTAGATTCTCATTAATTACAAAGGGAAAAATAGTAACTTCAGAATGGATAACCCCAGAAGGAACCACCATAACTAACTGACCAAAGCTGATGCCCGCAATCAAGAGACAAATCAATATCATGTATCTCATGAAACAATACACGAGAAAGAACACGCTTTCTTTTTTGGCATTTCTACCAAAATACACAGCCTGATTCTAATCATAAGGAAGCATCACATGAACCCAGTTGAAGGATACTTGACAAAACAGCTGACCTACACTCTTCAAATATGTCAAGGTCATAAAAGGGCAAGACAGAGGAACAATGCTAGATTAAAGAATATGGGCCAGGTGAGATGTAATCCCAGCACTTTGGGAGGCCAAAGCGGGCAGATTGCTTGAGCCCAGGAGTTCAAGGCCAGCCTGGGCAATGTGGTGAGACATCATCTCTACAAAAAATACAAAAACTAGCCAGATGTGGTGATGCATGCCTGTAGTCCCAGGTACTCAGGAGGCTGAGGTGGGAGGATCACTTGAGCCCAGGAGGTGGAGGTTGCAGTGAGCCAAGATCTCGCCATTGCACTCCAGCCTGGGTGACAGAGCTACAGAGCTAGACCCTGTCTTTAAAAAAAAAGAAAAAAGAAAAAAAAACGGCTGGGCACGGTGGCTCACGCCTGTAATCCCAGCACTTTGGGAGGCAGAGGCAGACAGATCACGGGGTCAGGAGATCGAGACCATCCTGGCTAACACAGTAAAACCCTGCCTCTACTAAAAATACAAAAAATTAGCCGGGAGTGGTGGCAGTGGTGGCAGGCGCCCTTAGTCCCAGCTACTTGGGAGGCTGAGGCAGGAGAATGGCATGAACCCAGGAGGCGGAGCTTGCAGTGAGCCGAGATCGCACCACTGCACTCCAGCCTGGGCGACAGAGCAAGACTCTGTCTCAAAAAAAAAAAAAAAAAAAGAAAGAACATGAAAGAGGACAGCTAAATATACCTTGTGATCTAAGATATTCTTTTCATACAAAGGATATTATTAGGAAAATTTGAATAAGGACTATAATAACCTAATAGTTTTATAGCAATGTTAGTTCTCTGATTTTGATCATTGTTCTGTGGTTATGTAAAATATCTTTGTTCTTAGGAAATACACACTAACTTATTTTGATGTCAAGGGGCACCATGTGTGAAATTTACTCTGAAATCCTTCCCAAAAAAATGGCAATGTGTATATTTCTATTTATTCTCCGTCTTTATGGAGAGAGTAAGATTATGAATGCGAGAGAGAAGTCAAAAAAGGAAATGTGGTAAAATGCTAATATTTGGGGAATGCAGGTGAGAGAATTTTCTTACTATGTAAAGTACATTACTTTTCTATAAGTCTGAAATTATATCAACATTTTATTTATTTATTTATTTTTGAGATGGAGTTTTGCTCTTGACGCCCAGGTTGGAGTGCAATGGCGCAATCTTGGCTCACTGCAACCTCTGCCTGCCAGGTTCAAGCGATTCTCCTGCCTCTGCCTCCCAAGTAGCTAGGATCACAGGTGCCTGCCACCATGCCCGGCTAATTTTTTTTTTTTTTTTTTGAGACGGAGTCTCACTCTGTTGCCAGGCTGGAGTGCAATGGTGCAATCTTGGCTCACTGCAACCTCTGACTCACTGGTTCAAGCAATTTTCCTGCCTCAGCCTCCCAAGTAGCTGGGATTACAAGCACGCGCCACCACGCCCAGCTAATTTTCATATTTTTAGTAGAGACGGGGTTTCACCACGTTGGCCAGAATGGTCTTGATCTCCTGACCTTATGATCCGCCTGCCTCAGCCTCCCAAAGTGCTGGAATTACAGGTGTGAGCCACCACACCTGGCCTTTTTAAAAATATTTTTAGTAGAGACGGGGTTTCACCATGTTGGCCAGGGTGGTTTTGAACTCCTGACCTCATGTGATCCGCCCGCCTCAGCCTCCCAAAGTGCTAGGATTACAGGTGTGAACCACCAAGCCTGGCCAAAATTTTAAAAATTTTTTAAGGAATTGGCTGGGCGCGGTGGCTCACGCCTGTAATCCCAACACTTTGGGAGGCTGAGGCAGGCAGATCACGAGGTCACGAGATGAAGACCACACTGGCTAACACAGTGAAACCGTGTCTCTACTAAAAATACAGAAAATTAGCCAGGCGTGCTGGTGGGCGCCTGTAGTCCCAGCTACTGGGGAGGCTGAGGCAGGAGAATGGCATGAACCCGGGAGTCGGAGCTTGCAGTTAGCCGAGATCCTGCCACCGCACTTGCACTCCAGCCTGGGCAACAGAGTGAGACTCTGTCTCCAAAAACAAAAAACAAAAAAAAAATTTCAAGGAATTACAAATTGAAATTAAAATAAGATTCCTAACATCCCCAGTCCAATTATATAATTTTGTATTCTTAAGTATTGCAATTATATATATTATGCATATTTCAGATGATATGCAAATTTCATTTACTACTTATTGTTTCCATATTGAGGAAAATGTTCAATGAAAACAGAGCTCCTATCAGCACTTGCAGTTCCCCTCCAATACAAATAGCCCCAAAATCAACATATTATTCCCCTCTTTAAGGCTTTCTTTTTACTCAGAATTCAACATGTGAAAGTACTCTCTAGGTTCTCAATTTGTTTAGGAGATTACGAGAAAAATAGGAGTTTTCAGGTATTTGTGTTTTGCTTTTTTTGAGACAGAGTCTCACTGTGTCATCCAGGCTGGAGCACAGTGGGGTGATCTTGGCTCACTGCAACCTCCGTCTCCCGGGTTCAAGCAATTCTCATGCCTCAGCCTCCGGAGTACCTGAGACTACAGGCACGCGCCACCATGTCTGGCTAATTTTTTGTATTTTTAGTAGAGAAGGGGTTTCACTATGTTGGCCAGGCTCGTCTCAAACTCCTGACCTCAAGTGATCCACCCGCCTCGGCCTCACAAAGTGCTCAGATTAGAGGCATGGGCCACGTGCCTGGCCATGTATTTGTTTTAAATAAATCTATGATATTCACACTCACCTACACGCCTTTCAAAAGATGGTGGGGGGTGGGGGATGGGCAAAACTAGACTTCCGAAAGATGGAAGAAAATGGGATTGCAATTTTTGGCCCTGCCCAAGATCCTCTCTTTAGGCAGAATGGCCTGCTCATTGGCTCCCGACCAGAGTCCTGAACTCCCACAACAGCCTGGGGTCTTCTTCCTCTGTCTCTACTGATTTATCTTTCCAGTTTCAGCCTGACTCTCTCCTTAGAGCTTCCCCACCATTCAGTCCAGGAATTCCTCACCCTCGAAGGCCCAGAGTATTTACTTCCTGTTCCACTCTCTGCTACTCACTACGGATCATCTTGAACCCTGTTAACCTTCAATGGGCGTATTTTTCACATCCTTCCAAAAGATCATAGGCTGGGCTCATTTCTTCTGTTCTTTTTATATTCCCTCACAGCAACCAGTATTTACAACTAACAGATGTTTAATAAACAGCTGCAAAGCTCAACATGCCCTAATGTTTTCAATGCAAGAATGAAGGGGAAAGAATGCCTCTGAATGACTCCAAAAGCATGCTTGGAGAAAATGGCAAATGTTTCTGCTGCACATTTAGAGGCCCCAGAATACAAATTTGCATTTGCACGACTTCCCTTTTCAATGAGAATTCAGGTACGTTCTTTCATTTTATCTTATTAGTATGATGAGATTTGTTCTTGATGAATCCGTACCACCTCAGCTACTCGTCATCATTCCATTATCACTACGTGTTTATAGATTTTCCCTTTTATTACTCATTTTATTTTTTCCATCAAGTATAGTTCATATACGAGGTAGTAATTACCAGGTTTTCTGCTCCTTACACTTCAAGTTCGCCAATTTTTTTCTGATCATAAAAGCCTAAGTGCCTATTGTCAAAAATCTTGAAAACAGAGAAAGTATGAAGACGAAAATTGTCCATAATCAGTGCTGTCTTCATATAGATATTTTAAAGGAAACTGTGACAATTATATGTGTTTTTGGGTCTTGCTACCCACCCCTCAGTCTACGGAGCTTGCTTCCATATCCTTAAATATTAATCAAGAACATTATTCTTAATGGCTACACAGATTTCCACCACATAATCGTAACACAGTTTACTTAATCTTCTTATATTTTAAAAGGCGTATGGCTGATGTTTCTAATTGCCTTCGTAATAAGCATACTTCCTTGCTAACAGAACACTCACTTTATTCAAAGCACAATACCCTCAGCCAAAACCTGTTGTCTGTTGTGCCCGAGGACAGTCATATGATGCAGTCCCAGCCAATGAGATGTAAGATAAAGCAAGTGGGCGGGGCTTTGGAGGAAACTTTTAAACAGGTGGTCTTTCGTGACGCATGCACTCTCACCAGCCTCACTTTCTTGTGCCTGGAGCTCAGATGGAGGATTTTTTGATTTTTTTTTTTTTTTTTTTTTTTTTTTTGAGACAGTCTCACTCTGTCGCTCAGCCTGGAGTGCAGTGGCACAATCTCGGCTCGCTGCAAACTCCGCCTCCCGGGTTCACGCCATTCTCCTGCCTCAGCCTCCCGAGTGGCTGGGACTACAGGCACCCGCCACCACACCAGGCTAATTTTTTGTATTTTTAGTGGAGACGGGGTTTCACGGTGTTAGTCAGGATGCGATCTCCTGACCTCGTGATCTGCCCGCCTCGGCCTCCCAAAGTGCTGAGATTGTAGGCGTGAGCCACCGCGCCTGGCCTGGAGGAGCCATCTTTAGACCATGAGGAGGCAACAAGCGCTTGGTGAGAATGGCTACATGGAAACATAGAAGGAAAGTGGATGTCTGCTGACTCAGTGGAACCTTCACTTCTGCACCTGACTGCCCTCCTCCCAAGGCTGCTTATATAAGGAAAAATGAAACCTCTTTTTTTTTTTGAGACAGGGTCTCGCTGTGTTGCCCAGGGTAGACTCAAACTTCTGGGCTCCCAGTATCCTCCTGCCACGGCCTCCCAAAGTGCTGGCATTGCCGGCGTAAGCCACCACACCATGCCCTCCTAACTCATTAAAGCCACTTTGGAGTGTTTCTGTGATCTATAGCTGAGTGGTGTGAAACAAAAGAATAACCTTTTTTTCCCCCACCTTCTGCTGTCTTCATAGCCTGTGATACAGCTTCAAAAACAAGGACCAAGACCTACACACCACAACTGCTGGGGTCATCCAGTCCAACCTGGGACAGAAGTCCTGGACAGGAGAGGTGTCAGGTCTCTCTTCCTCTGAAAGGGGGCTGCCTAACCTGTTGATGCTGTGCTCCCATCAAGAAGCTCACAGAGAATGATATGGGCCAGTGTTTGTTCCGTTTTAGTGCTCATACAACTCTAGCTGAGATTAACCAAGAAAACTGCCCCTTACTGGCTCAGGGAACTCCCATAGAGAATTCCCATAGGGAACTCCCATAGGGAATTCCAAACTTACAGGCCAGTAAGGTGGCCTGGCCGCTCTTCCACCTGGAACACAGCTCACTGAATACGGCAGATACCTGCAGACTGGGGGCAGAAACTGGGCTCTGGATCCCTTTCCCAGCGGGGAGACCTGGCTTGGTTGTGAGCCCAGCCCTGCAGGGAGGCTGCAGATCCAACACAGCTCCTCTTGGAAGCCCTCTGTGCCAGGAGGCACAGCCCAGATGCCCCGGGAATCCCTGAGGGAAATTTCATAAAACATGTGACTATCTACACAGCCTGCTAGAGGCCAGATCATTGCTCACACGGCTAAGTTGAAGCCTCAGTGCAGTTTCTACTTCATTCAGGGAACTGGAGTTGCAGCTTTCACTAGAAGAGCTGCTTCTCCTTGATGAACAAACCATTCCGCCCATAAAAATGCTGTGGAAAGTACTGTAAACGCTAATGCAGCCAAAAACTTAAAGACTGGTATAGGGTTAACTGAACTGCCACGTTAAGTCAGGTGTAACGAGATGACAATGCTTTAATCCTGCTGCTTAAAGCGATGTCTAAAATGTGCAAGTCAAATTTCAAGCCTTTGTAAGAACATAATGGTAAAGATAATTTCATCATTATCAGGTGATGCAACAACCTGCCCGGTCCCAGGGCTGGAATTCCAAACAGTCACGCCTTTGCAGAGTTTTACAGCCCTGGAAGAGAGGGGAGGCCACAGTGAACACCTGTGATGATAACTCCAGCCCATGCCCCGGTGATTTTTGACAATTGAATTAATGTTGAAATGAGCTTATTTTTCTGTCCTAAAGGGAAAACGAGCCTAAAATCCTGTTAATCTAGCATCCTGGTTACTCAGTTTCACCATAATTTATAGGATAGTTTTTCTATCCAAAAACTAAGGCTATTTTTATCCCAACTTCGCCGCTTCATAAAACACACGTGCATGCATGCAACTTCAGAGGTTTTGGCCTAAAGCAAGTTTTCAAAATAACCGGGTTCAAATATTTCATTGAGATGGTAGGGGTGGAAGAATCTTATAGAAGCAAATTTTACTGTTCTCTGTAAATTCAGACTTCTTCAGCCACAGATGGCTCAGGGATCCAGTCTCGCTTGAGAAACATGATGGAATAAGCCCACAGTCAGAGCTTCTTCTCATTCAGTTTCATGAAAGCTCTGAGCTCCCACAAGTGTCTGCTGGAACTGGACAGGAAGCTTGCAAGATGCTGGCTACGATTCAGCGCAGTCACCGCCTTCCCCAGTCGGCCCACCATCCCCAGCCATCCAACCACTTCCTCCCCACGAGGCATCGCCCGTTGGAAAGTTTTATTAACCAAATGCTTGAGGGTTTCTGTATATTTATATTACCTCCTCTTCTCTCCTGTTCTACCCAGGCATGTTGAAAAAAAAAAAAGTTATGATATACTTTAATAAAAACAAAATTAAAATGATTAAACCTTTCATATCCTTTAGAGATAATCTCTCTTCTCCTGGCTGGTCCAATCTGGAAGAAAACAAATGTGAACCATAGCTTGCTGCTGCTTTTCAATTTTTTTCCCCCCTAAAGAAACAAACAGAAAAAGCCGCCTGTGGCCAGATTTTTAAAATAAATTAAATTTGTCCTCACACACGGCAGCCAGGTGTGGTTGAAACATTCTTTCCAGATATCTATGATATATGCCAACATCCTTCCCTCTGGGGGTCTTTCAACGTGAGCCTGACAATCCCAAGGGGAACAGAGACTTGGCGGGGGAGAAAGGGGGGTGATTCCAAAATAGTTATTGAAAAAGAATCACTATTTCCCAATTAGCCCTGTAATAATGCCTTACAGGAATGACTGGATGCCCTGCCCCTGCACGCCATCTACCAAAACCAAAAAATAGTCTACATTCCTGATTAAAGCAAAGCTCAGAGAAAACAGCCCGGTATGGCACAAATCTCCCCGGTCTTATGTGTTCTGAGGAAGTCTTCAGATCCGCCCAGGGTCTGGGCACAGGTCCGCAGGGAATCAAATGGCTGCAGAATTCGATCAGGCCTGTCTGTCCAAGGCCAGCTAGATATGGAAATCAGAAGTAGGTCATCAGCCCTCAAGAATCGGATAATGACCTCTGGACTCGCAGCGCTGGGGCCACCAAGAGAACAAAGGTGTTAAGGCACTGTGTAGGTTTTTCTGTTGTTGTTGTTGGTGTTGTTGTTACAATATCTAATAGTGAGATCAAATTCTTATTGTGGAAATAAACATCACGGTCTTCTGTATGAAGATGGTCTGCGGAAAGTGACCACGCATCAGAGTGTCCAGCGTAGGAGGAGAATCTCAGTTTGCCTTAGTCATCATAGCACACACCCTGAGCACAGTAAGTTTCTCATTCTTCGTGTCTGGTGTTTATGTTGTAGTAGAGACGACTCGTCCTCAAGTTAAAAGGACAAAAGTCTTTCCTGTGTTTCATACTTGGGCGGTGAGTCACTAGGAAAGGATTTGGTTTTTAGAAAAAAAACTTCTGATCCCTGGGCTAAAACAGAGAGCCCCAAAGAGCTATGTTGATCCCAGACAAGCACGTGCGTGGATTCTTCAAAGTTCAGGTCAACTCAGGCCCCTCCTCCTTGCAGTCAGCCCTGTACTCAAGGTTGCTGGAGACATGGCGCCTCTATTTCCTGCCCAAAGAAGCCCCCTTAACTGGGGGCCACGGGTTGAGTGGTGAAGGAGGCAACTCACACCTGAATTATAGTGGGCTTGTAAACCTGAACAGGGCAAGTCACAACTTTGGGAGGCTGAGGCAGGAGGATCACTTGAGGCCAGGAGTTCAAGAACAGCCCTGACAACATAGTGAGACCCTGTCTACAAATGAAAAAACTAGCCAGGTGTGGTGGTGCATGCCTGTGCTACTTGGAAGACTGAGGCAGGAGGATCACTTGAGCCCAGGAGATGGAGGCTACAGTGAGCCATGATTGTGCCACTGCACTCCAGCCTGTGTAAAGACCCTGTCTCTACAAAAAAAGAAAACAAAAACAAAAACAAAAAAACAAAAAAAACTCACCTACCAAAAGTCCAGCTGACATCTACTACAAAATTCCCATTATTGCCATAAAAACATGTGGGCTGGGTTCAAGGCTGCATAGCAGATGGCCAGGCTACATCCTCATCACACACGCACTTCACTGGTGCCAGTGCCGGTGACAGGCTAGAAGCCACTCCAGTGAGGACCCCTGCCAGGGCCAATCAGATCAGGGCTGCCCTCCCCATGCTGTGGGGCTTCTCAATGCTTCTGAAATGGACTCACACAAGGAAGTCACAAAGGGCTTTGGACATTAGGAAAACCATGCAAACTGTTTCCACTTCTCAGAGCAACCCGAGGCACGCGCTCTGGAGTGTGCAGAGTCACAGATAACTGCTGCTGCTTTGCTCACCGCAGTCTTAGGATTTCTTCATTTCTATCCTGGAGAGAATCCAGCAATGGATCACACTGTTATCTAGACACAAAGAATCCCACCCCTGGGGCAAAGTGCTACTTGTCCCGTGGATGAGTTTGTCAGCCTGCAGCAAGGAGGCCAGACGCAGTGGGAAGAGCACAGCCCTGGGCCCTGGGCCTCTGTACCAAGTCCCTACTCTGCTGCTGTCTACAGCAGCCCTGTCCTCAGGAACCTTCTCCAGGGAAGGAAATGGCTTCTGTCTGCACATCCAATACAGCAGCCACTAGCCACATGGCACTGAGACAGATGGGCCGCTGCAATGGGAACCTAGCGACATGAGACATCCAAGATTGCCAGGAAGGGTCCGAGTTCGCCTCTGCTTTATGCTCGTGCAGGACAGGAACGGCCCTGTGGAGGCTGCCCTCGAGGCTCACATCACAGGCTCAATCTGGGAAAGACCAGCCATGGGAAGCAGGATGTGACTTGCCCTGGAAGCGCAAGTGAAGGACGGGCTCCGAATGAAAGCTACACAAGGTAACAATATACACACTGGGATCTTTATATTATGTCCAGCCTGGAGTATATAACACAGGGTAAGGAAAAACCAAGGAATTAAAAGTCCTTCAGGTACTTCGAGCAACTGAAATCCTTTGGATGGAAGTCCAGTCAATCAGCTGGCCCCCTATTGAATTCTATACCCTAATGGGTCATAGAAAATTGTAAGGCTCTAGGTAGCATCTACCCCAACCAGAGCACAAACACCACACACAAGCCCAGGGAGATCTGCTTAGTCCCTAAAAGCACAGTGGGCAGCAAGGAGGGGTTTCTATTTCTTTTTTTTCTTTTGAGACGGAGTCTCGCTCTGTCGCCCAGGTTGAAGTGCAATGGCGCGGCCTCTGCTCATTGCAACCTCTGCCTCCCAGGTGCAAGTGATTCTCCTGCCTCAGCCTCCCGAGAAGCTGGGATCACAGGCACCCGCCACCATACCTGCCTAATTTTTATATTTTTAGTAGAGGTGGGGTTTCATCATGTTGGCCAGGCTGGTCTCCAATACCTGAGCTCTAGTGATCCGCCCGCCTCGGCCTCCCAAAGTGCTGGATTACAGGTGTGAGCCACCATGCCCAGCTAAGGAGTTTTTATTTCTATAAATCCCTCCAACAGGAGCCTAACACAGGCCAGCCTGCTGGAGCACCTTCAGCAAAGGCAGCTTTTCTCGATGCTAAGACCATCAAATTTCACAGGCACAAGAACCTTCCTCCACGTGGCCGGCTGTCAGTCCTCTTGGTGTTTGCCAGCAAGAAGGTTTCGGTGAGGGCTGTGTGAGAACAGGCAAGGAAAGAGTCATGGTAAAATGGGCTCAGAGGACACAGGGCTCTGACCCCTTTTCCTGTCCTAACAAGTGTCTTTGAGCACTTCCGGCTTCATTTGGAGTCCCCTTCCAGCGAGGTCGCAGTAGTTAATCCCATGCCAAGGCCAGCACTGAGAACCGTGTGCTGCGAGCAGGAAACCAGAGAAGGCCTGGTGGGCGCTGACAGTTCTGTCCGAGGCGACTTCCAGGATCTCCATGACCTCCCTTCATCTCTCCCACCACCTTCTGTCCTACCCTCCTGCCCCACCCAAAGTGACCACAGAAAAGGAAACAAGAAACTGGCTTCAGATATCAGAAAGTCTGGGTAATAGACTGAACTGTGGTCCTCCCAGTGTCCTAGGTTGAAGTCCCAACCTCCAGTACCTGAGGATGTAGCTATGACTGGAGACAGGACTTTTAAGGAGGTGATTAGGTTAACGTGAGGCCTTTAGGGTAGACCCTAATCCAATCTATCTGGTATGTCCTAATCATACAGAGACACACCAGGGGGACTCACAGAGACCAGGCTATATGAGACCAAGGCCTCGGGAGAAGCCAAAACTGCCGGCACCTGGATCTTGAACCTTTAGCGTCCAGAACTGTGAGAAAATACACTTCTTTTGTTTCAGCCAACCAATGGAAACGGGGGGTGAAAAATACACACATTCTTTTTTGACTTTATAATATGACAATTTTTGATAAAATTTTGGGTTGAAACAACAGATGGCCCTGTACCAGGAAAATCACACATTGTCTGATTTTTGATATTCTAATTAGAGCAGAGGTCAAAGATCTTTTAAAAGCAATAAATGGCTCCTTTTATTAACATATACACAAAAGGTCTCAAGATAGTCTTGAGGCATAAAACTATAAAAACCCATTTAACATCCACTCTGAAAAACACATCTTTACAAAGTCCTTTCAAAGTCCCTCAAAACTGCTAATGGAATAAGACATAAGTAGCAAAAAGCAAAATTAAATGCTTATTTGAAGACTGTTCTCCCAAACTGAGAAAAACTGTGAAACAGAGAGAAAGATCAGCAAGAAAAGATGTACCCTATCCAGGCTGGCGGGAACCACACTTCTCTAAAATGCAAGCCAAAAAATATTAAGGAAAATGTAGCCCCAAACCTAGCCTGGGTCTACCAGAAGTCTGAGGAAACCCAGTGAGGAGGAGCTGAGCATGGTCCAACAGAACCTTCTGAACTGCTCTAGAAATCTGTATTGTCTAAGTTAACCATGAGCCCCATGGCACTATTAAGCACTTGAAATCTGGTTAATATGATGCAGAAACTGGATTTAAAATTTTATTTAGCATTAACAGAGAATTTTGAGAAGCTTCCTTGTGGCTCTCAGGAGACCAGAAAGCCCAGGAACCAGGGAGGTATGGGCAGCACTTAGACTGAGGCCACAAAACTTTCCACTGCTCGTCAATGTTTGAAAAAAATAATTTGGAACCATAATTCTTATAATTGGGTCACAGTTTGAAGGGGGTTCCTTAACATCTGTGACTCTGAGAAAAAGCCTTTGAGCTATTTCTGTACGCAGAGAGATAGATGCATGTTCTATTTCCTCCCTGGCCCCTACCAAGGTCGGGAACAAGTTTCATATAGGATGTAAGTAGCCCTAGAAATGGATTCTTTGGACATTCCTAAAGACGGTACAGGTACAAATCATTATTTCTCGAGAAACATCCATTCAGGCAGTGGAGAAAGTGTGAACTCCAGAGGCTAGGATAGGGGATCCATATGGGAGGGGTCTGCACACATGGCAGGAGACAGCAGAGGACGGCTGCCACTTCCTGCTACACTGTCGGCTTTAGGAGGTCTCTCCCCTCCAGTGAAATCCAGGGACAGCACCCCCAAATCCAGGGACAGCACCCCCAACTCCCAGCCCAGCACAAACACCCACTGACTGGCTAGCTATCCATATTCACTTTAGGGTGGAGTTTCAGATTTTCAAGTTTCTTGGATACACCTTTCGAAGGTGACTTGGGATGTTTCGAAATAAAGGTTTCACAGAAAGAACACTTGGTATGACATGATGTCCTGTGGCTCCCTTGGGGGTCCCCATGTCACTGGGCTCTGATGAGCCAACGGGGGTCTCTGGCATACTCACACCCCTAAAAAGAGGACCCCCGCCCAATGCTCACCCCTCAACAAATGCAAACACACCCATATACTGTCTCTCCTAATTCCAGGAACCATCAGCAGGTACCCCTTTTTCCTTTTTTTTTTTTTTTTTTTGCTGTGCCAAAAAAAACCCTCTCTGCAGTGAGTGGCCACAGTATCAATGCTTCTCCCAGTGGGCAGCGTTGGGCACGTGCTGCCACCCACTCATGAAGATAGCATGGAAGACAGCCTGGAGCCCTTGACCAAGAACAACACTAACCAGAAGGGCAGTGTACAGCTGGTGCCACGTGTCATATGCTGAAACAACACGCACAAAACCCTGGTAGCTTCATCATCCCAGAAAAATAACGCAACGAATGAATGGTGGATCTAGAACATCAAAGAATGAGTGAATACGAATCACTGCAACTCAGGCCACTGCGGCCAGGTCTAGATAACTGCTGAAAAGGTGCAAGTCCTGGAACAGCCAGCCAGGACACAGGAGGCTGGGTACGAGGCTGCACGCTCAACCCACTGCCCACCTGACCATCCTGGTGATGCCACACCTTCTCCAGGGGGACCTTCCAGGGCAGCAGCGTCTGACAGCAGTGAAACAGCACTGCATATGTCCACCTTCCAGCAGACCAGATCATTAGCATATTTTGCAGAGAGCAAGCAGAAAAGTTTAATTGCCCTTAATTACTCAGTTCAACAAGGCTCCTAGATAATGGCTCTCAGATTTCTTGCCTGGTATCGACGTAATTTCCCTGACTCTGGCTTCATTATATCCCTAACTTAGAAGCAATAGCGTCTCCAAGATGGCTTTCCAGAACAGACACTGAAGTGCCAGTGAGGCTGGGCAGTCGCTACAAAGGTTTCTTCTATGAGGAGTCAGATTTTTGGCCTTCACACCACTCTGGGGTGTGTGTGTGTGTGTGTGTGTGTGTGTGTGTGTGTGTGTGTGTGTGTGTGTGTGTGTGTGTGTGTGTGTGTGTGTAGCGGGTAGTGGGGAGGACACACTAGCATATACTTAGGATGGACTAAGACAAGGAATATGTAATCAGAAGCCATCACAATTACAAATGTAAATGAACAGGCAATTGGCACTGACCTTTGCAGATTGTTAGAGGACTAATTAAGGCAAATCAAGAACTCTGTTCCAACAGAAAAACAAGACAGTATACACCCTGAGAACTACTCCTATCCTCTCTATGTAAATGCAAAATGCAGGAGAATCACAGAGTAATCAAACTACGAATATTGGCAAATAAAAAACATCTCCATGAACAAAAGACAACCAAGATTTACTTCTTCGTAGCCTGTTAGTGATTCTGCTAAAATCTCTATCAACAAGCACCACCACCATTCTGAGCCCTTGCCACACATCTGACATTCTGTTAGAGTCCATATAAATACATCCCACCGCCAAAACAGCCAGAGACACCAGTCACTAACTCCTTGCTTGAATATTTTAAAAGCTGTAAGAAAAATACTTACAAAAAGGAATCAACCTATGTTATCCTGTAAACTCCATTTTTCATTTAACAACATTATGTTCTCTTTTCATGTTCATACATAATGACCTCTCTTTACCCTTGCATTGTAAAGCATCTTTCTAAAAAGCTTGCTGAAATTTACAATCCCTGTCCAAACAGTCCTTCATCAGGGAATGTCCTTTAGACAGATAAAGTCATGTTTTCCCCATGCCTCCATCAATGCTTAAAATTTCAGTCACCCCCATTTGTTTTGATGCACTTTTACATTTAACTTCTCTAGTTAAAAATACTTTAAGTTCCTATACCTTCCCCAAACCCGGTAAACAAGACATACAGTAAAAAGGAAAGGAGAAAGAGCGTGGGTGTGCTGATTTTATAAAAACAATATTTCAGAAATTCAGAGCTGGCCACAACATATTTTAGTGCTATCAGAAAAATTACACTGAAATTGCATATAATTTAGCTATTTACAAAAAAAAAAAAAGATGTACTTTATATTTAGAGGGCAGCCTTACACCAACTTTGCAAAATAAAAACAAAATCAAGTGAGAAAGCTGAAGACAGTATATATTCTTGGTCTCTTAACTCTTAAGCTGTATACATTAAGCACAACACCCTGAAACTTGGTTTAAAAAGTGATTCATCAAATGAGGCCAGTGAGTGTTGCAGTAAAGGCTGTCACCAAAACCACATTATCACTTGGCAAGCTGTGTGCACCTCTCTGGCCCCAGAAATTCGCTACTATGAATGCCAAAGACGTATCTGTAAAGGGAGGATACTGCTTTTTGCTCCAAGCAAAACAAGTCTCTTAAATTCTGAATGATCGTGCACCCTCTGTAAACTGAGTCCGGGTCCAATTATTTCCAATGCCTGAGCTGGTCTAGTCATCAGTGTGTCCATATTGAGAGTGCAGAGGAGATCAGTGATCAGCTATGTTCTCCAACTCATAAAAAGCCTTATATATAATAGGTCGTCAATAAAGAATTGTTGAACTTTAATTACATGCATGTAAAATTTGGAGGTCTATGTCTACATGAAAGAAAAAGTACTTAGGACAAGGCGAGTAAGAGAGAAAACAGGAGGAGGAGAAGGAGAAAGGCCGACAGCAGAAACACAAAGGGCCTGTGTTCTCAAAGCCCAGGGCACTTGATAGAATGAAGTTAACTACAGTTTCACCCAGGAGCCAGAAATGCCTTTTAAATAAGCAAACAGGGAAGCTGATCCTACACATGACCCACCTCTGAGAGCTCTCCATTTTTCAAGAGCTTCTGGTAAACCAGGGAAGCAAATGGCAGATGCCAGCAACTCAGAGCTCTGGCCCAGTGCATTGGCCAGTGATGACGAGTGGTTTCTACCTGTGGGTGGGTAAGTATGAAATGCCGAGACGAAATCCCAACCAATTCCAGAGACTACTTGGTCTTGCAGAAAAAACACTCAAGCCAATAAAAATAAATTGTGGGGATTGGAAGAGGAACCTCACCTGGTTAGTTACTGTCTTTGAGAGATGTATTTCCAAGCCATTTTTAAAACAGGAAGGCCCAGCAGGCTTGTGTGCTTGTGTCTATTGTGGGGTAGGGGTGGAAAAGTGTAACGACAAAGACCATCACACTGAACCAAAGACAATTTACCACAGGACTCGGCCTGCCCACTGACATAAGGGCAGAGCTCCGCCATGGCAGGGCCACATGGGCACAGAAGCCTAACTATTAGCACACAGCTGGCGGCCAAGGCTCTGTCCACTGGTGCAGGGCAGGACTTAGATGTACGTGCCCAACCACGAGGCCTCTCAAGGAGTTACGTAGCCAGTCATGGCAGATATAGATCCTGGCTGCTACCAGAAGATTCTGAAGGGATGGAGGAGACCTTTGCAATTTCTTCTACCTCGACTCCTTCCTCCAGACCCACAGGTTCACATGGGTTGGCAGGCTACATGATGAACTGGACCGACTGGCAAACAAGTGACTTAAGTAACAGGTAAACTGGGAATAGGTATTTTTTGTCATCCACAGGGCAGAAACTATTGCAGAATCATCCACAGGGCAGAAACTATTGCAGAGTTCACCCCTCCTGCCTTAGGAGGAGACATCTAGATACCTGTAGGAGGTGACATGAGACTGGGGATGAGGTCCAGAACTCAGAAAGGACAAGGGGTTATTTCTGAAGGGTTTTGTGTAATATTCTGTGGCATGTGGACAACAGAGGAGAAGAGGAAAGGAGAAGGAATGTCATCACTTAGCAGGATGATGACAGAAAGCCAGAACTTCCAACTCTAGACAGCACAGCCATGGATGGGGAGCTTCTGGTCAGAGTGGGTGGGGCTCCTAAAAGGTGCACCAAGACTTCCTAATGCTCCTGATGCCACAGGATGACATTTCTAGCTGAAAAATCATGTCCTGACCCTTATGTTAAAGAGGACAGAGTTGGGAATAGTCTATAAAGTCGATGTTTACAAAATTTGAAGTTGATCATCTTAAACATCTCAATTCTACCAGGTCCATAATGTCCGTTCTCTTGAAGATATCCTTTCAAGTTTTGAAGAGCCAACCCCTGGGGAGAGGGAAGATACATCTTAAGATGAGTTTTCTTAAAGTGGTTCCTAAAACGGAACCAAGTTCTTGTTAATGTCAATATGAATAAATAATACGTAATACTTTGTCCCTTTTGTCATCAGTTATATGGACCGAACTGGAGCCTGTGTGTGGGAGGGGAGGAGTATGGTGTAGGGAGGGAGTAGGGGAGAGAGCAAAAACATGACTCCAGGTCAAAGCCAATCCCAAAGCATCTTGACATACGGAAGGGAAGTCTATCATCTCCACTGAAGTTGCTCACACACTTCTCGGGGGAAAAACCCCTAGTATGCACTAAATGAGAGGAACCTCGAAGGCACTGGTGCCGGGCTGCATCCACGGAAGCACTACATTCCAAAACAGGGAACTGTTTGTTCCAGGTCACCGACTCTGGGTGAAATGGCAGCTGTACACTGTTTAGTGTGGGGCACCTCATTAATACAAAAGGAATTCTGAGCAGAGTAAAAGAAAGAATTGAAGGGTGAAATGGACCAGCTTTTAACAGATGATTAAAACAATGATGTATGCAGAGCTGGCCAAAAAAACACCCCAAACAAAGCACAAACCCTGAGCAAGAAACAGGTCTAGGTGTGTTGGTAGAAAGAAGGAGAATCCGGGGAATGACTCAACAGTGCACTAATGCAGAGCAGCGGATCAAACAGAGGCCACAATCCCTGGGTGGGGCACAGGCTCCCCTACAGCCAGATGGCCCAGGGGCCTCAGCCTCAGGCCCATCCTCGTCCCTTACTCCTGAGAGTGCTCCCATGTAGACGGATGGGATCAGAGGCAAAGCAGAAGCTCCACCAATTAAGGTGTTTCAACTTTAACCAGAAGAGGCATTTGAAAAACACATGGAAGGGACAGTCTTGCAGTGACCTTCAAGTGACAAAAATTATCCCGGTACCCAACAGCCCTTTCCTGAACAAACAATTTCTACTGACTGTCGAAACCTCAACCACTCTAGCAAGGAGAAAAATTCTTGAATTGTGGTCTATCCCATCATTTGGGAATTGCTGTTTCATTTATATGAGGAGGCAGCGAAGGAGCAGTCAGATGATCCAGAGAGGAGCAGGTGGGCAGAGGGCTTTGGAGGGGCTTAGGAGGGACGCCTCCAGGAGGAAATGAAGCTGACAGAAAAACTGATAGAGCAGAGCGTTCAGAGATTAGGAAATGTCTACTTCTGGCAGAGTAAGGTTCGCCATGAATTAATCATAGGTACCTAGAAAACCAGAGAAAACAATAAGTTGTACAAGAAGGTAAATGAAATTATAAAACTCTACATGGCTCAGCTGCGATTAATATTTATAGTTATAATAATGAAAACACTGAATATTAATATAACCCCCAATTATTATTTAATCATAATGGAAGGTGGAGGGAGGAAGGACTGAGTGTGGAGGGAGCTGGGGAGTGGGAGGGAGTCCAACTGTTGTGTGGGGGGTGCAGGAGTGTGCGGGGCAGTGCCTGTGTATTTGTGGGTAGAGTGAGGGTGCGTGTGGGATGCATGTCAGTGTGTGTGGGGTGTGTGGGGGTACAGTGTCTATGTGTTTATGATGCTTGCATGTGGGGGGTGCAGTGTATGTGGGGGAGGTGCACGCAGATGGGGCGTGTGGGTGTAGTATATGGCTTGTGTGGGTGTGTGAGTGTATACAGGGGGTGTGTGTGTGTACAACGTATGTGGGTATGGTGTCTTGTCTGTGGGCTGTGTATGTGAGCGTGGATGGAATGTGTAGGATGCAGAGAAAGTGTATGTGTGTGCGCGCACGTGCGAGAACGTGTATGAGGTATCGGGCTGGTGTGTGTGCCGTCTGCGTGAGTCTGTGGTTGGGGTATGGGTGTAGGTGTGTACACGGGTGGGTTTGTGGAACAGCACACTGGTGAAATTCTCATCTGCCCAGGTAGAAAGCCAAGAGGTAACATCTAAAACTTAAAAACAAGAAACAGTCGTAGAAGTATGAGAAGAAACATGGAAATAAGTAACAAAAGAAATATCTGAAAGTTGAAAGCTGATCCCCTGGAAAAGGGGGTGGGAGAGGGCCATGCTCTTCTCCATAAAGTTTATGTAACTTTTTGCCTTTAAAAAATATAAAAATGTGTAATTTGATTATATTAAGGTTAAAACTGCACACATCCATGATGGCTGAATGGCTGAGAAGGCACTGCAGGAGACTGTAGGATCAGGAGTGGCCTTGGGTCTCTGGCTTGGCCAGGCCGTTAGACAAGCTGCCATTAAGAAGAAAAAGAAGTGTGGCAGAGAAAGTGGTGAGCCAGGTGCCCAAGAGGTGGGACCAATGAGATGTCCACGAAGCTCAGCATCTGGGAGGTGGGACCAGTGGTGTCCAGGAAGCTGTACAAAGGCATTTGGCAGCACCAGGACACAAAAGCTCAAGAGGCTGGGAGCCGAGGACCAGGCCACAGTGCCCTGTGCCCAGGGACATGGGGCAGGCTGAGAACCACCAGCCAGAGTCAGGCTTGCAGAACTATCAAGGGAAGTCAGAGGACAAGAGAAAAACACCCCGGAAGCCAAGGGAAGGCAAGGGAAGGGGAAGGGAGCTTCAAGAAAGGGCTGGGCAACAATTTCAAACATTGCAGAAAGAAAACAGTCAGGCCCAGCAGGTCCTGGGCTGTGTCAATCAAAGATCAGCAGCGCCCTCCCAAGAGTGGCTTGGTGACAGAGGAAATGGGTTGTAGGAGGTTGAGACATGGAATAGAGGTGAGCAGTTCACAGGGTTCTCTCAAGAATCTGGAAGATTCTGTTGTAGAGACAGTGTGGGGCCTAGGATGAAAGGAGAGCTTTTCTTGGAAAGTTTTGGTTTCTAAAGAGGTAAGTGACTGTCTTGTGTGTCTAAGTGGAGAGCAAGAGACTGGAAAATTGAAAAAATAGAAAAGAGGAGGTGATTCTACCCAATGAAGTCCCTATGGAAGGCGGAGTCATGGGTGGAGGGAGGGAGGGAGGTGGGGAAAAAGGTGGCTGCAGGGAGATGACATGGGGAGGTAGAAACGAGGCAAGCTCCCACTAGCAGGTCTCGACGCATTGAAGCAGCAAGCAGCATGGACCCAAGAAACACCCAGAATCACTCCCAAATACAACTGAAATTTTTATAACAAGCACTTATTTTATTCCTCTCTAAAGTTCAGTTTTACAGACCAGACTTTGAGGCCACAAATTGACTACTCTTAATACTGGGCAGGACACACGATGTAGCATCTGCTTTGTCAATTTGAACCAATAAATTGAATCTAAAGTATGTACTGGAGGAATCTTAGAATAGAGGAGAGTATCTTCTGTTGGCCTGCTCCCTGGGTAGTAGCTTGTGACTTCCCTAAGACTGAGCCTTGCTCCAAGAAAAGTGCTGCCAATTTCCTTTAAAAAAAAAAAAAAAAAAGAAGAAGAAGAAGAAAGAAAAGAAAAGAAAAAAAGACAGAAAGGCGGGCAGGCAACAATCCCTGCATGTTCCTTCCAAAACACAATGCTCACCTGTGAAGTCAGTAAGGAACATGAGGACCAGCTGGATCAGTAACGTCTCCCTCAAACAGAAGTCCTCTGGAGGTCTCAAGGAGGTGAACACCCAGGCCCAACCTGGGCCTCCCATGCCTGTGAGACCACTCACCTGGGTCCGTGGAGGGGCACCTGCGGATGGTGAAGATCTGCCCCAGGTCCTCGTCCTCCTCTGGAAGGCCCTTCTGCAGCCGCTGCAGCTTTCGCAGGCTCTCGCTTCGCTGGTGCTTCATGGAGCGCACATGCTGGATGAGGTTGAGCTTGGCCTTGGTGGAGTAGTTGCACAGAACGCAGTGGTAGTAGCAGCTCTCACCTTCTACACCACTCTCATGCTGCTGCAGGTGCTGCAAGTAACAAAAGAGAAAGACATGCCTTGGGTAAGCCACTCGAAGCGGCCACTGGCATCAGCCCACACCATCCTGGTCACAGCCAGAGGCATGCCTCCAGGGGACACATCTCCACAGCCAAACAGGACAGTCTTTGATATGGTTTGGCTGTGTCCCCGCCCAAAATCTCATCTTGAATTCTAATCTGAACTGTAATCCCCACGTGTTGGGGATAGGACCTTGTGGGAGGTGATTAGAATATGGGGGTGGTTCCCCCATGCTGTTCTTGTGATACTGAGTTCTCATGAGATCTGATAGTTTTATAAGGGGCTTTTCCCTACTTCACTCAGCACTTCTCCTTCCTGCTGCCATGTGAAGAAAGACATGCCTGCTTCCCTTTCTGCCATTATTGTAAGTTTCCTGAGGCCTCCCCACCCCTGCAGAACTGTGAGTCAATTTCTTTCCTTTGTAAATTACCCAGTCCTAGGCAGTTCTTAGTAGCAGCACGGTAATGGACTAATGAGGTCTTCAACTGTGAGATTCCTTAGAGGGTTTTTTTTTTTTTTTCCCCCAGAGTACCCAGCACCCTTCTCTAGCAGTTCTTTGAAAAAACACAGCAAGCTGATACCCATTCCTATCTCCCCCAAATGGCCCCAGCCATGTGGCTTTTCAGAATGTTGATAATCCTGATCACATGGGCCCTCCCAGTGCAACACCGGCTTTCCTGGCACAAGGTTAAAGGTTTCCCCTTTTATTCTCTAAAGTGTCCTGCTCTTGTTAGATCAGGGGTTGGCAAACTATGGCCCACGGGCCAAATTCAACCCACTGCCTGTTTTTGTAAATAAAGTTTTATTGGAACACAGCCACGTCCATTGATTTACATACTGTCTATGGATGTTTTTGAAACATCAGAGTTGAACAGTTATGACAGAGATGGTATAGTCCACAAAGTCTAGATTATTACTATAGAAATGTGCTAAATTATGACAGGAAAAGTTAAGCCAACCCCTGCTTCAGGTAATAGCCTCTGGTCATCCTGCCTGTATGGCACCCTAGGTCAGGAACATGGAGCCGGAGCTGGTATCTGGCTTTTTCACAAGACAACTCCAGTGTTTGTATTTAAAACCACAGTCTACTGGGAGAACCCCAAATTAGGTTTTCACCTAGATTAAAAAATGCCAGAAAAATAAATTTCTCCAGACTAGTTCCCTGTCAATATCTCAAAGTCCCCTGGCTTATCATTGGCCAATATCATTGGTCAGTTGGTGTATCAGATGGTCAGATGGTCCAAATTACGTCCTCTGTTGTACTTAGTAGACACAGTATTGATCCCAGAGCATGGCAGCCTAAGAGCCTCCAGGAGGCAGGCACAGACAGGATTCATGTCTGGGGTATCAGAACAGAAGAGGTCATGATGCAGACAGGTGGCAGACCCCAGGCTTCTGTGGCTAGGAAGACTTAAAGACGACCCAACAACAAAACTCACAATGTTTCTGAGTCTCCTGGGAATGTAATGATAGCTATGGACCCTTTTTGACTAACAGAGAATGAATGTGCACCTGGTGTAGAAAGGCCATCTCCTTCATTCCAATGATTCACTTTAGGGGAAGAGGGAATTCTTCCACTGGGTACACATGAAGCAAGGGAAACACTCCCCAAAAGCTTAAATGACTGACCCAAGGTAACCCAGTTAGTTAGGGGGAGAGAGAGATGTAGAAGCTGAGGCTTGTCTCCTCCAGCCATGTACCCAGCATCCTTTTGAAGGAGGAAATTCAGGTCATGTGAGTGCTTTATGTGCTCCTGTGATTACGTGTCCTTCCTTTTTTCTCCTCACCACCTGTCCCCAACCCCCAGCCCAGTCAGCCAAGCCTGGCCCATGGAGCCATGGCAGGCACACAACAAACGTCTCAGAACTGCCCACGTTGCTTGTCTCCTTTCTGACCCACACTGCTTCTGTCTGATGTTTATGCCAGGATAATGGTTTCTAGTCCTGCTTGGATGTCTCATCCTTGTCCAGCTTAGAATGCAAGACACTGACAAGCTAGAATGGTTAGAATGCCCTGCACTCCACGCAATCCTGAAAATACCAGAGTGGCCCTGTGAGTGCTTCCTATCAAGGGACACTGCCCTGACGCTCACGTACTGACATGCACACGTCCTGTGTTCACTGATCACGTGTGAAAAATCCAGAAGCATGTTTGTACTTTGCTGGAAGAAGAAACATAAATGCACCAACTAAGTGTCACAGAAAACTCATGGGAGGGGGGTTGAAGCCCTCAATGACATAAACTGGCTAAAGTATCCCACAGGAAATCTTGCCAACTTGTACGTAAGAATGGGATGAGCTTCACAGGCACCAAGAAAGAACAATCCCTTCTGCCCCCAAAATGGGTGATTCACACACTCATATGCAGCACCTTGGACAAAGCAAAATTTCTACAACCAGAAAGTATTGGAAGAACCAGTGAGTGCAATGTTACCTATTAGAAAAATTACAACTGGTGATAAAAAGCTACTTTTCTGGAGATAAATTTGAGCTGCTTTTTGTTTACTTTTTATTTATTGGTTTTTTTTTTTTTTTGAGACAGGGTCTCACTCTGTTGCCCATGCTGGAGTGCAAAGGCTTAATCTTGGCTCATTGCAACCTCTGCCTCCTGGATTCAAGCAATTCTCCTGCCTCAGCCTCTTGAGTAGCTGGGACTACAGGCATAAGCCACCACACCTAGCTAATTTTTGTATTTTTAGTAGAGACAGGGTTTCACCATGTTGGCCAGGCTGGTCTCGAACTCCTGACTTCAAGCGATCCACCCGCCTCAGTCTCCTAAAGTAGCTGGGATTATAGGCGTGAGCCACCGCACCTGACCTCTGAGCTGCTTTTAAAAAATGATTTAACCTCACTGCCTTCTCTGTGATGAGGTTCCTTTCAGAGGATGTTGGGAGGATGGGATGCACTGAGGCAGTGCTTTCTGGAGGTTACAATCCTGGGGAGAAGGAAGGCAGAAGTGAAGGGAGAAGATGAGCTAGCCCACGTCCCTTCCCCCAACTACTCCCCGAGGCCCCTCAGAACTCAGAAGCCAGAAACAGGACCAGGATATTCCAGGCAGCAAGAGTTTGTCCTAAAACCGAGGAGCTGGAAACCTGTAAGGGAGCCAAGAACTGCTGTCTTAGGTCACCAGGACCAAAAGAATGATATTCATTAAAGCTTCAACTAAAACTGAGTGAATAAAAGATGGCAGAGACAATAACCATGAAATTCAAAGAAATACGTTCCATCAAGAGATTTTGGAGGTAGAATAAACTATGAAATCAGACCAAGAATCACTAAAGCCTTACCTCCAATCCCCCCACTACCTCCCTATGAAACAGGATTTCCTCACAATAAGGCACTGAATTTCAAACATCAAATTTGAATATGGATGTGTGAGAGTTCTATTCCAAATGGCTGGAGTCTTCAATCTCTGAGCCACAAGAGAGGAATAACATGGCCAGAAGAGTTGGATGGAAATGCGATGTCAAATGTCCAAATCCATGGGCTCTTGGGTCATAGGACCGTATAAACCCTGGATTGAAATAAACATCATACCGGGTACTCACACTTTAAAAAATGGATATGATAAAAGATATTCTAAAATCCACTCCACACTCTAGCTCATGTTGGTAAACTACAATCTCTTACACTGCCATGAATTATTCTGTCTGCCACTTTGAGAGCCATTTTAGCAAGAAACTGGGCATGCATTACAAATAGTGGAGAAAAGAATAAGAGGAAACAAGAAAATGAAGCCACGGCTGCTCCCACCTAACCTGGTCCAGTGAACACCTAGGGTTCTCTCCTAGAAAATTCATGAAAGATTCATTCAAAATTCCAAGCTTGCTTTGTATTCCAAGTTTATTCTCCAAAACACTTAAAAAAATCCAGAATAGGCCGGATGCAGTGGCTCACACCTGTAAACCCAGGACTTTGGGAGGCTGAGGTGGGCACATCACCTGAGGTCAGGAGTTCAAAACCAGCCTGGCCAACATGATGAAACCCCGTCTCTATAAAAATACAAAAATTAGCCAGGCATAATGGTGGGTGCCTGTAGTCCCAGCTACTTGGGAGGCTGAGGCAGGAAAATCGCTTGAACCTGGGAGGCAGAGGTTGCAGTGAGCCACAATAGTGCCACTGCACTCCAGCCTGGGCGACAGAGCAAAACTCTGTCTCAAAAAAAAAAAAAAAAAATCCAGAATAAACTATATCTTGGTTGCCAGGAAACAGCTGTGCATAAACCTAACATCCCAACCCAAACTTCTGCTTGGGTCTACTATGTCTACCTGCATGTGACAAGTCCTGCTCTCCCCAGATTTTCCAAGTGTCTCGTTATTTCTTAAGTTGTCCAACTGGAAGTAAACAGAGACCCAAAGCTAGCAGCAAGGTCCTGACCTCTGTGACCTTCTCCACATCATTCGGCCATTTCCTAGGCCCTGAGCGGCTCAACCCGCGACCCTGTTGGTCAGATCCTCTCTCCCTTCCTCCCAAGTGGCACTGGCCTCATCCCCAGAATCCCACCCTTGGAACCTGCCTAATAAAAAGCAGTGGTAGGGAGTGTGCTAAGAGGCCCATGAGCACTCCACGGGGCCAGTCAGTCAGCCAAGAACATGCCTTCCCCGCAGAAGGGAGTGGATGTTTTCATTTGGAGGAGGAGGGAGAATAATTTGTTCCTGACCCAGCTAATTAGAATACCCTCAATTGGGATCACAATGTATTTAATTAAATTCACTGTAATATATGAAGAATCCACCAAGGCACAAATCCCAGTGGTGCACTCAAGAAAGGAGCTGCCTGCTTTCAGAGTTCTTGCTCTCCTCGCCAGGCAGGAAATTTTTCTCCCACGCAAATCCTGAATTCCCCAACCCCTTCCGCCTCTATCACAGAGTCACCCGCTGGGGAGGAGGGCAACCGGGTTCTGTTTTTACTTTTTCCATTTTCTTTACTCTGTGCTCACAATTCCTACCTACTCTCCTTTGTTGGGTCAGGAGTGTAATTTTAAAAAGAAAACAAAACAACAGCTCCAACTGTGGGCAGTGTGCTGGGATGCATGCCAACCGGGGACCCAAAGAAAACCAGCTGGTGAGCCCATTTGGCGGGGGTTTGTTTCGGTTTGAGTCTAAGTGTCTACAACACGAGACACTGCATGCACGCGCACACACATGTGAGCACACACATGCACACACACTATGCCCAACCCCAGGGACTTAACCTGCAGGTGATGCAGGCAGTGTCAGCAGCAACTCTAAGAAAATAAGGAAGGGTATAATGAGGGCATTCCCCCTTTGGCTTGAATACTGTTTTGAGAATATACTTCCCGGAATACTATAAAACACAGGGGCCTCCTAGCTAACTCAAGAAAATCCAGTATCTCCCCACAAATTACTAATGAGAAAGCGAGACCAACCAGTATCTTGAGGTCATCCTAGCTAACCAAAAAAGAGTGAGAACTCAGGTCTACCCAAACTCACTTGGTTGGGCCAACCTCTCCCTATAACCTTAAATCTGACTATACTTTTCCTTGATCACTCCCACTCCAACTCACTTGCTTGTTTAGAAAGCACCTGGAGGCCAGGCGTGGTGGCTCACGCCTGTAATCCCAACACTGGGAGGCCAAGGAAGGAGGATCACTTGAGCTTAGGAGTTCAAGAGCAGCCTGGGCAACATGGTGAGACCCCGTCTCTATAAAAAGAAATAAAAAATTAGCCAAGTGTGGTGGCACATGCCTGTAGTCTTAACTACTTGGGAGGCTGAGGCAGGAGGATCACTTGATCCCAGGAGGTGGAGGCTGAAGGGAGGTATGATCACACCAGCGTACTCCACCCTGGCTCACAGAGTGAGACCCTGTCTCAGTAAATAGATTAGACAGACTACATAGATAAACAGATAGGTAGATTAGACTAGATAGATAGATAGATAGACGGATAGATAGGTAAAAACAGACAGATAGCACCTGCAAAAGACTGGATCATAAGAACTGCAAAGGTACTGTAGCTTTCACAGAAAGAAACATCTATGCTTGGCAATTGAATTTACTTTCTGAAATCTTGGAGAAGTATGATGAAGGAAGGAAGTATCTAGTTTGAGTCATAAATGGGAGCAGAAAAAGAACCCAACGATCTCCAAGTCCTCCAAATGCTGTGCAGCGGATAACAGACTGTCCTCATCTGGATTAACTGGAAATTTGGCACACGTTCGGGGGTCAACAGCTACGGCTGGAAACGAAGCCAGGGTTCATACGAGGGCTCACTCACGTCAGTCAAAGAGACCTTTTCTTGCACCTCTTCCTAATCCTATTAGGGCTACTCATGTTTTAAAATGTTCATCCCGTCTCAGTTTCGCTGGAAGGGGGACACTCCAATGCTTCTGACACGAAAACATCTCACGGCCCCCATCTGTCTCTGTGCCTTCCCTTCTAGGTCTGGCTCACTGAGAAGAACACAGCAAAGCCCTCCCTGCAACCAGAGGCACCTCGGATAAAGGGGCTGGCGCGTAACACCAAGCACAAAAAGCAAACTAATCATTTTAAAAGAAGGGAGACAACAGAGGCTCCGCTGTGCGACTTTGTGGGATTCTACCCCATTAGTATGTTGTGCTTGTTCAGCCTCGTCAAACACTGAAAGTCAAAGAGACGAAAAGAGGGCTCTTGTTAGAAAATAATGCATCGTGAAAATCAAAAAAACGTGTTCCTGTTACTTGTTTCCCAGGGAAAACTAACCAACTTCTGTCAGAGAACATTGATTTCTATAAATCTGGAGGGGCCCCAGCTCCCTCCTCCTCCCCAACGATAGGAAACTTCTAACATCTGGTTCCTCATGCATGGAATGCAAAATATTGATCAGGTTTTGTCAAAGCCTGCCCTTTAAAGTAGAAACAGACAAAGTACATTCTGACACACACACACAAACATGCACAATTCACAAACAAAGCTTCCTCAGGAGTACCACCTGTTACTACAGACACACCCGTGGCCGCCCTCTCGGCACACTGTGCTGTGCACACAGGCACACACGGCAACTCCATTTCCAGAGCAGCCCCTCTGAGCCAGGGGGCTATTCCAGGAGATGCGAGGTGCTTCCTGCCCAGCAGAGGAGAAACCCCATGGTGGAATGTCCCAGAAAACCCCTGAGACACCTGTCAGGCCAAAGGCAGGCAGGAGAGCCTGTCTGTAACTCTTCTCAGTCCATTGAACTGGAGGCCCCATGATGGAAGAAGCTGCCCGTTACAGCACCCCTGTCCAGGGAAAGACAGCAACCACAGCACGCAACAGCTTCAGCTTCTCGCTTCAGGGAGAGGACTATGTAATCTCACTAACAAACCTGGTGAGAGGGATGGGGAGAAGATGGGGACCAGTAAGTCTGCTAATTCCTCAACTTGATAAGATGAAGTAGGAAGACATAGCGGGTGTTCATTCACCATCATATGCATGCAGAGCATTTACTGTGGGTGCGGCATCTACACACATACTTTTTTTCTTTTTTGTCTGAGAAAGGGTCTCACTCTATCATCCAGGATGGAGTGCAGTGGTGCGATCATGGCTTACTACAGCCTCAACCTCCCCAGGCTGAGGTGATCCTCCCACCTCAGCTTCCTGAGTAGCTGGGACTATAGGTGCGTGCCATCATGCCTGGCTAATTTTTAAATTTTTTGTAGAGACAGAGTCTGACCAATTTGCCCAGGCTGGTCTCAAACTCCTGGGCTCAAAGAATCCTCCCACTTCAGCCTCCCAAAGTGCTAGGATTATAGATGTAAGTCACCGCACCCAGCCTACACACACTTTTAAATTTTCACATTACAACCCCATGAGGTGGGTCACATTTGGTTTTCATCCTTGGAGGAGCCCAAAGCTCAAAGAAGCCACATGACTCCTGCAAGGTCACACAGAGCATGGAGGAAACAGGACCAGAGCCTGAGACTTGAGTCCAAGTACCAAGTCCACAGCCGCCAAGCTACGCTGCACAGACTGCAGGGGGTTCTGGAACATGAGACTCTGCAGACCCAGGTGTTCACCTTGAATGCCTAAAATTAAAAAGAAAATCCTTCCAGGGGTAACGCAACCAGGAGTGGGGGAGGTTAATTTTTTAATCAGTCAGATCGCGTTATAGTTCCAAATGTAATGTCACATTTTTAGGAAGACTCCTGGAAGGTCAACCTAAATATATATGTATATTCTGTTCAATGCTGGCTTTTTATCTGCTCAAGCTCTCGTCCTTGACGCATGCTAATTTAGTTCTATTTCATTGTAGGATCCCTGCAGACACCATAAGATAGAAGCCCCAACCATGATTTATAAGAAAAAAGTAAAAGGAAGTAAAAATGTTCCCTTAGATCAATCCATTTGGGTTGCTCTGACCTAGTTTCTGGTTTCTAGGCCAGGCTCCTTAGGCCGTGGAACAAGCCATGATTGCTCACTCTCCGTATCCAAGGCCAGAGCGGAGACTTCCCGTTCCTCTATCTTTTCCCTTGCACGAATCACATTTCCTGATTCAAAATTCTCAACATTAGTGGCCTTGAGAAAAACAGTTAAGTTCTAGAAGGAAAATAACTAAGTCTATAGCTGTCTATAGGTTGTACCTGCCTTGGCTTTGACTCTTTCCTGGAAAAACACAAACATGGATCCTTGTGGAATGTCGACGCCTCCATGTAAACAGATTTCACTTCCCTCTGCTAGGAGAACTCCACAAAGGAGTGTGGAGCCACTGTTTATACATGGGGAGGAAATTTATCAGGCATGCATTTTTACCATTATGGGAGCAAATTATTAACCCTGTCTCAAAAAAAAAAAAAAAAAAGTGTGTGTAGGTGCTTCGCCCATAGTAAATGCTATGCATGCATATGATGGTGAATGAACACCCCCTACATCTTCCTTATTTCATGGTAGGACCCTGAGGAAGGGGCCTACCAGATCATAATGTCACAAGCAAAATGAGGACTGGTTTCCACAATGGCTGAGTGAGTGTGCACAGAGCTCAGAAGCTGAGGGGGGTATGTAGGTGGATAAAACAACAAAGTGGGTCCCACCAAGCTAACCTCAAACTACTCTCCAGAAACAACCTAGAGCTTCCAGAATCTGACAATCACCTCTTCACTAGGATATCATATCAGGAACAGCAACTTTCTTCATTTGTAAGATGTACTTCTTCCCTAGCACTATTTTCCAGCTTTCCCAAATTTAGGTCCCCATACAAAAATAAAAGCCTCCTGATATAGTTTGGCTGTGTCCCCACGCAAATCTCATCTTGAAGTGTAGTCCCCATAATCCCCATGTATCATGGTAGGGATCTGGTGGGAGGTAACTGAATCATGGGTGCAGTTACCCCTGCTGCTGTTCTTGTGACAGCGAGTTCTCATGAGATCTGATGGTTTTATAAAGGGCTTCCCCACTCCTTCACTCTGCACTTCTCTTCCTGCTGCCATGTGAAAAAGGACATGTTTGCTCCCCTTTCCATCATGATTGTAAGTTTTCTGAGGCCTCCCCAGCCATGCTGAATGGTGAGTCAATTAAACCTCTTTCCTTTAAAAATCACCCAGTCTCGGGTATGTCTTTATTAATAGCGTGAGAACGAACTAATACACCGCCATATACACATTACTCTAGCTTGTGCTCATCCAACTCCACGTCAAACTGTTGCCAATAATGATGGTTTGTGGGGCACTCTAGATTAAGCAGCCCAGTTGAAAACCCTCACTCTGAATCTCACTAGCTGTGCCACGTAGGGCAAGTCACATACACTGTTGGGTCTCGGTTTCCTTGTGTGCAAAACAGGGACAATAACAGAGCCTCATTTCACTGCTGGGAGGATTCAATGGGATAATTCATATAAAATGTGTCTGATACACGGTTAGCCTTCATAATAAATGAGGCTATTACTAATGTTATTTTTCATCAGTTAATCTTCAGGATTAGGGATGGAAACGAACATCTACTGAACATACCTATTTGTTATTTCTCTCCTTACAACCAACCCTCACTCCTCCCCAGGCTCCAAAAGGCAATCCTTGGTTGACAATAAAGAAACTGATATATAGGAATTATGACATGGACAGAGGATACTGAACACACACAGGGCTGCCTTCACCCTTACAAGAAGTGCAAAACTTGCCAAAGTCAGGCTGTTGGTGTAGGCAGAGCCCAGATCCAAAGCTTAAGCCCATGCCCTTGCCAAAAAAAAAAAAAAAAAAACAAGAAGTGTTTACTGGGTCTGTTTGCCCATCAGGGCACCAATGTAATAAAATGCAAGGACCACGTTCTTTCTCATGTCTGCCAATATCCTGGGTGAGGAGCAGGGAAGGGAGGAGAGTTCGGCTGAAATGCCTGGAAGACACTTCCCCGATTCTCCAAATCCACTCAAGAATTTGCTTATTTGTATCTCCAATCCCATGACAGTCAATCCAGCAGAAAAAAACACGTGTCTACTGGTCAAAACGGGTGTGCTACTTCATCTATAACCTGGAGATATTTTACTTGCCCTGTCTTACACAAAGCAATTTTAAAAACCGCATGAGAAAACTTCCACATATGTGAAAATCCTTCGGAACATGTGAAGAACTACCCAAATATTTGAGACAGTGATGGTCTTTCTACTGTAAGTCCAGATGTTGCTTCGTCGCTTCTGATGGGCACGTACAGCCAGGTGGGCTTGGTGATGGATGATGCCACTGGTGTTCCAGCTCAGTGGTTCTCTAACTTGAGCGTGCATCGGAAGCACCTGGGAGGCATGCTACGCCCTAGATCGCTGGGGCCATCCCAAGGGTTTCTGATTCAGAGGGTCTGGAGTGAGCCCCAAGAATCTGCATTTCTAACAGTCTCCCAGGTCATCATGACGCCGATCTGGGACCACACTTTGAGAACCGATGCTCTGGCCAGGACAGCAATGGCCACGGAAAAAGGACCCAAGTCGGAATACCTGGAGATGTTCTGTTGCAGGGAGGAAAATTTCCAAGACCAAAAATCTCTGCACTTGGCTTTTCCCAAAGAGTATCTTAAATTCTAGCAAACTGCACTTGATAAATCATGCAATGCCTGCACACAAGAATTCACCTCCTTAATGAAAAAGTCACACGGAAGCAGCTGCCTGCTACTGGCCTGCTCCAGATACTTCATAAAAGTCAGAATTGGCTCTATTCATCTTCCTCTCCCCTTTCACACCTGCACTCGAAAATTTCCCAGGGCTGTCGCTGGCAGCGTGGCTCTTGATGGGAAAGCATGAGGCATCATTTTTTCCTCCCTTGCTCTGCAGCCCGCTGAGTGCACCTGCCCAGATGTCTTGCTGGAACCGAGCCTACAGAAGAATTTCAACCAAATGCGAGAGGAAAATGCTCTTTAAAACTCCTCCCATGCTCTTCAACTTTCTGGTTGTTGCTGCAGAGCATGAATTTGGTGCTCAAACCCAGAGGCTCCTCTTGAGTTCCTACTATTTGCTGACAAATACATTCATCACCTTCATAATGAGAGAAGACAGGGCAGCCGGCGCAACACAAGCAGGAGGTAAGCAGCACCCACAAGGCTGCCTTCTGCCTCGTACAAGGGGCTTGATTTTTTATTTTATTCTTCTCTTAAAAGAGAGAATGAGAAAGTGACGGGGCGAGGCAGAAAAACTCCCTCTAAATCAACACTTCTGGCGTCGATCACTCTGGCTGATGCAGACATTTCACTTTTTCTCCTTAAATTCCATTTGTTTTCTGGAAGGTTGAAAGAGACAGACTTGTCGGAGGGAAGCAAGGGACCAACAGTGAAATGAGAAAGATGGTTCTTTGAGGAAGGACAGAAGAGTCTGCTTCAAGAGGCCAGGAGATGGCTGTATGCAGAACGGACGGCCACGTGGCGAGAGGGCCACAGTTCTGCAAACGATGACACTGCTCATTTCCCAGCTCTGCTTTTGGGTTCCCCCATAAATAACCCAGACAAACACCCCATGCACTGGGTTCTGCCCTCCTTCCCCCACCCCCTTTTTAAGTCTCATTAAAAGCCGATATTGTTCCGCCTCAAGATGGAGAGCTCAGCATGGATTTTACTGAACGTTAAATCAACCAGCAAGCGCAGCCAGCAAACTCTGTGGCACTTTAACTTTAAATAATGCAATAATTATTGAATTTCCTTTTTATAACTGAAGTGCTGGAATGTAAACAATGGGGCTGTAATTGCAGGAAGGGGGGATCAATAGAGGCAATCGTTTTCAACCATGTTAATTGTAAATACAATTGCTCCAAGATGTCAGCCTTGTTCTTCTTGCTCCCAGAATCATCCTAACGGATGACAGAGTCCAACTTTCCCATTACAGCTGTTCGTTCCTTTAAGAGGTTCTCAATCAGGTCTGATCAATCTGTCAAGATAATGCATGGAGTAAGTAAGACTCTTCCAAACACAGGCTCCCAATCAATAGCCCGGACCAGCTTAATGAGGTGGGGCTGAGGCCCAGAGGGAGGTAACAGCCCCCAGCTTGCGCCTGGGTTTGGCAGGCTGGCTTCCTCGCATGGCCCTGATAAACAGATCAGCCCTTAATGAGGACATTAGTTATGCATGCTTCAGCAAGCAGCAAGGCACCCGTCCCTGGGGACAGACGGACAGAAAACAAAATAGATTAACAGAAAACAACATGGTACCAAATTAGGTCTCACTGAAGACTTTTCCCTCCTTTTCCTGCTTTCCTTAATTGTCCAGCAGAGTGGAGGACACCAATTAATCATTCCAATGGGCCTGAGCGCAAAGACCTATGGGCATCCCCTGGGGTAGAGGATCTCAAGCTGTCCCTGAATATGAGCACCCTCATTTTTGAGACACCGTTTTCAGAGCACAAAGGGGCTGACGGGGGGCTGAGGAGCCTTTCATGGACGGGCCTTAGCACCAAACAGCCAGAGAGATGGAGGACAAGGCTGAACCTCAAAGTCTGACAGTCGCGCAGGCCAGCCGGGGGCTAAAGTTGGACAGGAACAAAAACCGCCACTCTGAGGCTGATGTCCAAGTTTCTGAGGCCAAGTCTTGGTCTTGAGAATGGTTATTCCTTCCAGATGAGGATGTGGGAAGTCAGGAGTCTTGAATGCAACTGCACCCAGCCCGGTACTGCAGGAGTCTGAATTCTCACCAGGATAACCAGAGAGGGCTCTATGGGGAACCCATGAGGAAGGGACACCATCTTCCCTTCCTCAGAGGCCGCTGTGCATTTGTTCCTGCTGCGAGAGTTCGAGGAGGGTGCCCACTGTGGAGGTCGTTGAGAAAGGCCCATGCTAAGGGCAGGTCCCGCCAAGAATCCAGCAGTTCCTTTCATGCTTGGCTTAGAGCAGGGAGTTCTCAAAGTGTGGCTCCTCAACCAACAGCAACAGCACCCTCTGGGAATGTCAGATGTGCAAATTCTCAGACCCTGTCCAGATCGACAGAAACTCTAGGGATGGGGCCAGGAATGTGGCTTTTAACAAGCCCTCTAGGCGATTCTGAGGCAAGCTCACTTGGTGGCCACTGTCTTACAGTGGGGGTTAGACAAGGCAGGCTTCTAGTAGGGATAACCTCCTCATATGTTACATGGAGTTGGACCTTTCTGGATCGGAAATAGTCCAGATGCCCAAGATATAGCTAGAAAACCGTATTCTTACTGAGGTTTGGCTCAGAGGAGGAACTATTATTCTAGCCCACCACCCATCTGCTCCAGAATGCAAGGCCCCCGGGAAAAATAAAACCAAAAGAACACAGAGGCCCTTGTGACAACTCCATTTTATTAGTTGAGAAAGATCATGAAATGGGTCGCACTACTGAATTTCAGAAGTTAACAGTCTCATATTGTGACAGAAGTAAAAACGAGAATAACTGGGTCTTTTGAAAGCTCTAAGGGATCAGCAGACTAAGAGAAAATAAATATACCGCTAGAAAGATCAGATCCCTGCACTATGCAGAGACCCAGCTCACAGACCACTCCTACTCCAAAGCTGTCCCCAAGCCCCAGGCTCCATCGCTTCCTCCTCTGGGCCCTTCAGCCCACTGGAAGCAGCTCCTATGCTGTGCGTGTTGCAAACCACCTTTGCTCCTCCGCCACACCATCAACAGCATCCCACAGGCTGGGACCAAGTCGAATATTTCTATCCTCAGTTCTCAGCACAGCTCCTGATTCATGGCAGGGACTTAAAAACTGTAGTGGCTCACGCCTATAATCCTAGCACTGTGGGAGGCCAAGGTGGGTGGATCACTTGAGGCCAGAAGTTAGAGACCAGCTTGGCCAACATGGCAAAACCCCACCTCTACCAAAAATACAAAAATTAGCCGGGCGTGGTGGCAGGCTCCTATAATCCCAGCTACTTGGGAGGCTGAGGCAGGAGAATTTCTTGAACACAGGAGGTGGAGGTCGCAGTGAGCCGAGATCACAACCCACTGCACTCCAGCCTGGCAACAGAGTGAGATTCTGTCTCAAAATAAATAAATAAATAAATAAATAAATAAATAAATAAATAAATAAATAAATAAAAATTGTGGGCTGAAAGTTTGAACAGATGAAGAAAATCCTTCTAAAGCTCCACTATTCCTCCTGGGTCTTCAGCTTGCCTTTCAAGACCTATCTAATCCAGTCCAAATTCACTTCCCCCATCTCAGATTTCAATCCTCCACTCCATTCCACTTGCAATTAGACTTGTGTCAGTTCCCACCTTCCCCACCAACTATGATCTTTCTGGTCTCAGTGCCTTTTCTTGCTGGGAAACCCTCCCAGATAACTCTGACCCATGCTGAAATGCCTCACATCTCCTACGGCAGGCTGGTGGCACCTGCGCCTGGAAGGCTTTATGCATTGCACCTGAGCTAAAACAGTGGCTCCTTGCCTGTGGGGGGGGTCCCACAGCACCAGGTGGTCCCGATCAGGGCCCACCACAAAGCATTCTCTTTTTTCTTTCTTTCTGAGATGGGAGTCTCACTCTGTCACCCAGGCTAGAGTGCAGTAGTGCCATCTTGGCTCACTGCAACCTCCATCTCCTGGGTTCAAGTGACTCTCCTGCCTCAGCCTCCTAAGTAGCTAAGATTACAGGTGCCCGCCACCATGCCCAGCTAATTTTTGTATTTTTGCATTTTTGGTAGAGACGGGGTTTCATCATGTTGGCCAGGCTGGTCTCGAACTCCTAACCTCAAGTGATCCGCCCACCAAGGCCTCCCAAAGTGCTGGGATTACAGGCATGAGCCACTACACCCGGCCCTTTCTTTTGTGTAGATGCTTCACTTGATTTCTACACGGGGCTCTCTGTCCCTCAATGACTGAGATGGGAGGTTGGGGGCTGAAGAGAATAAAAATGTTTGCTAATATTTATTGCTTGTTTAAATAAGATTTAATGACAGGAGATAATTACACTAAATGGCTTTATTCAGTGACTTGAATTTTTTTAGTATGTGAATCACAAAAGGGCTCGCCCCTCCCCACCAATCAGCCACAATGTCCCCCAGCCAGAGGACAACTGAGTTGGTCCTCCTCATTCCATTCCTCCATTTCTTCTACATCCCTAGCTATGTTATTTACATAGGTTTACTATCACTATGCTCCTTTACTATTAAACTGACAAATAATTGCAAGATTCAGGTATCTGAGCACCATCGAGACGATCAAGACCACAGAAGAAAGGAAGAGGGAGTACACTCCGCAGATGCCTCCCAGGGGGAGTAACTCAGGCTGTCAGAATTCTACATGTGTGCGGGCAGTGTTCACCACACACACCTTTGCAGATAAAAAGAATGTGGTACATATTTTAGTTCTAAACATAAAATGTCCACCCAAGCCAACAGAGTGGTGTGAAAGTGTTCAGATACCTGGAAGGCAGTGGCCACACAGGCATTCCTAGAACATAAGACAGCTTGTCTACAGCTCCGATGAGTCAGAATGAGGGGGACATCTTTTCAATACACACATCACACGTACAACTTTATTTTCTTCCTGAATTTCCTGTCCTCCTAATCTAACTGTTGCCAGGGACTGCTGCTGACTGGATCCCCAAGTCATATAACCCACGTGGTTAAGGCTCTCACCTTCCTCTACTCTCCATTCTAGGACCTAGGAGGAATGGACCATTCTCTACATGGGGTCAGAGTTGCATGTTCAGATGTGATTCCTTCCCTCTCCAGCTACGCCCAAACTCTGGGATCTCCAGCCTTCTGACTGGCCAACCCCCCGATAAGATCCCTCCCGGGACATCCAAGCAATTCGATCCAAAGATGCCGCCTCCTGGTTGGTCAGCTCTCCAGCTCCTAGTGGAATGAGACTGGAAGGCCGGCCCGGGAAAACGTTTTAAAACTTATTTTTAAGTGGCAAAATACAGGGAGAATTTTCACCAGCCAGTCCACACTGGCCAAAACATCCCCTGCTTACACTCAGTAAGTTCACTGTACTGCAGGCCCAAGAAACAGTGATGACACAGGAAGAAGCCGTGGTCGATGATCGCACTGGGGGGGCATGGGACCGGGGTGGGGAGCATCGCCAATCTTATTCCAGACAGATGATAGTTTACAAAACCTTCTGGAGAACTGTGAGGAATTTCCTTCAGTAAAAATCAAGTCTTCAGAAAACTGCACCAAAAAAGCTGGCCGGGCATGGTGGCTCACACCTATAAATCCCAGCACTATGGGAGGCCGAGGCAGGCGGATCACCTGAGGTCAGGAGTTCGAGACCAGCCTGGCCAACATGGTAAAACCCTGTTTCTACAAAAAAGTACAAAAATTAGCCAGGCATGGTGGCACGCGCCCGCAGTCCCAACAACTCAGGAGGCTGATGCAGGAGAATCACTTGAGCCTGGGAGCTGGAGGTTACAGTGAGCCGAGATCATGCCACTGCACTCCAGACTGGGCAACAGAGCGAGACTCTGTCCACCCCCCTTCCCCCCCTCAAAAAACTAATGACTGGGAAAATTTTCTTTGAGCAAAATGGTAGGAGTTGGGGAGGAGCAAAGGAGGTGGGTGGAAGCGAGGACTAGAGAGAGGACTGCCCAGACCCTGCCAGGTGGAAAGCATCAGGACACATCACGCATGCTACAAGTTTTTATGTGACGCGTGCACAGTGGCATGTGGACACAGACCTGGCCGTGCTTTCTCCCGGGGCTACAGTATTAAGATGCAGTCAATCGCTCACCATCACACCAGTGGGCAAGTGATGTCTTTTTGGAATCTCAAATCCAGTAGCCTGCTCTGCTAGCCTTAATCTAGTCAGTCTATGGACGCTTTTATATTAGTAGGTATTTTAAAGGCTTAAGTCTTAAAACACAAATCTTTCGATGACCTTTCCAGATGACTCTATAATAGCATAAGGCCAGAGGAAACAGCAGCAGCCAGTCTCAGGTTCTGGTAGCACTGGTATTTTTATAATGGTCTTTCTTCCGGCTTTGATTCATTCATTCATTCCCCGTGTGTCTGTCTACATTCCTGCTGCTTCTTTCCTCACGCTCTAATCTCTCCCCAAAATGAGTGTTCATCAATCACCTCTAAAAATTATCCTCATCATTCTCTGTACGTGAGAAAGGCCTTTCACTAAAGGGTCTTTATCACCCACTACTCCCCTGTACCACCCCTGTCTCCAGCCAGCAGCTCTACCGGTTCTCGGTTTCCAAAGGTTTCCTCTATTTGTGTGTGTGTGTGTGTGTGTGTGTGTGTGTGTGTGTGTGTGTGTGTGTGTGTGTGTGTGTTGTGTGTATGCACACAGGTGCAGGCTCAGGCCACTTCCTCCTGTGTACAAGTCCATGCTAGATCCTCCAAATTCCTTTTTTTTTTTTTTGATGGGGTCTCATTCTTGTCACCCAAGCTGGAGTTCAGTGGCAGGTGGCAGGATCTCGGCTCACTGCTACCTCTGAGTCCCAGGCTCAAGTGATCCTCCCACCTCTGCCTCCAGAGTAGCTGGGACCACAGGCCCGTGCTACCATGCCCAGCTAATTTTTGTATTTTTAGTAGAGATGGGGTCTCATCATCTTGACCAGGCTGGTCTCAAACTCCTGGCCTCAAGTGATTCACCTGCCTCGGCCTCCCAAAGTGCTGGGATTACAGCATTAGCCACCGTGCCCAGCCCCTGCTCCTCCAAATTCTATCCTCCTTTCTAAGCATCTCACCTCCCGCCCTTTTTCTGTCTGCAGCGATCCTTTCTCCTCTGAACTCCAAGTCTTGGGCTCTCAGCACGGCTATGGGCACTGCTGCCCTGAGTGCTGGTAATCAGCTTTATGTATGTGGCACACCCCCCAGTGAGACTGGAAGGTTCCTGAGGGCAGAGATGCTATGCCCTCCTCCCTGGGGATTGACACACAGGAGCCACGTCATTCTGCAGTGAGAACATGGGAATGGGAGTGAGCAGCCGTGGAGAAGAGGGAGGACTGACGCTGAGCTTTCTCTTCCATTGTAAAAGGAGGAATAGGGCCACCTACCTCACCAGGGGCCATGAGGCTTGAGTGAGAAAATCAGTATGAATGAACTTCCTTAAACAATAAAGCAAAATTAAAACAAAACAGCTGCTCAGGTGACGACAATGGGTGGAAAGGGGAACTTGAAGATTCAGGACGCCTCCCCTGCCATCTGATTTCATCAGGGTCCTAGGACTGACTACACAAAGAGGAATTGATTACTTGATCGTCCGTTCACTTACCTTGCTAATGAAATCATTGGGTTTTTCTGGGGAAGAACCTGTTAGGAGGACTGGCTTGCCTCTGGGTGTCAGTCCCGCTGGTGCCAGCTGCATCCCCAATGCCAACATGACTCATGCGATGACACAAATTGCCATTGGGCTTTGTTATTATGTGACCTTCAGCAAGTTACCCGCCCGTCCCTGCTCCAGTGCTAAAATCAGCACGGCGATACGAGAACCTACTTCAAGGCATCATCATGAGGAACGATGATGAAGCAGCTAATAATGACTGGGAAACACTTTGTCTTTGTAAAGAGCCATATTACTTAACATTTAGAATAATACCCACTGTTTCAGGTTGAGAAAGCATTCAGATTTTAGCTAAACTGAAGGCTGAGCACATCCACTAATGAGCACTGTCCTTCCCATAGAAACGGCGAAAGCTACTCAGTCTGCTGAATAAAATGACTAGCAGTACATTAGCGAGAAGCGGATGCAGGTTTAGTTACCATGAAACCAGGGCCATTGCATTCAACATCTAATAAGCAAATTCTTACGATCACAGAAATAAGCCAGAGCCTACCGAGCTGACAACAATTGCATGAAAAGCGGTTTGGGGAGAATAATGTCTTAGTCCCAGTTTTCCTAGAATTCATAAGAATACAGCCTCTTAGAAGGCACGTTTCTAAAATGTAGGCAAGGGGTCAGAAAACTTTTTCTGTAAATATTCAGAGGGTAAAAAAGCTTAGGTTTTTAAGGCCCGTACCATCTCTGTCTCAACTACTCAATTCTGCCACGGCAGCACATAAAAGAATAGGCATGACTGTGTTCCAATAAAACTTTATTTATGGAGACAAATGGCTGGCTGTATTCCCTCCTCTGGCAGTGATATGCTGTTCCCTGACCTAAAACCCCGTAACAAATTTATACAATCATTTAGAAAAATCACGCGCCTGCTCTCAATAAAGGGAACATATACATTATCTTTCTCTCACACACACCCTCTTAAACACACTCTTTGATAAGCAAAATAAGTTTCTTACAATTTTTGAAACTCAAGTTAAGAGCCAGGCTCAGGCCGGGTGCGGTATAATCCCAGCACTTTGGGAGGCTGAGGTGGGAGGATCGCTTGAGCTCAGGAGTTCGAGACCAGCCTGGGCAACGTGGTGAAACCCTGTTTCTACAAAAAAATACAAAAATTAGCTGGGCATGGTGGCGTGCACCTGCAGTCCCAGCTACTTGGAGGGCTGAGGCAGGAGGATCACTTGACCCTGGGAAGTTGAGGCCGCAATGAGCCAAGATCGTGCCACTGCACTCTACCCTGGGTGACAAAGTGACACCGTGTCTCAAAAAAAAAAAAAAAAAAAAAAATTAAAAAGCCAGGCTTGCAAACTTCATATGCAAATAAGCTGTTTCAACGTGAAAGTCAACACCTATTTAAGAGCCATTTAACTTTCAATTACGAAATGAATTCAGAACAATTCAACTTCACTGCTTGTTTTCAAGGCTTTCGAACCTAACTTTCTCGTCAGTGTGCTCAGTCACAGGGCACTGGTTCTCAGGTTCTGCATCTCACTCTACAATCAAGGTAAATACCACCACAGGAATAAGGGTTAAGGTTATACACTTATTCAGAGCTTAACAATACCTGTAACTGACGCCACTTTGAACGAACCTAGTGATGGAATTACTAACAACAACAAAAATGTGGCCTTCTGAGTCTACGCCTTCCAGTAGCTGAAAACAATCCAGTTTTAAACAGCCAGGGAGGAAAAAATGAGAAGGTGAAAAATCAGGTCATTATCATCCCTGCGTCATGCCATGCTCTTGCTTCCTTCCTAAGATGCTCTTAAGAGCTGACGCTAGGACATCCAAGAATCTTGGATCCTGACATCTAAGAACAAGTGATCAGGAAATCTGGATTGAGAAAAATGAAGTATTTAGGTGTTTTCTCAATAACATCATCTTACATGTACACAGTCCTGCGTAGATTTCAAAGGGTTTGGCCATTACACAGCTCAAATGATTCTCATAAGCACCTTGAGACATTAGGCAGTGGATGGCAGCGTGGCAGATGGCTTTCTCCTCTGTTTAATGGACACAGGAGAGAGATAATCTAGAGATGGCAAATTGGCAGTGGCTGAGAAGCCTGCAGGTGGGAGCTTCATAACCCTCGGGAGTTTTTAAAAATGCTTAATTAATGGTGAACATTTAAAAATCTGCCAATTTCCCATACAATCAAGATTTTTTGCCTCTTTAGACATTAAAAAACAAAACAAAACAAAAAAACAGGGTTTCTGGCTGTACATTCCCTCATGTCAGCAATTACCTAGAAAAGATGGTGCAGGAGCCCTCCAGCCCCACACCAGTTACCCACTTCTGATACCTGTATGGCCCCTGCAGGCATCTGGGTTTGCAATCCCTGGGTCCGAATGTGAAAGAGAATGTGGCTGGCAAGTAGGAGTCACAGAAGTCAACCCTGGGATCTACCATTCCTCGGCTGGGGTTTGTCAGCCCGTGCTGTGCTACTCCGTGAATAACCCAGCACAAAGATTCCCCTACAAAACATCATGTTGCTGCCTGGGTTGCACACTGCAAAACAGAAGGTGAGAAGCTCAGCTTCACCAGACTTGGGCAGTAAGGGAGTCGAGAATGAGTGTAGCTTCACAAGGGAAGCCAGCTTAATTCTGCCACAGGAGTTAATATTTGTTAATTGGTAGAAAAAGGTAAAATTAATGAGGAAGTTAGCATAGCTATTTAAAAACAGCTCCATGTTTCCCCCACTGTAACACATGGAACTATCAGGAAGTAATTGAGGGAAAAGGACACTGTCAATTCTCAATTATCTGCATGAATGAAGCGCTCAGTGACACGGATAATCCAAGTCACTTACATTTGGATTTAGAAAGTAACATCTTTTTCCTTCGGAAAACTTACCTTCCTAATTAGGGCTTGCTGAATGCAGTGGCGAAATCAGTTTACCTTCTCGGTCAGAGAAACAACGTGTCGGGGAAGGTTTGGAAACGGCTGGGCATTTCAGACCCTCCGCGGATAACCCAGGGCAGATAAAAGATCATTCACAGAGGCTGGCCAATATAGCAGCCACTAGCCACATGTGACTATTTAAATTTAAATTAAGTTAAATAAAATGAAAAGTTCAATCCCTCGGTGACACTAGCCACATTTCAAGTGCTCGATGGCCCCGTGTGGCTGGTGGCCACCACGCTGGACAGCACAGATCACAGAACATTTCCATCATCACAGAAAGTTCTAGTGGACGGTGCTGAATTCTAGACCAACAATCACATCTAGTTACCTGGATTAAGTAGAAAGCAGAGGGCAGGGGGAGAGGGATGCGGGAGACGTCACACTGCCACTTTAGAAACAAAAGGGAATTGTAACTCCGGACTCTCTCAGCTAGTTTAATTTCAAGCCCGGTAATGTAGACGCTGTCTAGGGAATAACATAAAAAATAAGCATTCCATTCTAAGTAAAATGAGGCTTTTTAATTAACAAAGCAGAAAACGGGAGGATAAAAGGCGAGGCAGGAAAGGCTGATTTTCAGCAAACATGTGCCATTGCTGCCTGTACCCAGCATGGCCATGCAGCCCAGACGCTGGCTGAAGGGTAGACAAAGGCAGGAGCTCGACCCTGCCAGGCTCCGCGCGGGGAGGTGCCTGCTCAGGTGCCGCTGGGAGCAATGTCAGGCCCAGTGTCACTTAACATCCTCATTAATTATCTTGAAAGGAGAGGGTTAGTAAACAGCAAGTTAATTAAATTCTCAGATGATGCTAATTTGGGAGGCTTTAGAAAGACTGGCAAGGGCAGTGGCAATATAAATGGGACCTGGGTGGGTTGGAGGTATGAGTGGAAATAACATTAAGCGCTGGCCAAACGCTGCTCTTAAATAAGTCTTATGGAAGAGCCAAAATACATCTGAAAAGAAACTTATTTGGAAAATTGTTGCAGGAAAGCTAAAAGGTTGGAAGCTTCTAAGGCGTATGATCAGAATGGGAGTCAAAAAGGCTTTTTAAGACTTTGAATAAAACTGTTTACGTGCACTTAGAGGTCTGGGAGAAACAGCAGCTCCTAAGGGTTGCTGTCCTTGGGAGGGAGGATAGGAGCGAATGGGGAGCAGGGATGGGGCTTGCACTTTTACTTCCTTTTCTTCTAAATGAATTAAAGATTTTTATTATTATTTTATTATTATTTTTTAGACAGAGTCTCCCTCTGTCGCCAGCCTAGAGTGCAGTGGGGCCATCTCAGCTCATTGCAACCTCTGCCTCCCAGGTTCAAGCGACTTCCCGGCCTCAGTCTCCCAAGTAGCTGGGACTATAAGCACACACCACCACACCTGGCTAATTTTTGTATTTTTAGTAGAGACGGGGTTTCACCACGTTGGCCAGAATGGTCTCAATCTCCTGACCTCATGATCCGCCTACCTCAGCCTCCGAAAGTGTTGGGATTACAGGCGTGAGCCACCACGCCCAGCCCTAATTAAAGATTTGTAAAACAGGCCTGGTTTTTGAATTCTGATTTTGAAATTTTTGTGTCTGAAATAACATTAGATTTATAGAAGAGTTGTAAAGATACAATGAGTTCCCATGTGCCCTTCACACAGCTGCCTCTAATGTCAACATCTTCCATCTTAACAGCTGGGACACTGTCAAAGCAAAGAAATGAGCATTGCTACAATACTATGACCAAGCTACAGACTTTATTCAGATGCCACCAGTTTTTCTACTCAAGGCCTTTCTCTGGTCCAGGATCCAAACCATGTCCCTGCATAGCACTGAAATGTCATTCTCCTCCATCGCCTCCAATCTGTCTTTCCTTGTCCTGAAAGACCTGGGCGCTTCTGACAGGGGCAGGTCAGTAGAGGACCCCTCAGTGTGGGTTTGTCTGATGTTTTCTCACAATTAGATTGAGATTATGGATTTCTGGAGAGAATGCCACCAAGGGGAAGGACCCTTCCCATCCACCGTATCACATCAGGGGCTATGTGACATCAACATGACCCATCACTGGTGATGTTGACCTTGATCACTTTGTTAAGGTGACATCTGCTGGGTTTCTCCAAGGGTAAGTTAACACTTTTCTTTCTCCAGACTTTACTCATTAAAAAGAGTCACTAAGCCCAGCCCACACTTAAGGGCAGGGGAGTGAAGCTCCACCTTCTGGTTATTACGCTGTTAATAAAATAAAAACATCTCGTAAAAGAGATAAACTTCTCTTTATGCAAACAAAGGTGGCTAATGGAAATGTCTATCTAGAAAGTCAGAGTTTGTTGTCTTTGTTTTGCATACCTGGGCTCTCGACAATGGAAATGAAGCAATGCCAAGAGATTCAGGGCCCTCACAGTGCCAGGCCAGGTGCTGTGTAGCTATAGATATTAGCCCATTTAATCCCCACCACAGCCAGATGAATGAGATGGCACAAGATTACAACAATCCTCCCAAATGACAGTAGGTGAAATGTGGAACCAAGAGGTTAAATCACTTGCTCGTGTTAACACAGCTATGAAGGGACAGAGGCGGGATCTGAACCCAGGCCCCCTGGCTCTAGAGATCATGCTGTCTAGAGACCTCTCTGCTATCCTGCTTCTTGATATACAACTCTGAAATTTCAGGGCAGTTAAAATGCGGCAGCACCATGTCACTCCCACAGTGGCACTGTGAGTGACAGCGCTAAGGAGGCCCAACAAAACCAAGATGGTCTGGAGGGTTTTCAACAGAAGACAGTCCGCCTTCATCTCTATAGTGTGGCAGAGAATCCAGAACACATTAGCTTGGCTAAGGACCTCCCTCTCTACAAACAGGTATGGAAGAAGCTCAGAACCCACAGACCACGATACTTACTCCCATCTCAGCCCCTATCTACTACAGACACAAACTTGGAACTGTCTCCAAAAACATTTAGAGTTCACTGTGACAAAGCAATAAAGCTCAGAGGTCAGGAAAAAAGCGATCAGCAGGCAGACTTGGGGGAGAAACTTGGCCCACAACACCCCCGATCTACAACCTGCAAATATTTACTCATGGGCTTGTTTAATCCTAACATTTGATGTTCTGACATTAAAAAAGAAACAAGGAAGCTCTTGCTTCTAGAGAAACAAGAAAGGAACAAGGAATGTTTGGGTAAGAACTGCTGCATTCTTACCCAAAAGAATAACATAGGCTAGGCTGGGTGCGGTGGCTCATGCCTATAATCCCAGCACTTTGGGGGCTGAGGCAGGCAGGTCACTTGAGGTCAGGACTTTGAGACAAGCTTGGCCAATACGGTGAAACCCTGTCTCTACTAAAAATACAAAAATTAGTTGGGTGTGATGGTGTGCGCCTATAGTCCCAGCTACTCGGGTGGCTGAGGCAGGAGAATTGCTTGAATCTGGGAGGCAGAGGTTGCAGTGAGCTGAGATCACACTACTGCACTCTAGCCTGGGCGACAGAGTGAGACTCCATCTAAAAGCAAACAAACAAACAACAACAACAAAAACACATAGGCTAACAAGTAGCCTACGTTATTCAAAATTCAAAATTCCAGTACTGATCTTTACCATCATCCTGTCCACAGAGAAAAGATGATGAAGTGTGTAGGAAGCAACAAATGTCCCCTACCTGCACACCCGCCCCACACTGGATTCTCCAAATATCTGGCATTTATTTCTCCTCCATTTAACCCTGTCTTTTGTTTTCCCATTGTGTCAACTGCAAAAATTTGCCTTTAAAAAAATGACACTAATAAAGAATCACACCATACAAATTCTAATACTATATTGATCCCATCAGTGACTGGGCAGACAGCAGATCTTCCATCAACACCTAGACTCGCAGAACACATCAAACAGAAGGCTCTCGACACCCAGTGTCCGGGATCAGCGTGGCGGGCCTCTGCTCCAACCTGTCCACCCAACTAGATCTCAAGAGGAAAACAGAATTGCCACCTCTCAAGACTGAGGCTACGTGCAGTGGCTCACACTTGTAACCCCGGCACTCCTGGATGCCAAGGCTCAAGAGGAGCCCAGGAAGTCGAGACCAGCCTGGGCAACAAGGCAAGATCCAGTCTCTACAAAAAATAAAAAAAATTAGCCAGGTGTGTGGTACATGCATGCCTGTGGTTCCAGCTACTCCGGAGGCTGAGGGAGGAGGATCACTTGAGCCCAAGAGGTCAAGGCTCCAGTGAGCCGTGTTTGTGCCACTGCACTCCAGCCTCTGTGACAGAGCAAGACTCTGTCATAAAAAAAAAAAAAAGGCTGAATTTCATTGTGATTTTAAAAGCACATATAATCATTTTATAAAATGCAGAAAAGTGTTATTAATAAGTTAATCTCTGAGTGCTTACTATGTGCCAGGCACAGTTCCAACGCCCATTCTAAGAATCACCCACTCTAGACGTAACTACTTAACATTTCAAAGTATTCTTTTCCATGCATTTCAACGTTTCACTTCAGCCAGAAAACATAAAATAGCATTGAAGAGAGGCATATTTTCTGATTTTTAATGGCATCAGAAGCTGGAAATGACGGACTGGAATAGTATACGTGGCAAAAATCTAAAATAATTAAGAAGATGTTTGTAAGCACTTAGAAAAGAGAGCAGTGAATCACTTACAGAGCAAGAGACTGACTTCTTCCTTGACTCTTCACTTCCCCCCCCTCCTCCGCCTTTCTTTTTCTCAAATAAGGTGACTACTGCTGTTATTACTAACACCGAACTGGGAGATCAGGGACTATTAAAGATTAATGACATTTGATTTTGTATCTCATGATATGCTTGTGAACAATCTGGAATGGGGGGATCTAATTATACTATGGTAAGAGGTCTCTGTACTTAAAAATGTTGGCCCAGAGAATGCTGATGATAAATCAAAGTCAACATGGAGGAAAATGCCTGCAGTAAAATATAATTATCCAGGTGGACCTCTCCTGTCCAGCGTTTCTAATAAGATGTGAACAGAGACAGAAGTCATGCCTATCACCCAACAAAGTTAGTCAAAAAGTCATATGGGGAAGAAACAGGTGAAATGTAAATCATTTGTACGAATTGACTAACGAGGATTATTATATTTTAATACCAGGCAGTGCAAAACTAAACAATGGAGACAGTTCTGTATGGCCCCAAGAAAAGGCGAATTAATAAAAAAAGAAAATGTCTAGAAACAGATCCAAATGAGAACTTCATGTATGATATAGTGGCATTTCTAGGCACCACGGCAAAGGATGGGTAGATTGCTTAATAAACATGGCAGGGACAGATAATTGAGAAAAAAATAAATAGAGGAACCCCTATCTCACAGTATATACCAAAATAAACTCCAGATGGATAACAGAGTTAAGTGTCAAAACATGAAACCATGAAAGACTAAAAGGGGATGGAGTGAATGTGATCTTGGCAGGGGAAAGACAGTTCTAAGCTTAACAAAGCAGAAGAAGGCCAGGTGCAGTGGCTCACACCTGTAATCCCAGCACCTTGAGAGGCCCAGGCAGGTGGATTGCTTGAGCCAAGGAGTTCGAGACCAGCCTGAACAACATGGTGAAACCCCATCGCTACAAAAAAAACACAAAAATTAGCCAGGTATCATGGCACGCGCCTATAGTCCTGGCTATTCAGGAGGCTGAGGTGGAAGGATTACTTGATTCCAGAAGGCCGAGGCTACAGCGAGCCATGATCACACCACTGCACTCCAGACTGGGTGACAGAGCAACACCCTGTCTCAATAAATAAATAAACAAACAAAGGAGAAGGAAGCAAAAATGAGAAGTTTTCGCCATGTAAAATTTCGAAACTTTGGAATCTCAAAACATACCATAAACAGCAAAAGATAATGATAAACTGGGGGAAAGGTAGACAGTAACACAAATACATAAATACATGTTTAACACCTTTGATAGAGAAAGAGCTATTTTAATTTGTTTATATTATCCATCTATGAACGTTTAATTTATAACAGTGAAAAACTGGAAACAAGCCGACTATCAAACGCCCAGTAACTAAATTGCAGCACCTTCATACCACGGGGTGTTTGGTGCAGCTATCAAAAATCATGTTGTAGAAAACATCTAGTGACATCCAAAAAAGGTCACACATTGTAAAGCTTTTTAGAAGCCAGTTACAAGATACACACAGTATCATTTCAATTCTACGAAATAATAATATCACATCTGTACAGAAGAGGCCAAAATGACATATACCAAAATGTTTAAAATTTAAAGCATCTTGGTAGTGAAATTAGGGATGATTTTTTGTGTGTGTGTCTCTGCATTTCCAAAATTTTTTTTACATACAATAAACATGAAGCACTTTTGAACTCAAAATTAATAAAAATAATTAAGTGGAAATATATATGTGTGTATATAAAGACGATCACCTTACTGTTACATTTTCAGATATTATAAACTTGAGAGGGCAGCCAGCTAGCCCACTGAGTCAATGGAATAAACACGATGAAGAAAAACAGCAATAAATGTCAAGTTCCTTCCCCAGGTTGAGGGGACAAGGAGGCCTGGTTTAACTGTCAGTTCCATGAGGGCTTGAGATGGCTGCTTAATAAAAGACTAGAACATTAATGACTTGGTGTCTATATCAAGGAAAGGGACAGACTCCCTGTGATCCACACGAGTGAGGCCTCGCCAAAAGACCACGTCCCATCAAAGGCATCATCATTCAAGGGACCTGTCAACAAGCAAATAAGTCAAAAGCAGGGGGCAAGGATGGTAAGGGGTTTGGAAACCATATAAAGAATAGTCACAAGTGCTTGAGATTTGCATTCAGGAGGATGGGGACGGTACATACACATGAAGACAAGAGACAAGAAAAGGAGGGACAATTAGCTAAACTGCTTATGGCATCTTCATACAATAATACTACGCAGCTATTAAAAATTATGATGGAAAAAATAGTGACATTCAAAAAATCAAATATTGCAAAGTTTTAAAAAGTCACAAAAACCAGTATCCTTTAAACACTTACAAAATCATCATATCACAAGGAAGATGTCTCTTCTAGAAGAGGAACAGGACAAAAGTATCTCTACCCCTGCAGGTAACTAGGCAGCCAGTAACTCAACATAAAGGATGGGCTTTATGATAATTAAAGGTGGCCCTGGACTCCTTTGTATAAAGAAATGGAAATGTTCAGAGAATCTCTATGACCTTTGTTTAAAGGTAGTTCTTTTTTTTTTTTTTTTTTTAAATGGAGCCTTGCTCTGTCTCCCAGGCTGGAGCGCAGTGGTGAAATCTCGGCTCACTGCAAGCTCTGCCTCCCGCGTTCACACCATTCTCCTGCCTCAGCCTCCTGAGTAGCTGGGATTACAGGCACCCGCCACCATGCCCAGCTAATTTTTTTGTATTTTTAGTAGAAATGGGGTTTCACTGTGTTAGCCAGGATGGTCTCGATCTCCTGACCTCATGATCTTCCTGCCTCGGCCTCCCAAAGTGCTGGGATTACAGGCGTGAGCCACCGCACCCGGCCTGTTTAGAGGTATTTCTATACGATGTTCCTTTGCTGGGTTCAGTGTGTTCCCTAAATGCGGGTAGATGTGCCTGGAGGTTGTTAAAAACACAGATTCTGTGCATTTCCCTAATCCAGGCTCACAGGATCAGTCTCTCAGGCAGGACCTCAGCTCAGATTCTGTACTTTTTTTTTTTTTAGAGACAGGGTCTCACTCTGTTGCCCAGGCTGGAGTGTGCAGAGGTATAGTCACAGCTCACTGCAGCCTGGAACTCCCAGGCTCAAGCGATTCTCCCACCTCAGCCTCCCAAGTAGCTAGGACTACAGGCGTGCACCACCACACCTGGCTAATTTTTGTATTTTTTTGTAGAGATGGGGGTTTCACCATGCTACGCAGGCTGTTCTTGAACTCCTGAGCTCAAGTGATCTATCTGCCTTGGCCTCCCAAAGTGCTGCGACTACAGGTGTGAGCCAGTGTGCCCAGCATATTTTGTACTTCAAAGGGTTCTCTCACTGATTCTGACGCACAGCTAGGTTTAAGAATCCTTGAGCCAGGTGGTATCTTTATTTTTAAGAAAGATCTGTTTTGTTTTTTTTTAAGGCAGTACAGAAAGAAATGTATAAATCATCACATTCTATCACTAATGTGAACATTTTTTACCAATATCCATCTTGATATCTCCTGTCTATCTATCTAAAATATACCTCCAATTTTACATAAACGCAATGATCTGTATATGTAACATTTTTATACTATGTTGAGAGAGGCCGTCTTTCCAACTAAAACATGTATATGCACCATCTTTTTTTTTTTTTTTTTTTTTTTTTTTTTTTTGAGACAGAGTTCTTCACTCTGTTGCCAGGGCTGGAGTGCAGTGGCACGATCTCAGCTCACTGCAACCTCTACCTCCCAGGTTCAAGCGATTCTCCTGCCTCAGCCTCCCAAGAACCTGGGATTACAGGCACCCGGTACTATGCCCAGCTAATTTTTTGTATTTTTAGTAGAGACGGGGTTTCACTATGTTGACCAGGCTGGTCTCAAACTCCTGACCTTGTGATTCACCCGCCTTGGCCTCTCAAAGTGCTGGGATTACAGGCATGAGCTACTGCGCCCGGTCCCTGCATCACCATTTTTAATACCTGCACTGTAAGCCACAAGAACATGCTGTAATTATCTTAACTAGTCCAACTGAAGAATTTGCCAACTTAAAAAAAAATAACCAAAATAAACAATGTTGTGAAGAAGAGCATCTCATACATATCAACACCCAGAAGTCACTGGGCCTCAGCACAGAATTAGCCCACTTTACACTGTGATAGCTATCAGTGGAAAAATTAAACTAATACACACAGCCACCAACAGGGTACATGAGCCCCTGGATTCCATTATGATTAGGAATATAATCAACTTAAAGAAACACACCAACCAGGTGCAGTGGCTCATGCCTGTAATCCAAGCACTTTGGGAGGCCAAGGCGGTGGATCACCTGAGGTCAGAAGTTCGAGACCAGCCTGGCCAACATGGCGAAACCCCGTCTCTACTAAAAATACAAGAAAAAAAAAAATTATCTGGACTTGGTGGTAAGCGCCTGTAATCCCAGCTACTCATCACTTGAACCCAGGAGGTGGAGGTTGTAGTGAGACACGATGGCACCATTGCACTCCAGCCTGGGTGACAAAAGTGAAAGTTCGTCTCAAAAAAAAAATTAAAAAAAAACACACCTAGAGGAAAAACTGCCTGTCTGTGTGTCATCTGCAGACCAGCTTCCTCAAGTGGAAGACAACAACTTTTTTAGCTTTTAAAGCAAATCCAGGCTGGGCAAGGTGGCTCATGCCTGTAATCTCAGCACTTTTGGAGGCCAAGGTGGGACGATTGCTTGAAGCCAGTAGTTTGAGACCAGCCTGGGTAAGAAAGTGAGACCCCCCATATCTACAAAAAATAAAATAATTAGCCAGGCATGGTGGTGTATGCCTGTATTCCTAGCCACTTGAGGGGCTGAGGCAGGAGGATCACTTGGGCCCAGGAGTTCAAGGCTACAGTGAACTGTGATCCCGCCACTATTCTACAGCCTGAATGGCAGAGCCAGACCTTGTCAAAAAAAAAAAAAAAAAAAAAAAAAAGCTAATCCAACCAAACTCAGATACTCAGAGTGTCCTCGCAGAACATCTAGGCATTCATTCACTTAAGGACGGAGCTCATTTCTGAATTACAGACCCTGCTCTCCCTCTCCCGCCACACCCTACATCATGCTTAGAGAGCTGGAGGGTAACCGGGTGGTGTCATCAACGAAGCTTCTAGGAGATGCAGCTTCTAGGAACTTGGACAAGTGCTTCACAGAAATGTGATCGTGGTTACTTCCTTCCTAGACCCCATGGCGAAAAATGCTTGCGGCTTTCCTGTTCTTCAAAGGGCATCAGACACGACTATCGCTCAGCATGAAGGAGATACATAGGGCTAAGTGGGAAGACGGCGCAATGCAAAAGGGCAGAGGACTGAACGGGGATTTGGGATGCTTGGGTGCTAGCCAAGAAAGACTCCAGAAAACAATCAGAGGGAATCTCACTTTCATTTGGCTTTGGGGCTATTCTTATTCTCTGATGAAAGCACCTTAACAGTACGGTGAGAAGCATGATGGAGACAGTTGGCGTGGCCTCGCCTTCCCCCAATGCTTCGTGCAGCAAATGATCACTGCATGTACAGAAGGGGATCGAGGAGTCTGGAGAGAAAGGACGGGGCAGAGAGAAAAGGGGGCAGTGCCTGGCTCGGCGCCCAGCGTGCTGCATGCTGGTTTCAGGCCCCAGGAAGCTGGCGGGGGCCTTGTCCTGAGCCAGGAGGAGACAGGCCTTGGCCGGTTTCCTAGCAACCCTCACCGGCAGCAGGCAGTACCCCAGGCAAGGCTGTCCAGGGAAAAATGAAAATGGCCACACGCACAGATGCAAAACGAAAGCAGGCCTGCCTCCCAGCCGGGTGCGGAGGCACCAGGGGCCCCTGCCAGACAGCTCCCACACCAAACTCCTTGGAGAAACATCTGGGGGCACCAGCCATGGAGGGGGTCTCACTTCCTTCTCAGCCCTGCAGCACGGTAGGCACGCCGTGAAGCCCACACTCTGCCACTGAGTCACCGAAACAGCAGACCTTCGCATTTCCACACTGCAGGGGCACCAGAACCAGAAATCCCACTCCTGGGTTCTTGCGGAGAACTTTAATCACAGGGGGTGACACCCAGACTACCCTATCTTTACTCCTCTCTTTGCACCCAATTCCTCCTTGCAGTTACTGCAACTCGCCCCTCTGGTTTGGTTCTGCACTCAGCTGAAGGAGCTTTAACCCTCCATCCTCTCCTAACCATCCCCGCATTAGGACGGTGAGGCCCCCCTGTCCCAGACAAACAACCTTCCCTTTGGCCTCTGTCACTTGTTAGTTCTCTATCAGCTGAAGTTCATCTCATCCTATTCCACCCATTATGCCAGTGTCAAGAGGGAGGTGTGGCAATGAAGAGGACAAATCCTTACCTCTAGCACAGACAGAAAGGGCCACCATCAAGGATGGCTTTAGCGTCACAGAAAGAAATCCACCTGCTTGTCACCCTCAACCCAGGGACCATGGTGACAGCCAGTACCACACGAACCTGAGTGTGGCCAAACCTACCTACAGCCTTATGGAACGACCGTCACTCCCAGCGCTCTCTTCGTACCTGGCTTTCTTCCTTTGAAATTGCCTTGTGTGATCAAAAATGAATCATAAAACATTTGTTTCAGATTGTTACATGCTGTACAGTTTTTAGAACAGGATATTCTATTTTAGGATATCTAATCCTAAAAACTCTGGGAGGCAAACACCTTCACTTTACAGCTGACGTTACAGGGTCTGAGGCTGATACCTGTCAGGGCTGGGGACAGAGCAGACTCTCCCCAGCCTGCTTCCTGCTCTGTCCATACCAGGCTCCTCAGATTAGAGCACTAAGTCCATATATGGTAAAGCTGCTAGAAGGACTCGACGAAATGATTAGTATCTAAGGCACTATACTATACATGAAAATTACAGCAAGTATATCCACACATACACACACATCAGAGTATATGTGTATATTTTTAGGTATATGTGTATCTATGTATATGTTGTGTACATAAATAGAAGCTGGCATCTATCTGTCTACAACAAGAATAGAAGATATGAACATAGGGCTGGGTGCGTTGGCTCATGCCTGTAATCCTAGCACTTTGGGAGACCAAGGTGGGAGGATCGATCGCTCGAGCCCAGGAGTTTAACACCAGCCTGGGCAACATGGCGAAAGCCCATCTCTACAAATGATACAAAAAGTTAGCTGGGCGGGGTGGTGCATGCCTATAGTTCCAGCTACTCGGGAGGCAGAGGTGGGAGGATCTGTAGAGCCTAGGAGGCAGAGGCTGCAGTGAGCTGTGATCACACCACTGCACTCCAGCCTGGGCGACAGAGTGAGACCTGTCTCAGACCAGAAAAAAAAAAAAAAAAAAGACGCTATGAATATATATGCCTTGTATCCTTGATAGAGGCAAACACCTCACATTATTTATAAAATCAAAATTTCAGGTTAATGATTTCCCAGAGACCTAATTTCCATGGCACTGATATAGTTGATGCGTCTCTGAGCCTGTTTTATACATGTCATATACAGACACCACCAGGAGCACCCAGGAATTAAGACCATTCCACAGCCTACAACATCGCTTCCCAGATCTCTGTCATGACCTCATCAATCTCAAGTCTCTCTCCTTGGTAGTAGATGAAGTAGATGAAGTGGGAGCTAATGAAAAAGCTAAGGAAATCAGCACCACTAAGAAAATGCCAATACTCATTCCCGATCAACATACACAGTTGACTGTTTTCATCCTACTTTGAATTGCCTCGTCCTACCACGTTCAAGACGCGGCTACTGGGCAGGTCCACGTCTTTAAGTTGTGTACAATGCCTGGTTCACAACACGATTACTCATTACATGTCAAAATAATAATTATCACAGATGGCGAATTCACAAGTGGGTTAGCCGTCGGCTGTAACGGGCTAGCTAGCACTTGCCCCAGGCACTCAAGTTCAGCAGTCAAAATGCTATAAAACACACTGTTCTTTCTTCTTGTTATTTATTTATTAACATCAAGGAGAGGCTCACATTTTGTCTTTCAGAGTTGGTTGCAATAGGTTAGACCTCTTTGAAGCCACATAAAACAATTCACTTTGTATTATGTAACTAAAACTTAAACGACTTTAGATTTGATGACGCTATACTGCTATCCCTCCTTGTTCCCTGCAACCCAGCTCCCTCTGTTAAACAGGGCAGCTCTGGGGCAACACCGCAGGCCCTTCCTAGGAATAGTTCAAGAAAACAGCCTCTGATTTCCTACAAGGACGGTCACTGACTGTAAAACTACAAGAGGAGGTAAGAAAGTACTACAGCCCAAGGGTTCCTCAACCCAGGCTCCTGTTATACACCTGCCTTTGTGTCCACAGTGAAAACAACATGGAAGGAACTGGTTATGGGTTTTGACATAAGTTGTTTCAAGCCAGCAGATGGGATGAGATGCTGCTTCCATGACAAAGTCACCCTGGATATTCTCAGGCCGAATGAGGGTGAGATGGTACCAGGCCCACAGAGAGGCCGCGGCTGGGTGCGCAGAACTACGACACCAGCCCTAAGAAGCCAACAGGCTGTTGAATGCCAAGCCTGAACTATTAATTTGCATATGACATCAATTCTGCTGTCAGTGTGTTAATGTGTGATTAATTCTGTCATGGGTTAGAGCAAGGAGAATTAGTTAATTGTCAGAAACCCTTCTCGTTCACTCTCGTTTAGCCCCCGCCTCCCTTTAACTTCCTTTTTTCTCTTCTTATTAAACTAACCTCCTGGGTTTTCTTCCTCTGGGCACTTCTGTCCTATGGGACTTCAGTCCCATTTCCTCCTACCCTTTACAGAAACGCACCTATAGACCCAAAAACGGAGAAGGCAGATGGGTCTTACTCCGGCGCCCCAGCTGGCAAGTCTGAACTCTGTCCAGGCAGTCACGGGGGTGGTTTGGGAAGGCCTTACAACGGGGACACACAGGTCCCATTCATATTTGCGGTCAACTGCCAATGCCAGTGATACCTGGATACATTGTACAATCTGTGCTTTGTGTGCTGTGCAAATAACCTGTGGGGCTGGAGCAAGCTGGAATGTGGAGTTAACACAAAGCCATTGCTGTGCTATCGAAATCGGTCGTGAGGCTGCCCACTCTTCCCCCACTTCCCAGAAGCTGGCCCACTTCTTCCTTCCTACCAATCCTTGCCCACCGTCAATGCAGCTGTAGAGTGAGTCAACTGCGCTTTTACCCTGTCAACGGTTCCATCACTGAGCTAGCTTATACTTTTTAAACACAAAGTTCAACACAAAGAACCTTGAGGTCCCTAACTCTGGAAAGGGCAAGAGAATTCTAGAGGCCCCTGAATGCCAGGAAATTTCAGGAGGTACAGGCATGTCACAGGTCAGGCTAAATGGTCCCCAACCACCGCAGCAATGCTGCATACGCACGCTGTGGGGTCAAGGACAGGTGATCCTGATGGTCACATTTCCCAGGTTTGCTAACAGGCAGCCCATACCTGTGTCCACTTAACCCCGTCCCGTGTCTTTCCCTTATCTTGAGTTGCCTTTCACTTTGAAGCAATGAGGAAAAAGGAATGAATGAAAGCAAATGGACCCGCACAATCATCTACAATAGTCCAGAATTTGTCTAATTTATAGGGCTGGGAAACCAAGTGTCACCTTCGGGCCTACTCCTTCCCTGACCAAACTGCCCAGAGGGGCTGGAACGGGCACCAGCCAAGGGTGGGCAGTGACCATAGCTTTTACGTCCTCTTGAAGACAGGAGGAAAATGCAAAGAGGCACAGACTGCTACTCCCCTGTCCCCCACTACTCATTATATAACACATGTCAGTTTCTTGAAAGGGCCCTATATTTGTGCACGAAAGCATGTTCCCAAGAGTTAACTTATAATTATTACAATAGAGAGGAAGCAGGTAACTGAGACCTATTTTCACGTTACAAACAAAATTCTGTGATCTATTTAAAAAGCACAGGCCTCCCTTTTTATCTTGGAAGTCACTGTTTCTTTTAATTTGGAAACACATCTATCAACTGAAACCTTTAAAAACTTAACAAGGAATAATGTTGTTATGGGTCATGATTATTCTAATGTCTTATCATTTTATTTTGCATATGCCCTTATAGCTAAACTCAAACTAGATGCTAGAATATAATTGCCCATAGTAACCAACTAAACAGTTCCCCTAAGCAATGTGTATTTTTGCGTCTCTGTCTCTCTCACACTCTCACTCTATCCTGCCCGCCCACTCGCTCCCCTTCCCAAGTAACAAAAGCCAGATAAATCCATGGAAGAGGTGAAAGAGCTACAGCGACTCCACTTTCCAAACACTTGTGTGTATTACAACTCTTTAAAAATGAATTACAGAATCCACTTTGAAAAACATATTCGGGCCCTTGTGGAAGTTACCAGTCCTTTCTCAAATGAGCTGGAAGTGTCTCTGATCAACATGAATTGGGGTTCCTTCTTCCTTTTCGGAGTATGGATACTAATTGTTTTAATATGGGCATTATTCGCACATGAAACTAGAATTGCTCAGCACGTGGGAGATAGGTCCCGACCACCCATGGGCATCAAAGATCCCATGACATTTCTGTAAATCAGCCAAATTCCAACACAGACAGCAGGCCCAGCAGTTGCTGTATTCAGATGAGGGGCGATTACATGCTCCTGCCTCTCCTACACAAAGCAGAGACCAATGTTTCTACTCCTGGCCCGTTCTCTGGGTCTATCCTGGCCAACCTCCTCTGGGCACAGCCCATCAGACCTCCAGATGGCTAGTTCTCTCTAGACCACTGACATCCTACACACAAAGGATTACCAAGAAGCCAGCTCCCCCAGGTTTACGAAATTTATAGGAAAGTCTCCAATCAAGAGGTCAGGAGACAGAGAACAGGGTGTTAGGAACCATGAGCTGGAGGAGAGTCCCAGCATAGGGGCTTCTCAGCTGTTCTCACTTGAAATTACCTCTAAAAATCTATTTCCATATTTCTTCCCTGGAATTTCACTTTTAGAATTTGAACATTCAGAACCTTCAGGTCTCCACTCCTTCTTCACTTGGTCAGAGAATTTCACTTGGTCAGTTTCACTTGGTCAGACATTGGTTAAAATAAAATAATTTCCATTTTTAAACAGTAGTAAAAAATTTTTATTTAAATTTGTTTAGACCCACACCAATGAGTCTTCTCCCTGTGTCACAGTAATCCTTCCTCCTTGTCTTCCTTCTCTCTCAATTTCTCAATACCCATCGAGTCTTTCCTTAACAATCCTCCCGATTCATTCTCCCGCTGGGATGGCCAAGTTCTTCTGAGGGCAACACCTGCTCCAGGCCGTGCCCCCTTGGCCTCCTGATTTGCCTTGGAATCTGGAATAAGTCAGTTCTTCTCCAGGTGCAGGTGATGGGGGAAGTGACATCACACCTCACAAAAGGAGGATTTGGGGGAACGTTCAGCCACCGATGCCCTCAATAAAAATATCTCGTGACTTGGACTCAAAGGCAGTGGCCTTCCCAGCGGCCCGCGAGGGGCTGGGAGGTTCCCAGCATGGCACTGGGGCTGGCAGCAGGCCCTCCGCACAGCCCCCCGCCCCTCCGGAGCCGCCCGGGGGAGCTGCAGCAGCCTCTCTGCGCCAGGCACACTCCCAGCATTGTGCTCCCTCCAGCGCGCTCTCCCCCACCAAAAACCCTGAGGCCTCCGGAGTGTACACTAACCACAAGCCTTTGAGTGGCTCATGTATTTACAAACTGAGGCATGTCGAAATCAAAGGGGATACCACATGACATAATTCGCATTAAAATGTCAACAGGCTGACAATTTATAGAGTCAATCCACGGAAGGTGGGGAGGACTAAGACTCAGTAATTGTTTAATTCCTGCTGAAACCCACGGCCACTGTGCCTTTGGAAGCTGGGATGCGCCAGAGGCCTCCAGGCTGCACAGTGCCCCCTGGGGCTGGCACCGTGCCAAGGCCAGGCAACGGGTTTAACCATTTAGGGTGCTCAATGATGTGGAGGATGGGGGGAGGGGAGGGGGAGGGGAGAGAGGGAGGGGGAGGGGAGAGAGGGAGGGGGAGGGGAGAGAGGGAGGGGGAGGGGAGAGAGGGAGGGGGAGGGGAGCGAGGGGGAGCGAAGGGGAGCGAGGGGGAGCGAGAGAGGAAAGGGCTTAAGGGGAAGATGGAAAGAGCGGGTAGGAGGTAGGAGAACAGGTCTTTCCACAATGTGTGCCCAATTGACAAAATGGCTTGGGTTGGTCCCAAAGAGGGAAAGTTGCTGTTGTACCCCTGATATTCCCTTTGCTGTCCATGCATCCAGGACTGGAGATTTGAATACATGCAAAAGCGCCCCCACCACAACCCCTCGGCCCAAGTCTTGGTTTCCTGGCTGTTCTCTGGCAGCACCCGGCTCACCAAGGCACCCTAAGGAGGGGTCAGCGGTGTTTATGATAGGCCCCCAAACTCTAGGCCCAAGCTCCACAGATAAGCAAGAACCAAGTCATGACCCAAACCAGATGCCTGTTCATATAAGATTACCCCTGGAAGACTCTTTGATCTCTTTTACCTCCCTCACCAGTAGCACTGTTCTGATCCACGTAAGATAAAATACAAATTCTTAGGCCAGATATAGTGGCTCAGGCCTGTAATCCCAGTAGGGAGGATGGCTTGAGGTCATGAGTTCAAGACCAACCTGGGCAACACAGCAAGACCCCATCTCTACCATAAAATAAAAAGTTTAGCTGGGTGTGGTGGTATGTGCCTGTAGTCCCAGCTGCTCAGGAGGCTGAGGCAGGAGGATGGCCTGAGCCCAGGAGGTTGAGGCTGCAGTGAGCTAAAATTGCACCACTGCACTCCAGGCTGGACAACAGAATGAGGCTTGGCTGGGTGCGGGAGCTCATGCCTATAACCCCAGCACTTTGGGAGGCCAAGGTGGGCAGATCACTAAAAGTCAGGAGTTCAAGAACAGTCAGGCCAACAGGGAGACACTCCATCTCTACTGAAAATACAAAAATCAGCTGGGTGTGGTGGCACACACCTGTAATCCCAGCTACTCAGGAGGCTGAGGCAGAAAAATTTCTTGAACCTGGGAAGTGGAGGTTGCAGTGAGCCGAGATGGCGCCACTGCACTCCAGCCTGGGCGACAGAGCCGCCAGACCCTGTCTAAAAAAAAAAAAAAAAAAGAGTGAGGTAAAAAATCAAATTCTTACTGCTTAACTCCACCTGGATTTTTGATATTGGTTCTACCTATATGTTAAATTAACTGACCCTTGCTTGGGGAGAGGTCCACCCGGGGGTGAGGGACTGGTGAAAGGGATGCAAAAGCTAAGTTTGAAAAAGCTCTGGGGGTGAAGTGTTTGATCAGCTCCCTCAAATGCACCCCAAGCTCTAAGCCAAGTTTAATCTTTTCATCATTACATGAGAACGATATGTCTAGAGAACACAAATGGTAGAAATAAGACTATTTGGCAAAGCTTACAGGTCATCATCAGGATCTGCATTCCTCAGCCAGGAAAAACTGTGTTCTGAAAGGTGGCCTCGCCCTGTGGCTCTTGCCCCAGAGGATGCCTGGGGCCACGCGGGCTGCGACAGGGCCCTCCACGCAAGCTGGCTGTACATAAACAGTAACACCTCATTCTCTCTTCTACCTCATTAACCGAAACACATTAAAACAAGTGTGCACTGGGAGCAGAAAATGAGACTGTTAAACCAAGCTGACATAATCCTCATCAGCTGTGGGAAAGGAGACCGCATCAATTATGCTGAACCGAATGCAGTCACATGGATGTGCTGGGCTCCCAGCCCCCCAGCATGAAAAGGAGGACAAGAGGAAAAGAAACGTTCACTTAAAAAAGAAAACAGGCTGGGCGCGGTGGCTCACGCCTGTAATCCCAGCACTTTGGGAGGCCGAAGTGGGCGGATCACTGGAGGTCAGGAGTTCAACACCAGCCTGGCCAACATGGTGAAACTCCGTCTCCACTGAAATTACAAAAATTAGCCAGGCGTGGTGGCGGGCGCCTGTAATCCCAGCTACTTGGGAGGCTGAGGCAGGAGAATCACTTGAACACGGGAGGTGGAGGTTGCAGTGAGCTGAGATCTTGCCACTGTACTCCAGCTTGTGTGACAAGAGTGAAACTCAGTCTCAATAGATAAATAAATAAAATAAAATAAAATAATATACTTCATACTCTCCTAACAAACACAGCTTCTCGCCCATTTTTGTCACCCCAAGGGAGGGGAGCGGCATCTGATCAAAACACCCCTTTATGGTTCTTCTGCACCTAAAAATCTTTGCCAAACTATTTGGAATTGGAGGGGAAAAAAGAAAAATAAACATAAGCTTAAAAAAAAAAGAGGACGGGCGATAAGGAGATAATGGATTCTGTGTGATCTCTTGCAGACAGATTTTATAAGTGCAAAGTATCTCGAGGCCCAAAGTCCTAAGACCCGAAATGATCTGAACACAACCCGCTTGTGACATAATGGCAAGGATGCTTCAGAAATTAAAGGGCTATGGAGCAGACAATAGCAATTGAAAGCTACACAGCTATAAAACACAGCCAGCACTTAGCTCTTTCAGCCACTGCCAATAGTGAATAACAGATCAGAACTGATACATTTAGAAATACTCATAAAACCTACTACGGAAGAAAACAAAAATAATGCCTGTACATTGCCAAAATAAGGAAGATTACGGTTCTGGTAAGAATAAATGACCAAATCATTACCTACACGTAAGAAATGCAAAAGACTTGTATATGACAGTCATAAAATGTAAAATGTGGTACAAGGTGCCATCACTGAGCCGTACCCCACATCCTGGACGTTACAATATCATATTTGATAGTAATAACTAACTCACGTGAAATGAGTATTGCTATGCAAAACTTTCTTTTGCATTTCTTCATTTGTGTTCAAATTTGCAACCTTAACATGTTTATTGCCACTGATTTGCATTTCATTTCATAGGTGAAAGTTTCCAAACATAAGCTGTGGACTTATTTCTTATACACCTCTTGACACCAGCATGAAACGTATGTTGCCAAAACTCAGTCCTCCTAGTACCCATTCAATTCACCATTCACATTACAAAGAGCTGCTCTGTTTTTCAAGTATACTTTCCAGATCCACTTATGCATCTAATCATCAGGCAGGTCATGAGCTTGGTGAGATTTTGTTTCTGTTGCACATACTTCGCACATCGTTTCAGATGTTAAAGACGGTTTCGCATTAAGTTCTCCTTCTTTCAAATCAAGAAGGGAGGCATTTCCTCCCACTTGTTGACTCAGAGCTGTAATCAGAGATTCTGGGATTAGCCATTTATTTCATTACACACACACACACACACACACACACACACACACACACACACACACACACACTCTTCAGCTTTCAAAAGAGGTCGGGGGAAGGGAGAAAACAATCATGACTTCAGTAGCCAAGGAGATTAACTTCCAACGTACCGACAGGGAAGAGGAGGGATGCACCATTTAAAAAAAAAAAAAAAAAAGTTTCAGCTGGAGAAAAATTTTGGAATATTTTAAATTAATGGGTAACAAAGGGTTGCCATGGAAACAGTTTTGCATACTTGACTGCAGGTGCTCCCTACAGTGAAGGGAGATTGGGATGATACAGCCACAAGCAAGGACACTGATGTGAACATTAAAGTGAGATTCCTAAGGCAATGTTAAGTCATCCGAGCCACGGACACTGTGGTTTTCGATACAAATGAACTCACTTATGCAACGAGGGTATGTGAGCTTTGCAACACCAGCTAACACTCACTTGCGTCCAGAAGCTGTTCCCCCTTTTACGATATTCTGTGGTATTGCCAAGGTTACAAAATGTAAACAGATACAAACACGAACCATAACAAGAACCAAAGTCAAATATATTCTCGTTTTTCCATCTTTGTCCTCTAAGCTGTGTATTTCTAGATTGTGGCTTTATTTTTTTAGAGTGAATATGCACTAGCTTTAATCAGAAAAATATACATGTAAGGGAATGAAAACTACCAAGGAGTATAGTTCCCCTGAGTGTCCTGTGTACTCTATGCCAGTTTCCAAGCCTACGTTCTAACTTGCATCTAATTTTGGTCACATAAGGGAAATACATGTGTGTTGATGCTTGCAGGAAGTCCTATTTAAAAAGAAACAAACAAATACTGAAACCTCCCAGGTTATGTGGGACAATATGATAAAATTATGTCAGTGAAGGTAACATCATTTCCTTCTCACAACGGATGATGTCTTAGGTACTTCTCAGGGAAGGGGTGGAGCAAGCCATAGCCACAATGCAGCTGGACTTGAATCACTTTCTAATTTTCCTGAGTACTTCACTAGATCACTTTTTGCTCCATTACTTAGGAGAGGAGATGGAGATATCCCTTTGGGAAAAAAAAAAAGTCCTACAAACACACACTTAGTGCTTGAAGGAGACTTAGTGAGGAATCCAAGCTCCACCTCCTTCAGATGAGGCCACTACAGATTGGCCAAGGTTAAATTACTGGCTCAAGGTCATTTCACTAAACATCGGTCATAATCTCTCTTCAGGGAAATTCCATCTCCCTGCTCCGCACCAAAAAAAAAAAAAAAAAAAAAATCCACTGACCTTTCCATTCTCCAAACCAACAGCGTGTCAAGTTCAAAGCTAATTAAAACCAAATTATAAAAATAACGTCAGTTGTGTGGTCTAAGAAGACGATGGGAAATCTAATGCAGAAAAGCAGAGTCCTTAACACCTTTCTGATGCTATATGCAGACTGCGTCTAGGTGCATTTCATGTATTATCTCATTTAAGTCATTCGAGAGTCCTATCAAAGCAAGTCATTCTATTAGCCCATTTTACAGATGATGAACAAACAGGAATTAAGTCCCAGGAGCTGGGATTCAAACCCAGGCAGCCTGACACCAGGCATCTTCTCCCTCCTTAAAACCCCAAGAGCTATCTGGGTTTCCTTTAAGACGCATGGACATCCTATCTTAAATTTTTCTAGTCTGCAGCACCCACTGAGCCCCACTCCACCTGCCACACCAACATGTGCCCGGCATCTCGTGGGCATCCAGACACCTCCTGAATGGTCAGATCCCATTAGATTTCCATGGCCTCTCCCGCAGTAGCTTGAGCGCTCTTAACCAGGTATGTTACTACCTCTAGTGAAATGTATGCCCTCGTCTGCAAAAACAGAAATAACCAATCTGAGCCCTGTCTTCAGAGACACAACAGATCATCATTACTACTCTCCCAGAGGAGTAGGAAGGTGGAGGGGAGGACAGCAGGGATTGAGAAGAGACCTCGAAGCTTCTACACAGTGGAGCCGAGAGAGGAGAGAACATTTCACCATTAGGTTTTAGTATTTTACCCTCACATTGCATTATGAACATCTCCAACCAAGGAGATGAGTTGAAAAAAAAATCATACAGTAGACACTTAAGTATCCACCACCCAGCTGCTGAAATTAATGCTTTGCTGTCTATTTTACAGCCTTCTCTTTATCCTGCTATCAATGTGCCTTACATCTTTTATTCATTCCAAAGTAAACTGCAGAAGCAGTACACTCCACCCCTCCCCCTACTCCAGCATGCACAGCCTCAACTACAGTTTTCTTTTTGTTTATGGGTTTTTATTGTAGTTTTATTATTTTAATAGATCACGTGAGCAGACTTCCTGACTAGCAAAACACTAAAAAGACCCAAACTCCAGTGTGTTGTTATTATGAAATGTTTAGCTCACAACTTTCTTTTTTTTTTTTTTTTTTTTTTTGAGACAGAGTCTCGCTCTGTCGCCCAGGCTGTAGTGCAGTGTCGCGATCTCGGCTCACTGCAAGCTCTGCCTCCCGGGTTCATGCCATTCTCCCACCTCAGCCTCCCGAGTAGCTGGGACTGCAGGTGCCCTCCACCACGCCCAGCTAATTTTTTGTATTTTTAGTAGAGATGGGGTTTCACCGTGTTAGCCAGGATGGCCTCCATCTCCTGACCTGGTGATCCACCTATCTCAGCCTCCCAAAGTGCTAGGATTACAGAGGTTAGCCACCACGCCCGGCCACAGCTTTCTTTTAAAAGTTAGAGTAGGCTAGGCGTGATGGCTCAGCCTGTAATTCCAATACTTTAGGAGGCTGAGGCAGGAGGATCACTTGAGGTCAGGAGTTCGAGACCAGCCTGGCCAACATGGTAAAACCCCGTGTCTGTTAAAAATACAAAAAAAGTTAGCCGGGCCTGGTGGCGGGCGCCTGTAATCCCAGCTACTTGGGAGGCTGAGGCAGGAGAATCACTTGAACCCGGGAGGCGAAGCTTGCACTGAGCTGAGATCACACCATTGCATTCCTGCCTGGGTGACAAGGCGAGACTCTCTCAAAAAAATAAAACAGAGTAGTATCCACAAGTATGTGAGAAGAAGTTCCAGTTATTAAAATTATTTTAGTACCATAGCCACAGGTTCAGTAAGTACAAGAATGAATCTGCCTTTGTCCTCTGTCTAGTTCACCTTTCTATATGATTCTACCCTCTTTAAATCTTGCTCAAACTCCAGCTTGCCCCTCCCTCCCAGAGGTCTTTTTGGATCTAACCAGTTGGGTGTGGCTGCTCCCTCCCTTCACCTTCATAACTCTTGTGTCCGCATTTGACGGCTCTTACTGAATGATCAATTCCTCTTTGTATTACGTATCACAGTAATACAGTTTCTTAAACTGTGGATCATGACCCATTAGTGCAGTGGTTCTCAAACTGCAGCCGCACATCAGAATCCGACAGTAAATGAAACCACAACCTCTGGGGGTCAAGCCAGGCAGGCGTAGTTTTTTAAAGGCCCCTGGGCTAAGAGTCGCTGGATTACGAAATCAGGATCATGTCAGGGGATCATGAAATCCATGCTGTGAGTACAACCAGCATTTGTAAAACAAAACAGAATTGAATGTAATAGAAAGCATCAGAATGTAGCACCTGCAGTAAGGATAAAATCATTCTGCACAATTTCTGTTTTAGTCAAATATACAGAATATCTAGCTATATGTATGTGCTGGGTCACTCATGTAAAATGCATTTCTTTTTAGATTATCGTCAACAAAGTTTAAAAGTCACTGCCCTAAAGAAGCAAGGACGTTATCCTGCGCATAGCGGGTGCTCAAGGACGTGTGGCTTGTACATGGGACAGGAGGAGAGAAGCAGGTCAGAGCTTCTCTCACTGGGAATATGTTCTGCCACCAAAAATGTGGTTCTCAGGGCGGGGGACAATCAGATATGGGACTAAGTAAGCATCATTCAGACAAAGACGCTCGCCCAAGGATAAGGGAACGAAAGCAGGAGAGGAGCCTCTAGGGAAACTGAGGGAGGAGGCGACTCGGGGCTGCCCCTAATCTTTAAATTTCTATGTTTAAGATTCCGTCTTTTGGCCGGGTGCGGTAGCTCACACCTGTAATCCCAGCATTTTGGGAGGCAGAGGCAGGCGGATCGCCCGAGGTCAGGAGTTCGAGACCAGACTGGGCAACTTGGTGAAACCCCATCACTACTAAAAATACAAACATTAGCTGGGCATGGTGGCATGTGCCTGTAGTCCCAGCTACTCGGAAGGCTGAGAATCGCTTGAACTCGGGAGGGGGGGGTTGCAGTGAGCTGAGATCACGCCACTGCACTCCAGCCTGGGCGACAGAGTGACACTCTGTCTTAAAAAAAAAAAAAAAATCCATCTTTTGCCATCAAATCATCAGGCGACACTTGCTGATAGTCTACCTAATATCCCCAAGACCCTGGGAAGGCTACAAAGTTGGGTGAGAATAAACAGATCCCACCGGTAAGGATCTTACAACTAAGCAGAGAAGAAAGACCACTAAAAATATGGTCTATCATAAGAATGGGAAAGGAACAAGGCATTTTGATGAGAGTGCTGGGGAGAAAGAGCAGTGATTTTAGTTGGCAGAATTTGGGCGGACAGAGCCGAAACTCACGGGTGGCCAGCAGCACGTGGGAATTTTCAAAGTAATTTGACACCAGCTGCATGATCTTGCCAGGGCTGTGTCTCAGGGGTCAGTACAGGAACAGAGCTGTGTGTGAAGCTGATGGTAAATGACCTGGGCTGCAGAAGCTCTGCAATGACCTGGTCCACACAAGCCATCCACTTTACACCAACATATGCCTTAGGGCTCTACCTTATGAAATGCCAAGTGTGCGCATGAGGCTGTTGTACCTGTTCTAGCACAGGGCAGAAGCACGGCATGCTCTGCTGGTACCCTATGGTTCAATATTTATTGAGCTGGTGTCACACACTGTTCTAAGCATTAGGGACAGAGCTGTTAATGGGGCAACGTAGGTCTCTGCTGTCTTGGCAGACAACTAAATTAATGAACAGACAAGAAAAATAAATATAATCACTGTCAATGCAGAGAAGTTATCTTGAGTGAAGTGATGGTGTAGCTCCTTGAGACTGGGTTGTCAGGGAAAGCCTCTTTGACGACCAGATATTGAATGAGAGCTGAATGTCAAGGTCAAGGAGGTACATACACTCAGTAGAACAGCAAGTGCAAAGGCCCTGTGGCAGGCGCCAGCTTAGCATGTTGAATGAACAGAGAAGGCTGCTGTGGCTGCAGTGTAGGGGGCAAAGGGGAGAGGGTTGTAAAATGAGGTCAGCATGGTGGGAGGAGTTCAGATCACAAAGGAGCTTGTAAGCCACAGTACAAAGGTGAGCTTTTATCTTAAGTGAGGTGGAAAGCCTTTGTGGGGTCTTTGCAAGAGAGTGATATGACCTGATTTTCCTCTTCGTAAAATCCCTGTATGGAGAGGGGATTGTAAAGGGCAAGAGTAGAGGCGGGGGAGAGTTGAAATACAGAGAGACGATGGGGGCTGGCCTGGGAGGGTGGTGGTGCAAATGTATTTTTGAAGGAAGCACCCACAGAACTTGCTGATGGTTTGGCTGTAGGGGAGCAAAAGACAAGGAGCCCCACAGATAGTTCCCAGCTTTTTGGGTTAAGCAAATGATATGCTGGAGGTGGCCCTAACCGAGATGGGGGAGCCCATAAGCATTTGGGGGTTCTGGTCACAGAGTCCTTTCTGCACCATGCTAAGCCTGCGGAGTTCATTCTCAGACATTCGAATGCAAATGCCAGGTGGGGAGCTGGATACAGGAAGAGGCCTAGGCTAGGGACAGATTCAGATGTCATCAGAAAGTAGATGGGGTTTAAAACCACTGGACTGAATGAGATACTTAGGGAGAGTTACAGACAGAAAAAAGAAGGGGCTCTGGGACAAGCCTGGGGGCATAATAACACTCATCGTGAAGTCACAGAAGAGAAGCCAACAGAGATAGACAAAGGGCAAGAGTGGCAAAGGCGGCTGAAAGGTCCGGCGAATTAGGACACAGCCGACAGAGTCAGCAACACAGAAACCACTGGCGACCTGTCCTACTAGTGGTGAAAAGTGTCACTTCTGGATCCAGCAACTGGGAGGGGACATGGTGAGTCAACTCCCAGAGTGGGCATGATTCAGAGTGAGGGGTTGCTGGGCAATGCGGCCTTGGGCCTTGGGTGCCAGCCCCCATGGAGGACCAGGTGACTTCCATGAGTACAGGCTGCCAGCTTCAGGGCCACCGCCATGCTACACCCCGCAGCTGCTCCCACGCCACCTGCAGAAGGCAGTACCTTTCCATCCTCTCTGTTCCACTTCTACCACTGCAGAGGGAAGGAAGGAAAACACCATCTCCTCTCACTTCCTGACCTTCCTCCTCTGCCTCCAAGAGCCTTTTTTTGGTTTGTTTGTCCTATGCACGACTTTTTCAGTTTTCCAACAATCACTGGTGTCCTATACTTCTTAACCCTCCACTTGTAAAACAACACCTTTCAGACACTCCTCAGCTACTTTTCTTGCAAAGAAACTTGCTGTCAGTAAAGACAAGAGAGTAAATGGAGAGAAACGGATAACCACCTGCTGATGTCTACTTGTGCTGCATTCTTGAGAAACTCACAAAACTGAAGGCAATCCAGGTCCTCAAGAGGTTTACGAACCAGTTGGTGAAACCACCTAGCACATGACGCAGAGACCAGCGTGGTGCCAAACAGTGTGACACCCGTGTGGGGCAGAGATGCCGTGTGTGGGTACAGCAGCTGGAGAGACAGTTCTGGAAAACCAGGGATATGTCACTAGAGCATAAAAGATGGACAGGAAATATGCTCTTCCTTAAAGTCTGATTAAAAAATAAAAGATACTTTCCAACAGGGCCCCGTGCCCATCTCAGCAACGCAGGGCGTGTGTAACCAAATCACACAGAAATGAGCACTTAAAATGACATCTGTTGGATTAATTAGCTGTGTAATTAGTCTCCCCTCAGCGGAGCTGGGCTTTGTGGCTGTTGTCTGAAATCTCCCCAGGTGACTTGATTCCAAATGCCACACTCCAAGAGGAAGAAAGCACAGGCCAGGAAAAGAAGACAGGCGTCCGAATGTGTTTGCGGGAGGCAGCGGGAAGGGAGAGGGAGTTTCTGGAGAATTTGGTGGGTCCCTCGGGAAGCTAGCTAGAACATCAGGGAGGAATAGCCATCCACAGAGGTGTCACTCGAGAACTCACCACCTCAGAGCAAATCGGCACGCCCCCAAGGCATGAGTTTTGGATAACCCCAAAGCACTAAACACTCAGAGACATGAATTAGGGCGGCAAGACCCTGGAGGTGAAGAGAGCCGAGTATGGATTCCGAGTTGGACACAAAGAGACGGGACAGAGGTCAGAGCTCTTGTCCCTGGAGGAGTTGTTTGGTCTTCCTCCGCTGACAGCTGCAGCCATCACTAATGTGAACCCAGTCTGGGCAAAAAAAAATTAATAATGAAAATGGTCAGAGCCTAATCTGAGAACCAGAAAGTGAACAACCACGCACAAACAGAAGTCTCCAGCCAAATCACTCCCCACAGTGCTTCCTCAAGCACAGCTGGCTTCGGAGTCACACTTGCTGACTCATGTCTAGGACACATAGCCCTGGGACCCGCGCCACTTGGCCTGGCTCACTAGAGGAGCCGAGGAATATTCCCCATGCTTCTCTATCTATAATTATTTTAGAAAACAAGAGACATGGCGGTAGAGGGGAAGTATAGAAGACAAAGGCACAGGAGCTATGGGAGGACCACAGTGAAAACCATCTTGGAGCAGGGGACTCCTCAGCTGGGGACGAGCCAGTGGGGTTACCTTTGATCTCCCCCACCCCCATCTCGAGGCACAGAGTACCCTCCACAGAGCAAAAACATCCGATGCTGCTCAGAGAACCTTCCTGGGCCTGCGACAATGAGCAGTTCGTAAAGAATCTGGAACATGAAACATTCAAATCAAACAAGCCCTGTTCGAAACCAGCAAGACATGTTCTAAAGCTAGATGGAGCCACTCTGCTAAGACACTCCCTGCCATAAACACAATCGGAGCTCCTCCCAGATCTTCAGTAGCGCCAACAGGCATCTGCAGGACCACTGCAGTGACACAGACTCGCTCCCAAGGGCAAAAGGGGTCTGGGAGCAAACACCAAACCCCGACATTATCATTCTCATTGTCCCGAAGGCCCATAGATACAGGCTGGGTGCAGTGGCTCAGGCCTGTAATCCCAGCACTTTGGGAGGCCCAAGTGGGCGGATCACTTGAGGTCAGGAGTTCGAGACCAGCCTGGCCAACACGGTGAAACCCTGTCTCTACTAAAAACACAAAAATTAGCCGGGTATGGTGGCAGGCGCCTGTAATCCCAGCTACTTGGGAGGCTGAGGCAGGAGAATCACTTGAACCCGGGAGGCAGAGGTTGTGTGCAGTGCTGTGATCATGGCTCACTGCAGCCTTGACCTCCTCGGCTCAAGCAATCCTCCCACCGCAGCCCTCTCATGTAGCTGGGACTATAAGCACCACCACACCCTGATAATTTTTTTATTTTTTGTAGAGATGAGGTCTGGCTATGTTGCCCAGGCTGGTCTTGAACTCTCAGGCTCAGCTGATCCTCCCACCTCAGTCCCCACTGCAGCTAGGACCAGAGGTGTGTGCCGCCACACCTGGCTAATTTTTTAAATTTTTTTATAGAGACAGGGTCTGTTTATGTTGCCCAGGCTGGTCTTGAACTCCCGGGCTCAAGTGGTTCTCCTGCCTCAGCCTCCCTGTGTTGAGTTTACAGGTGTGAGCCATGGCCCCAAACAAGTTTTTTAGTAACACATTACACATTCGTGAGCCTGAGTCTGTACAAAATCCTACTTCAATGGCCAGCACAAAATCAGTACTCCACAAATGTTGTTGACCCAGGGAACGAAGACCCCTTCCCAGTGATTTCAGTCTCCCAGAAGCTGCACAGGGAAATCTGGGAAATCCTGTGCCTCTTGGGTCCTGAGGGCTGGGGTCTGAACCCATGGGAGGAGAAGAAGTCAGGGTAGCCAATGCAAGGATGCCTTCCACCCAGAACCCAGACTTCTGTCTCATTCTGAGGGGCAGCAGGAAGACACGGATGCCCCGGTGTGACACGTGCCACCAAGAAAACTCCACAGAGGTCAGCTCAGAAGGGGTTAGAAAGGTCCAGTCATCCTCCAGGAAGAGCATACTGCCAGCGACAGAAGACAGGAAGAGAGACTCAAAAGGAACAGCAGGTGGGTGTAAACCCCTTCAGCAACCCCAGTGCACAGGCCGGCCCTGCCAAGGCAATGTGGGTATCACTGTTGACCTAAGAGACTGGCTATGCTTTGGAGGCTCTCATCCTGAGTCCGGGAACATGCTCCACTCATTAACAGGTTACAAACCAAACACTATCAGTAGATAAACATTTCTAACCTTCTAACTAGTTTGCCTTTTACAGAACCAGGAGGGGGACCCTAGAGAACATCTCCTAATCATTCTTGATGATTAGTCCCAATTTAAACCTACTCTCTGCATTCCCTATTAGCGACCTATACACCATAGGCACACAGGGTCTCCCACGCACTGTGAGCAATGCTCACGTGCTGTGAATTTTCATGGTCTACATATAAGTAACCAGTGCAGGAGGAGACCAAGAAGGCCTGGAGTGAACCAGGGGCAGCTTCAACATCTGGCCAAGTTGCTGGTGACCGAACCAGGCCTCCTGATGTCCACTGTGTGACGCAAAGGCATTTCAATAAAAGGGACTCATGAAAAAAATGACTGAAAAGTAAGTTTGAACAAACAGCTCTAGAGAAAATTTCAGATTTCTTTATAGGAAAGCATTTTACTTAACACACAAAATGTGAATATTGGATAGGACACTTTTCTATAAATAACAAAAACTGGATATCATCATTAGAGGCATTTGTAAATTTCTTTTGTTGGGAACCACTGGAAGAAAACGGGTTTCACAAACAAGGAAGCCACATAGCTCTCTTTACACTTCTATAGAGCCTGCTGGCAGGTCATTATGAACAAATTTCTAGGCTATCCAGAGGTAGAGCTGCTAAACAAAACACGGGATGCCCAGTTAAATGTGAATTTCAGGTAAGTGTAAGTATAATTTATGAGATACACTTACACAAAACATCATTGTTGCTTATCTGAAATTTACGTTTGGAGGCCAAGGTAGGAGGACCACTTGAGCCCAGGAGTTTGAGACCAGCCTGGGCAACATAGTGAGACCCTGTTTCTATTTTTTTTTAATGTCATATAAATTTCTTTTTATACAAAGAAAAAGAATGAAATTCACATCACTGAGAATTCCACAGTTTTCTTTGCTGTATTTGCCAACACCATCCCAAGTCACCACCCTAATGTTGCTAGTTTCTACAGTCGCCAGTATTTCTATGAGTGACAGATTTTCTGCCATTAGAAAATTTTAACTTTCATTCTACATCCCGGCTGCTGTAAGTGCTAAAAATCAATTTCTGTTAAGTATTAAATATATACTTACTCAATACTACCGAAATGGTTTTCATAGTAACAGCCTTTCCCACCCTACACTTACTAGTATTTACAGTTTCAACTGATGTGTAAAACAGAATAAAGTACATGGTTCAGGTGGATCATATAATTATTTAAAAACTCTTGCCTTTTCCTGACTATGTTCCTGACAATGCCTAATTGTTCCCTTATGATTTCCCTTTCAAAACAAAAAAACCAGAAACACCTGTTGGGACTAGACGTATTCAAATCTGCCCTTTGAGTCCAAGTCCTCAGCAAGTTGAAAGAATTCAACATTGAGTTCACACCTTTGCCCCATTATGTGGCACCTGCCATATTGGCTTTCCTGCCAGAGTGTGTTTACCTAAAACAACCGTAACACAACGCATTATCCTGGAATGCAGAAGCAACGGAATATTTGCACAAAATTCTCCTAAGGGTTACAGACCACCCCTAAGACGGCAGATGTCATTTATGCGAAGAATTCCACGGTGTGACTTATTCCTCTGGATGGGTGGGGGGTAGGTGAAGGTACTGGAAGTTTGAGGTTTCTCTCTCATAAGAAGGTCCAGGGCTTTCTAAATAGAGAATCGGGGGGATTCGTAAATATTTTGACAAAGTGGTAGCTATTAGACTTTCTGAAATTAGACCTCCTTGCTGCTCAGCCTAAGTCAGGGGCCATGGTATACCTTTGGAATCCAAAAGGAGACTTGTAACCAGTACCTGAAAACAGTTTATACTGGAAATATGTCGACAGAGTCATGAAATTTATATGCTATTTACGTAAGAACTTCAGGAAAGGGAATTTCCATGGCTTTCAGAATTTGTTCCTGACCCCTTTTTTAAGATAAATGGTGAGATCCACAGTCTCCATTAAGGTGCCCTAAAAACCCAGCTCCTCTTTGCAGACTCTGTTTCTTCTGGAAACTCTCTCATCCTGGAGAGTTCAATGAAGGCAAACTAATCTAAGAAATTTTCTTTTGGGGAACATGCCAGAGAGAAATAGGAAAAGGTGAGAGGAAGGCGTTTGGTCCACAGACTCCAAATGCCAGGAAAGAGAGCCAGGCCTTTCCATCCCTTCTTCTTGTTCCCCAGTGTCTCCGAAGACAGTATTCCGTAAATATGTTCTGATTTACCTAAATCTGTGGATCATTCACAAGAGGTTCTGCAAGACGTAAGAGAATGGAGAATGAGAAACAGCTTTTCACACCAGCTAGGAAAGGCTGGTTATTTAAGCAATCGTTGTACAGCTAGCCATTGAATTTGAAGGAAAATAAAGAGTCCTAAATCACACTGCATAGTCTTACAACTATACAAAAAATATATTCCTGAAAAGTCACAAATAGGGCCAGGCGTGGGGGCTCACACCTGTAATCTCGGCACTCTAGGAGGCCAAGGTGGGTGGATCACCCAAGTTCAGGAGTTTGAGACCAGCCTGGCCACCATGGCAAAACCCCATCTCTACTAAAAGTACAAAAATTAGCGGGTGTGGTAGTGGGCACCTGTAATTCCAGCTACTCAGGAGGGTGAGGCATGAGAATCACTTGAACCCAGAGGCGGAGGTTGCAATGAGCTGAGATCACGCCACTGCACTCCAGCCTGGGTGACAGAGTGAGACCCAGTCTCAAAAAAACAGAAAACAAAAACAAAAAACTGCATGACAAAAAATGTTCCCCCATCTACATTAGAACAATGAAAAGGGACTTACTTTAGAACAATGTTGTCAATCTGACAATGAAAATGGAAAAACAACAACACGGTGTTGGTCACTGTGTGGGAGTCTGGCCGTCACTTACTGGGGAAGGATGACATGGCCACCTGCTTTCTGAAAGGCCACTGGGAAGTGCTGCATCTACTGGCATTAGGTCCTGGGACCCAACAACCCCACTTCATGGTGTGTGTAGAGAATCATGTTCCTAGCTCATTATCTGCAGTATCCAAACCCTGCACATAACCTCAAGGTACATCAAAAAGGAGCTGGTTAATAAAGGAAATACTATGTCGACATTAAAAAGAGTATCTACATGTACTGACCTAAAATGATTTTCATAAAAAGTATCTATATGTACTGACCTAAAAGTATCTATATCTACTGACCTAAAAGATTTTCCTGAATAAAACAAACTGACACTTTGGGAGGCCGAGGTGGGTGGATCGTGCTTGAGCCCAGGGGTTCAAGACCAGCCTAGGCAAAATGTCGAAATCCTGTCTCTATGAAGAATACAAAAAATTAGCTGGGTGTGGTGGTGTGCACCTGTGGTCCCAGCAACTTGGGAGGCTGAGGTGGGAGAATCACTTGAGCCTGGGAGGCAGACGTTGCAGCCAGCCGAGATCACGCCACTGCACTCCCATGTGAGCGACAGAGTGAGACCCTGTCTCAAAAAACAAAATAAAGCAAAATTGAAACCACAGCATGTGTCTATAAAGATTTTTAAAAATGAACAGTATGTGTGTGTGTACAGATACATACACACATGCATTTTCATCTACAGAAGCACAGAAAAGAGCACAAAATATCAACTACATGTAACAGTGGGTTTGCCTCTGGACAGTAAAGTCAGAAAGTAGACAAAAGACATCCACTTTAAAAATCATTGGAAAATACTTAAAGATGTAAAAAAGGTCTCAGGTATTACACAACGTCATTCCAATTTTGTAAAATTCCTATGTTACATGCAAAAATAAAAATCCATCACATGGTAGGATTAACCAGATATATTTACTTTCTTTTTTATTCCTGGATTTTTCCAAATTTTTTTACAGTGAACATGCATTACTCATATTACTTTAACTGTAAAAAATAGGGAATCCACATTTTATTACTAGCTTACACTTGAGGTAAACATGGAATGCTAACCTTTTAAGAAATAATTAAGAATACAATACTATTCTAAAAGGGTCTGGTCAGTTCTTTACTATCCACAAAAAGGACTCAGAAAAGAGAGAGAGAAAAAAAACACTAAAAGCATTTAGAAAAAAGAGAATAAAAGTGCTATGGTTAATGGTTGCAAAACTGGTTTTTCAACAGGTGGTTTTTAAGTACTAAACTTTTTTTTTTCAATAGGCACAACTAATAAGATTTCAGTTCCATTATGTGGTGTCTAAAGAGTGGAGTGAAAAGATATCACTGACCTGATCTTCTTGACATGAGGGTGTGTAAAATGCTCTAACCAGAGTGACCCACACAAAGCTTGTGCCTAAAGCCATCGGCTGAGAGTGTGAAATACAACCTATTGGACGAATGTGGATGAAGATAGGTGGGAAGCTTCTGGAAGGAGGAAAGAACAAGGGACCTCCCAGCAAGGTACCCAGCTTTCATGCCGCACACCACTGGTGAATCATGAGCCATACGTTCCCACAGCAGTGATGGATGAACTTGGTCCTAGCACAAGCCCTGCCCCCCAAACTATTTGGTCTTTCCATCTCCTGGAGTCCTCTTGAAGTTAACTGGTGGCCACAAGAGCTGTCAGAGTCAGCCCAGGCTCTCAGTAAGAACCCATCAGGCCCACGTGCAGCCTCCCAGCCCAGCTGCAGAGACCCACGTCCCACCAGCACCAACCATCAAGCCACGGAAATGAACCGCAGGCCTCCAGCTGCTCCAGGAGAAGGAGGGCATGCAGGCGAAATCTGCTAAAATTCACCAAAACATCTGGCCTTGCACACCTTCTAAATCACCTGCAGGAAAACATTCCTTTCCTTTCATTTTTTGGTTGAAGGCATCAAGGTAGGGAGAGAAGGTGGCAGAAGTATGTACTTAAAACAAACAAAAAAAATAGTCTAATAATGAGAAAACAAGGTTTGAGGCAACTGGCTCCAGAATCCCGACGCAAACCATATGACACTTTCACCGGAGCTTCAAACACACAGCCAAGCTGGGAAGGCAGGACGGGAGGGAGGAAGGGGACGGTCCCCAAAGGATGTATGCTTTTTGCTCTCAGTGCAAGACAAAGGCCTCCAGGCACCACCTACGGACGTAAAATGTGTAGCTATCTTCCTAAGACCCCCACTTCCCCCCAGCACACCCACAGAGGAGCACCAAGAATGCAGATTTCAAACCAGATCATTGTCTGACTTCACCTACATTTTCTGATTTGCCCGTCTACCATACGATGATTTTATAGCCCTGCTGGGAGTGTGAATCCCAATGAGTTTCTTATGCATCAGGGAAAGAACTGAAAAGATGGGTTCTAAAGCAATGCAAAGTCTGATGGAAGTTTTCTTACATTCTTCCGTACTGCACAATCCTCCTAGAATGGCAGGAGCAGACATCCTCTATGTGGAGAATCTGGCCATGTGCATGAATCAATACCACACTCTGCCTCCTACCTCAGGCCAAGCAGAGTTGGCTTGGACACTGGCTTCTCCTCTCCTGTGTGCCCTGTTGGCCCACAGCAGCTCACATGTGGCCCAGACTCAACACCGTGGTAGACAACCCTCCTTGTACAGTATTTAAGATTAACAGGTAACCTTCAGTCTTGGTCCAATCAAAGGAACCCCAGCTAGAAACCGTTTTGAGTAACAGATTCTGGTAGGGTCTTAATCTATCTGCTAAAGTTGACAGATTTCCACTCCAATGACTCTCAGGTGAAGAAAAACATCAAAGTGAAAAACAGATTCTGGGAGATGGTGGGAGTGTGCACTGATTTCCAACTGCCCTTTCTGTGCCCCGCCCCCTCCGGGTAGAAAGCAGCACACATTTCAGAGAGCTCACCATGGACGTCACTTGGCTGGGAATGCAAGATAAACGTGGAAGAGCTGGTGCCAGCTCTGAACCCACACGCCTCAGACGCAGGCTGTACACTAGCCGTGGGAGAGGGCAGAGGGCAAGCATGTGTCAGTGACAGCCGCTCTCCTAGTTCTGAGGATCAAGGGCACCCACATCTCTACGGGTGGAGAAGATTGAGAGTGGGGCCAGGGTGTAGTCCTCTGAGAAAGGAGTGATACATTTACATGTGAAAGCAGAAGGATGAGGAATTAAGGACCCCGGAGCTCAGTCCCAGTTGAGAGACAAGTGCCTTCTGCATTTTTCCATGCTGGCTCAGATGTGACACTAAGGACAGAAAGAGCCCAGTTCCCAAGCTTCACTGGAGCCTCTGGGCTTCTTGCTATGTCAGCCAATCACGGGGATCCCAAGACGGTAAATGTTAGGACGTGGACATGTGAGCATTAGGGGCTAGGCCAGAGCCGGCCACTGTTTCAACCCAAAAGATCCCAAGGATTTCAATCAGGAGCACTTTGCAGAAGTAACCTGAGGCCCAGAGACAAGGTAAGGGGGCTTCCCCCGGATGCCTCGGGCCCTGCGGCATTCCCCTACTCCACTCTACTTCCAGGAGGTGCAAAAGAAAAACAGGTTGAACCTAATCCTGATTTAAACATTAGTATCACACAAAAATCAAAACGACACCATTCCAGGCAACGAAGACAATATCATCAGGTTTTGTAGATTAGCACAACCCTCTCTCATTTCTGGATTAAAAATTATCTCACGCTTTCAGAAAGTTCACTCTTACAGCAATCTACGCACTAGCATGCGTGACAGCAAGGGCAGTGACTCCGGCCCAGGGTGAGGTCAGATGACACACCGAAAGCCATGCCACTGCTTGAATCTCCTGAGAATGCAGCTCTGTCTCCTCCAACATGAAAAAGGAACAGGAGGAGAATAAAAGCCTCGGCTGAAAGAGAGGTCTGGGAGGGCCACCGGGAAGCCACATACATCACTGCCACTTCACTAGGTGCCGCGGAGAGCAGCTTTGGAGAGCCGCCCTGGCTGATCATGAATAATTTGCCAGGGAACCGGGACAGGGTGGGGTGGGGAAGGGGTGAGGAAGGAGGGTTGTGTGTGAGAAGCCCGGTCAGCTCCCCGGGTCAGCTGCATCTGGAGCGGTTTCTCTAGCAGACAGTAAAGAACTCGATTACATCCAGTTAACTGTGCTCTAAACTGATTATGCATGTGCCGGGCTAATGGATTACATTAGCAAGAGGAAAAATAACATGCAATCAATCTCCATTTACTACAGGCCACACCAGGGCCTAGAGAAAAAGTGACTCTCAAACCACCTCCAATCCCCACCCCAAATCCGTGGAATGACGAAACCTTGAGAGGGAGCCTTCCTTAGTGGCAAGAGAAGTTTGATCTTAGTCGTACTGAGGGACCAAAGGGCTGAGGGCGAGCACTGGAATGACAATCCCAGCGGTGTCATCCAGGAGTGAGCGGGAGAGCTCCCCGCCCCCTGTGGCGAAGCCCGGGCAGGCACAGGGCCATTCATTACCCAAGGACTAATGAGACTAGACTAATGACCTTTGGCTCCTGACGGAGGCAATTCTGCCCTGAACCTCAGGCTGGTCACTCCGGGGATGTGCCGGCCAGATGCACCATTTCAGGATCTCTCCTTCAGGTGCTGGGTCCACGTTCTACCCTGCATCCCAACGCTCAGGACCCTTCTACCCACGCCATCTTTTTGAGCAACAGTTTCCTCTACCTTAAAAAAAGAAATGAGAAAAAAGTCCCAGGATGACAGGCCAGCAGTGCAGAAACATGCAAATAAACCTCGTCTCTTCCAACCACACCTCACCCTGACTCTCTGGGTGTGATCCGTGGACACAGTTTGGGGACCAAAACAGGATGTTCTCAGCAAATCCGCCGAGTTCCAGGCCCGTAAGAAGCAAAGTCAAGTGCCTGACAGACTCTTATTCAAGACTCCAGCCGCACGGAGGATGCAGCATGAGAGTTAATCGCCACCGTGTGCATTTTAGAGTCTAAAGGGCAATTTTTTCCTTGGATGCAAGAGGCCAGCTTCATGCCACCTCTAAACGACCTTCATCAAAGTTGCATGCAACCTTCAATGGCCACGCCGAGTCCTTTGTACAAATTTTACTCAGTTGGGTCCTTTGGAAATTCTTTTTTCCACTGGTTTTTCCATCAGGTTTTCTTGACCACGTCGGCACCATCCTGTGGCCAGTTCAGACCTCCAATTTAAACTGACTGCAAAGGGCTTTTTTCTTTTAATGGTGGCAAAACTAAGCCAGTCCAGCAAGGTTCTTGCTCATTTGAGATAAGGGGATTGGATGCGTGGTGTCCAGACCTTCCTCACTGCACCATAGCTGAGTCCACAGTCAGTTCCAGAACATTCTATCCCCTCTACCTCATTCCTGCTTTCTCCTCCTTTCCCTAAAGTGCTTTCTTAAGCACTACGTTATGCAGGCCTCCCCACATCCTGAGAAGGAACAACTATAAAATGAAGTACAATTATCAACCCCGGCAGAGGCCGACATGGGCAAAGGACTAGAAGTCTTCCTTATATGGAATCTCCGTTTAAAATCATTCTGAGTAGAGTAGGGACTCAACTAGCTCGGGGCCAGCAGAAACCAAACACTCGTGGGCCCAAAGACGCGAGAAACAGTGTGAAAGGCAGGAGGAGAGGCTGATAATGGGAGTGAGGAAAATGAAAAGAGAGAGCGAGGGAGTGGAAGGTGTGTGGGATCAGGCCAGGGAGATTTATGGCGATTTGTACCTGATTGTTCATACTAAAGCCATTATGGGATGATTAGAGAAAAAGGTGAGGCTTTAAGTCCAGTGAAAATCAATAGAGACGTCTGGAGCAATTCTGCCGTGCAAGTGAAAGGACTATTTACAGTATCCGGAGCACCTCCCCCTCGGTTGCCGTCTATGGAGTAGAGGGAAGGGCTGGGGGGAAAGCGGAGGGTGGAGGGAGAGAAAGAATAAATGGACAGGAAAGAGGGAAGAGGAGAAGAGACAGAGGAAGAGGGGGAGGATGGGAGAAGCCCAGGAAGAAGAAGAAAAAGTATAAGGAAGAGAAAGAGGACACAGAACCCAGGAAGCAACAGAGCGGGGAAGAAAAAAAAAACACACAAAGGAGGCCCCTCATGGACCCAATTTTCCCCACAGCATTTAGCACCTTCTAGCCTGCTACAAAATTTATCCATCGTTTCTCACCCATCTCCTGCTAAAAGAATGGAAGCTCTATGAGGGCAGGGATTTTCTTTTCTTTTTTTTTTTTTTTTTTGGTCAGATTCATGCACTGATGTGAACAAATGCCCAGAACAGTACCTGTCATTGAGAAGGTACCCAGTGTACATATGTTGGTGGAATGATGGATGGATGAAAGAAGGAAGGGAGGAACAAAACACCCCAGGAGCATCCGGGAAAGGAGAAATAGAAAAAAAAAAAAAGGAATAAAGAGATGGAAAAGGAGAACAGAAAGCCTAAAGGAGAGAGGGAAACCACAGGAGCAGAGGATGCAAAAGAGCCCATGTAAGAAAGAAAAGAACCAACCCTAGAGGCGCTGTCAACAAAACCTGACCCAAAATTGGGCACCCAGAAAGAGAACCTTCAGCTAGTCAAGCTACTCACTGAACCTGTCACGTTTCCACCTGGTGACAAAGTGGACACCGCCGACTCTCCTCTCAACTCCAGGTTCCCAACCAACAGCCAAGCAGGCCATGCCAGAGACTGTCCGACTCCTCCCCAGTGCTCCCTAACTCCCCGGTGCGCAACCCCCTCCTTTCAGAAAGAGCGCCTGAGCCATAAGGAGCTGGGCCTTACCTTGTACAACTTCAGGCTGGCCTCGTGCCTGGAGTTGACCGTGTGCAGCCGCAGCTTCTCCAGGCTGTTGGTGTAGTAGTCACAGGCGTTGCACTTGAGGTGCACGGGGTTGCCGATGGCCACACACTTGAGCCTCCACTCGTTGGCCTTGCCGCCCTCCTTGATGTGGGCCACCAGCTGGTACTTCTGCACGTGCTTGTCTGTCTTGCAGTGCAGCTGGAAGTTGGCCTTGAGCTGGGTGTTGTAGCGGCAGAGCTTGCACTGGTATGAGTCCCCCATCACCGCCTTCCACTCGTCCTCCGACAGGCTGCGCTCCACGTTCATGTGCAGGCCCAGCATGTCCAGGTTGTCCGTCGTGAACTTGTTGCAGACGGCGCACTGGAAGAGCTTCAGCGACGGGTCGTTGGTCTGGATGAAGCTCTCGCCCAGGTTCATCAGCTCCTCTGACACCAGCTGCCCGCCCCCGAGCCGCATGTCTAGGGGGATCTCACCGCCCACTGCAGGGAAGGAGAGAAGGAGAGAGTCAGACACCAGGCTCATGGTCACGGCCACAGCTGAGGCACCCCCCAGCCCTCCGCCACCCTCAACTGGGGTCCAAAAGGAGAAGATGACATTTCAAGTGTTGCAAAGGGCTACTGGCTGGAAAACAAGCAAACAAACAAACACAGTCAACCTGATGTGTTTCAATCTTTCCTGCGGACATTCTGAGATTTCTGGCAGGTTTTGTATTTTCTTTCTTTAGGAAAAGAACACCTAGAAAAGTTAGGAGCCATAGCCTCTTTAATATTTCCTTTTCTTTTTTTTTTTCCCGAGATGGAGTCTTGCCCTGTTGCCCAGGCTAGAGTGCAGTGGCACAATCTCAGCTCACGGCAACCTCTGCCTCCCGGGTTCAAGCGATTCTCCTGCCTCAGCCTCCCAAGTAGCTGGGATTACAGGCACCCACCACCACGGCCAGCTAATTTTTGTCTTTTTTAGTAGAGACAGGGTTTCATCATGTTGGTCAGGCTGGTGTTGAACTCCTGACCTCAGCTGATCCAACTGCCTCGGCCACCCAAAGTGCTAGAATGACAGGCATGAGCCACCGCGCCCAGCCACCTCTTTAATATTTCAATTCATCCCTTCTCTGAGATCCAAGAAAAGACAGAAATATGTATCATTCACTGGATATAACAGAATCTCAAACTGCAGACCTTCCAAAATTGGAAATGAGTCACAGCTGCAATCGTAACATACCAAGCCTTCATGGGGAACCAGAATTGGGCCCAGAATGTATCTGAGGTGGCAGTGACCAACATGACTTTCTGCCACCTTGAGAACAATCTATGGCTGTGTCATCTGGTGCAGCAGTCACTGGCTACCTGTGACTAATAAATACCTGAAATATGGGTAGTGCAACTACGGAACTGAATTTTCAATGTTATTTAAATTTAGGAAGCTACATGGTGGTGAGTGGCGCCTGGGTTGGATAGTGCATCTCTAAAGCAAAGATCTGGGGAGTGGGGCTGGACGTGGTGTCTCACACCCCTAATCCAAGCACTTTAGGAGGCCAAGGCAGGCAGATCACCTGAGCTTAGGAGCTCAAGACCAGTCTGAGCAACATGGTGTACAAAATATACAAAAGAAACTAGCCAGGCATGGTGGCGTGTGCCTGTAGTTCCAGTACTCAGGGACTGAGATGGAAGGATGGCTTGAGCCTGAGAGGCAGAGGCTGCAGTGAGCTGAGACCATGCCACTCAGCTCAGCCCTGGTGACAGAGCAGGACCCTGTCTCAAAAACAAAACAAAACAAAAAAAGACTTGGAGAGTAATCCCTCTACTCCTCACTGCTGCCCTCTGGTCAATATCCCTCCCGTCAGTCAATGCTGCCAACCCTCCCATGTCTTCTCAGTAGGGCTACCTGTTCTCTTTCCTGATCCTCTGCCCTGGGTGACATGTGGGGCTACCCTAGGACCAATCACCTTCCCTTTATCACTCAGTCACCTACCTACAGAGATGCACCATAGCTGGGATCCCCATCAGGGCACCACCTCCCTAGGACAGGGGTCCAGTCTTATCCTCGCTGGCCCTCTACAGAGTGCACAGACGCCCAAATGTTTGCTGTGCCAGACAAGAGTGAAAAAAGAGCGGGACTGCTGCACGTTCAGGAAGTGGATTGAGACAGGCAGTGAGACACGAGGCTCAGCTCCACGTCTCCACGAAAGGGCCGGGCGAAGATCTCTTCCTCCCTCTCCCACCCTGGTCTTTTTCAGTCCATCACTGCCCTGCATAAACCGGGTACAAGCTCACATTTGCTATGGTAAATTAATACTGCAAGGGCTTATTTCTACCAGGAGAATGGCTTAAAAAGAGCAGCCTTCCCTCCAGTTCCTAGAAGCGTACGGTCAAGCAGAAGGCTGGGCACTGGCGTCTAGTTTCTCTTTCCTAAACACACGTGCACTTGAGCTATTAGGTCTGCCCCACCCCCCAAGTGAAATTTAAACTTGACCTTTTATGTGTGGTTGGGCTGAGGTTATTTTATTTTTTACAACTGATTAGAATCCAAGTCAGTGGCTCATCAGAGAAAATATTTTTTTCTTTTTTTTATGATTTTCTTATTGACGCTACACAAGTCACCTCGAGTGATAAGATCAGTACAGGTTCTGCTAAGCAGACCAGCAGCTGCGTTTGAAGCTCACGGACAGTCTAGCAAGCCACAGAAATCTTTTGCACATGCATTCCAGAAGGCTTAGGAAGCTTTCGGCTTGTTGTCTGTCTTCCCATCTCCCCTGGTGAGAGGAACCATAACTATGTCATTCTTTTTAGGATAAGAAAGAAAAACAGAAAGGAAAAAGAAAAAAAAAAAAGCCTAAAAGCTCCATCCCTTAACGGGGACGAAGGCCAGGCAACATCCAGGAAACATACTCAGTGTTCAGTCAAAGCAGAAACTGCCCGGAGGGTAAGACAAGGAGCAAACATATATTTGTTTCTGATGCCAACCACCTGAAGCATCAAATCGTCTCCACTTTTTAGATTTCACCCCGGCACATCAACATCGCTCTAAAGAGAAATTCAGCTGTCACTTGCTGATGCCTGAGTGAAAATGAGAAGTCCTTGGAATAAGCAGAGGAACGAAGTCCCAGTTTCCACTTTAAGCTCTTTTTTTTTCAAGAGACAAGGTCTCATTCTGTTGCCCAGGCTGGAGTGGGTCACTGCAGTCTGGGCCACCAAGGCTCAAGTGAACCACCTGCCTCAGCCTCCCAAGTAGCTGGGACTACAGGTGCACCCCACTACGTCTGGCTGATCTTAAAACAAAAATGTTTTGTCGAGATGTTGCCCAGACTGGTCTCAAACTCCCAGGTTCAAGTGATCCTTGGACTCCCACAGTGTTGGGATTACAGGCATGAGCCACCATGCCTGGCCAGCATTCTAGGCTGTTAAAATGAAATGCAAAGGACAGAAGCAGCAGAGTGCTGAAATGAGTGAGGATGACAGGCAAGTGAAAACTCCCTTCGAGAACTATGCCTCAGAGAAACAAGCCCAGGGCTTAGAATCCTACAAATCCGCTAATCCAGCTGCCACAAAGTGGGGGAATCTCACCCAGTTCACAAACAGGAGCAGGGCCCCTATAAATAAGAAACTGGGGCTGGGCATAGTGGCTCACACCTGTCATCCCAGCACTTTGGGAGGCCAAGGTGGGCAGATCACCTGAGGTCAGGAGTTCAAGACCAGCCTGGCCAATGTGGTGAAATCCTGTCTCTACTGAACACACAAAAATTAGCTAGGCATGGTGGCGCATGCCTGTAATCCCAGCTACTCGGAAGGCAGAGGCAGAAGAATTGCTTGAACCCGGGAGGCAGGGGCTGCAGTGAGCCGAGACTGCGCTATTGCACTCCAGCCTGGGCGACAAGAGTGAAACTCCATCTCAAAAAAAAGAAATGAAAAAAAGAACTTGGCAGGTCCTTAGTCTTGAGCCACACTGGATACGTGGTCTTGGAGCAGGTCCCCATCTCTGGGTATGCACCTAACTCTAACACTGGAACTGACACCTTGACACGTGAGCCCACCCATCAGCACATCCTCAGGAAGGTGCATGGATTCAAAGGCACACTCTGGAATGAAAGGGAGACGAAGGGAGCTGCTAAACCTTGTGCAGGTGTCCAGGGGCTGGCTGGCTACTTGGGAAACACACAGCCACCCCGACAAGCAACCCCTTTCTTGGTGCTATGCTAAACTTCAGAGTCGAAAGGAAGGTTTGGGAGGATGTTCACAAGGCCTCAAATCTAATGTGCTGTCTACAAAGAGCAGCAGATCCGACTGTACTAGGCGAAGGAGCCCCAAGCCTTTCCTCAAAGGCTTCTGAAAAGAAGCAACCCCACAATCAGTGTCTGTTTGATGATACTAAAGAGGGCTCTGCCAAGGGAAGTATGAAAACAATCACCTTGTAAAGAGGAGTGTATTTCACAAAAACATTTTTCTCCCTGCAGAACTCAGTCACATCTAATAACACCTACAGCCATCTTATAAATGGACCATGGGGAAAAAAAACCAGTACAGCCACAGCTAGAACTGAAAGTTATGGCTGTTTTTATTTGCATAAGTTGGTTTCTCCTACTGAGGTCATACAACTCAAATTCCAAGTCTTTTGGACACTTCCTATGGCCCCCACACCCACTCGAGCTTCTGGCATAAAGGATTTGTGGCTCTCACACCTTCTCAGCAGTTTTCGCGGCCCAAGGAAGGCACAGGTTTCCAGGGACTCCCCGTGGCCGACAAGTAGTGACACTGGAAATTCAAGAGCCCTTTGTGACTGAGCTGGATAAATCCTTTGGGAGGAAGAGCTCCAGTCTAAGAAATATGGTGTGGCCCTTCCATGTGTGTCTACAACACAGGGCTTCATTCTTCTGCTCCTTCTGAATCTGCCGCAATGCCCAGGACAGTGCATGATGCCCCAAAGACTCACAGACACTTGGTGTGAAAGCGAAATATTTCTCTACTTCTCAATACAAGCCTTAGTTACCTGTTCTTAAGGTAATTAAAAAGCCTCACTTTAGGCTGGGCACAGTGGCTCATGCCTGTAATCCCAGCACTTTGGGAGGCCAAGGCGGGCAGATCACCTGAGGTCAAGGGTTTGAGACCAGCCTGGCCAAGATGGTGAAGCCCCATCTCTACTAAAAACACAAAATTAGCCAGGCATGGTGGCGGGTGCCTGTAATCCCAGCTACTTGGGAGGCTCTGGCAGGAGAATCGCTTGAACACAGGAGGTGGATGTTGCAGTGAGCCGAGACGGCACCACTCACTCCAGCCTGGGTGACAGAGCGAGACTCTGTCTCAAAAAAAAAAAAAAAAAAACCCTCACTTTGACCCAACATGAACCTACCCACGTTCCCACGTTCTGTCTTCATTCCACCTCCGTTATGTTTGATTTGCTCCAAGATCTACCTCCCGAGATTCTATGACTCCTTCTAATTCCTACTGGCTTAAAGAAAACCTTAGAGTACTCACTCCCATCTCCTGGTGTGCATGGTTCACCCTGGTGACAAATAAGACGACCAGTGCTTGTGCATCCACAATTAGCCAGTTGGTTTCAAATACCCTCAAATCATTTGGTAATAAAGGATCAACAGGCAAATATTTCAAAATGGAAAATGAGATTAAAGTACTAAGGATTAAAAACTGAATACATAGCAAGAAAAACCAATGGAATGCTTTGAAATATAACTCATCGGCAACAATTAGCACTCAAACACCACACAAATAAACACTTGCCAACTGCTGAGGCCTGGCCCTGCAGTCATCTAAGCCATCCTGGAAAAAAAGTCCTCACTGACACTCTGTTGCCAAGAACAACCTATTCCCATGTCAATAATGGCATATTGCTTAATTCAGGCCATTGTCACTGGTCCCACGAAGTCCATTAGCAGCGTCACGGGATGGGACGCAGGCAGGATCCTGTTTGAAGCATACCGGGTGGAGGCACGAGTGGCCCAACTATCAGAAGGTTCTCATGAAACCCATCTGTAGATTGTTTTGGCAGCAGCAGCTATCCTCAAAGTGGCTGTGGTTCGTTCTACGTAAAAACTCAAAGTTTTTAGCACCCAAATCCTACACTCTTGGTCCTATTCTAGATATTGTAAGCCAATTGGTAAGACTGGGAGCCTGAACAGAGCCAAATCAGCTTCTCTAAAGCAGAGGTCATTCTTCCTGGCAGCGAAGGCTCCGCTAACCAGGATCTAACTGCTATTAAAAGTTAACTTTCCTTGATGGACAATTTTTACAACTTACTCATTTTTCATCTCTCACACCCCTCACAACAGTGCCACTGGGGAATTTAATTCCCAATTAATTTCCAACTATTCTAATCACCAAGTACTCATCAAAAATAAGCAAAAAAAAAAACATCTCTTTCATTGAGGTCCTCATAAATATACAGAGAACTTTGAGAAGTCTATCTGGATGGTTCCCTAGCTCGGCACAGAATCAGCCTTTAGTTATCTGAATAACGTACACTGTGGTTCCGAATTCCTATTATTAAGATGATTGTCTCTACTTAAATCATTGAGGTAACTGTCCCTAGTCCTCTTATTGAAATGATTGCCTCAGCTACAGTTTCCTGTAAGTTTCAGTAAATATTCGATGAAACCCCAAAGTTTTAGGTGATTATAGTGATTTTTCAAATTGAAAGAAGAGACAGAGAAAGAGAGAATGGGAACAGAAAACTAGAGGAAACACTCACATTTTAATCCTGGCCCCACGTAGCCAGAGTACAAGCATATCTCTTTTGAATGCATAAACTCTTCCATATGTACACACACAGTTCAAGGGATTCTTGAGAATACTTGATTGTAAGACACTCCAGTTTACACAAAAACCACTCGAGAAGACCAGAGTCAACTGAATCCACAGGACTATCTCACCCTATTCACCATTCTCCCTGGTTAAACTCCTATCATGAAAACAGACAAACACGTAGTCATCCTCACCTAGAGCAGGCGTCATGGCGGCCATGGGCCCGGCGGGATCCAGCTGGAATCCGCTCATCATGAACTGGGCGTCCGAGGCAGCACTGTCCATCTTCAGGTTGGGCAGGTTCATGTTCTGGGCCAGGTAGTATTGGTAGAGCTCGGCCTCGGCGGGTGAGGGCAGGCTGCCGAGGCCCAGGTGGCGGTTGTGTTGGATCTGGGTCATGTTCTGTTGCAGTAACATCATGTTATGCATGTGCTTCTCACTGGTCATGTGAATGCGGAGGTTCCTGGCCACGTTGGTCTCATAATCACACACCTCGCACCGCCAGGTGGGTTTGGTTTTTGGTTTGGTCGGCGAGGGGGCCCCGCAGGAGCTACTGATATTGGCTGCCGCCGCCGCCGCAGCCACCGCCGCCGCCGCCGCCCCGGCAGTGTGGCTGAAGACCTGCTCCCCCCCTCCATTCTGCAGGTTCTGCATGTTGTTGAGATGCTTGTCAGACTGCATATGAATACTGAGGTTGCCTTTGGTAGTTGTGGAGTAGTTACACACCTCGCAGCGGAAAGGCTTGTAACCACACGTGTAGCTCTCGCCTCGTGCCAGCCGGGGGTGGGGCTGCCCGCTTTTGCAGTAGACACAGGAGCCCCCCGGCTCCGGGTGCTTCTCCTTCATGTGTGCCTCCAGGGTCTGCTGGTACTTATAGTGCCAGTTGCACTTGGGGCACTTGAGTGTCTTACACGAGTTACGAGAATGCATCATGGTCATGTGGCCGCCCAGCGAGCGGGAGGAGCCCAGGACCGTGTCGCATTTGGGGCACTCCACGCCACTCCCCGAGGGGCACTCCCCAACCCCAAGCTCGCAGAGGGAGCCAGCGTGCTGGTGATGGGGAACGAAGCCCCCATCGTCACCCTCTGTGCTTTCATTTGGTTCTGGTGCTGTGGCATTGTCTTTATTGGCACTTTCGTCAGCGAAGTCCAGCCTCCTGCCGCCCTCTGCCACATTGGCCCTGACGCCCTCACTGTTAAAGCTTAAACGATTCCTCCTGTTCGCACCATCAAAGACAACAAAGGAAGAAGCAGAATTAGAACTAGTAGAAGCTGTGCCCCTCGACAGGGTCTGGAGCACGTTAGGCATTAAGGGGGAGTTAGAAATGCTTTGGTTTGAGAGAGCAAGGTCCTTTTTGCTGCTACTACCTGCTGCGGCCCCAGGCTCCTCATGGGGCCTGTCCTCCAGTTCCTCATCCAACTCGCTTGGAAAGAGTCCTTTGCAACCCTCGTCTTCCTCCTCCTCTTCTTCCTCCTCCTCTTCTTCCTCCTCCTCCTCCGCCTCTTCCTCCTCCTCTTCCTCCTCCGCCTCCTCTTCGGCTGGCTCTACCTTCTCAGAGAAGCAATCCCCGTCGCCCACTTCCTGCTTCTCTCCTTCTGCCGCCCCAGAGTCCTTGCCCTCTGAGGATTTGGTAGGACTGGAAGCCAGAGGCCCCAGGGGGACTGAGGTAATGGGGGTCTTCAGTACCGAGCTGGTGAGCCCGCCAAGGTTCAACAGGGTGCTGGGGGTCAAGAGACCAGCCTGGGGCTGCTCGGGGCCAGCGGCGGAGCCCGCTGGGAGAGCTTCCTCCCCTTCCATTCGAATGCCACTAAATTTACCATAAAAACTGTGTCCGGGGCCTATGAGGTTAGCTGTGGAAACTAAAGGGTGTTGAAAGTTTTTGTTTTTTGGTTCCAGAAAACTTACAAGGGGTTCCTTGTCTTTGCCGATCCCTTGGATGATAGCGGAGATGTTCTTATTGCTAAGAATTTTCCGCTCGTCTTCGCTCAGGGTCATTCGATGGTCATGCACCGCGTGGGTCACAAACGAACGGACGTACCCAAAGGAGAGTTTGCACAAGAAACACATCAGGATGGGCTTCCTCTTGCCATAGAGCACAAAGCCATCGAATTTGGACAGGTCCACATTGTTGGGAACATCTTTGGATACGCAGGAGCTTTTGGCAGAACCGTCGCTGTTCAGGTAATCCTTGTTGCTTTTGTGTCGCACGTCAAACACGCGGAAGCTGTGCAGGACGGGGCTGAGCCCCGCCAGGGCTGAGGTATTCGGGAAAGCCTGGTCTGGGCCCTCAAACCATTTCCCGAAGGATGAGGCTATGTGGAAAGTGTTGATGATCTGCGGGTACACGGGTGCAGCACACGAAGGGTCCCCTTGCTTGCCCCCCGCGCCAGGGAGAGAGTTCAGGAAAAGCGAGGGGAGAGGCCCACTGCCACTGCCACTCCCACAGGCGCCCCCGCCCTGGGTCAGCTGGCTCAGGCTCTCCACAATGTACGCGGAGCCGTCCGGCTGGTAGACGATCTCCCCGGCCAGGTTCTCCACGTCACTCTCCTCGTCCCCCTCCTCACCGGTGTCGCTGGCGCTCTCCTCTCTCAGGGGTGGCGGGGGGCGCGCGCTGGGGCAGTGGTGCTCCATGTAGGTCTGGAGGCTGGCAAAGGAGGCCGAACATTCGTTGCAGGTGACCTCCTTGCTGGCGGGCTCGGAGGGGGGCCCGGCCGACGCGGTGCTCTCCGCGAGGCGCTCATTGAAGGGGGCCCTCAGGCTGTCCAAGGGCCCGTGGCTCTCGCCTGTGGACTGCTCCATGCTACTGGGTTTGTCAGGGAGGTGGGTGCTGTTGAGTTCAGTCCATTGCTGGTGCTGAGGGATACCGCACCCATTGTCCTTCCCCGAGACGACGGGCGAGTCACAGCCTTCCATGGTAAGGCCTGCGTGGAGCTTTCATTGCACCCAGTACGGAGGCTCGGACCTGAAGGGCAGAGGCAAGGGGGGAGGAGGGAGAGAGGGGAAAGAGAGAGAGAAAGGAAAGAGGTTAGGAGGGCCGAGGCTGAGGTCCTACCGCACGGAGCGCTCTAAGAGGCTTCTGTCCACAACACAGAGACACAGGGCGGAGGGCGGGCCTGGGGACACTGCCCCACACGGTCCAGCACACAGGGGTGGCATGGCCGGGTCAACAGCCTGAGCGAGGGATATGGGGAAAGAAGGCCAGGAACAGCCCTCTTCGGCTTCGAATTGTCACCGCTCTGCCCCTGAAGACTAGCGGGAATTTCCATTCTTTGCCAGCATAGCTTCGATGGGCCACAGTGGAGAACGGACGCGTCATCTCTCCAGCCCTCTACGAGGTCACAGCCACAGCCCTACCACTTATGGACAGCTCACACGAAGTCAGCCCCGACTCCGCGCACTGTCTGTGGGTCAGGGGAACACAGGGGAGGGCTGAGAAGAGGGAGGTTCAATGTCCCTGGAAAAAGGACGGTAAAGTGGGATAACGCTCATGGATTTAGAACAATTGCAGCCGTCGCTTTTACTGACCATGGTTCTAGTTTGAGAAGTTCAAAGAAGGCGGGTGAGGACCCTGAGGTTCACAGGGCAGGTGTACAGGACTAGACACACTCCGAAAAGTCCTCTCCAGATCTGGGAGGCGTCAGTCCCATTTTACAAGCAGTAAAACAGAGGGGCTTCAATCTAAAAACTGGCTCAGTGCTAATCTCACCACCATGAAACAGAAGAAAAGATGGGTCCCCAGATTCCTGTCTCCTCCACCCATACCAGTCAAGCTCCCTGGCCTGTGACTCTAGCTGACTTCAGACTAAAACTACGTAGGTGCAAAACGTGAGCTTGGTATTTCCAGCAGGAATGGACCAGACTCTGGATCTGCCAACACCCCCTCCAGCAGCTTCTATCTGGCCCTGGCTGGAGGGAGTGCGTTCCCCACGTGCCTGGTGGTTTTTGCTATCAAGGATCTGAGCAGCAAGCCGAGACGGCAGCTGGGCTCGGCGAGCCCCAGCTCCACACCTGCCTCTTAGTTATTAGTCGCTACCCAACCAGCTGTCGTTCAGCCCTGGGGCTTTTCCATTTCCGACTCCAAAGTGCCACTGAGCTGAATGTGCCCTCTGAGACCTCATGTCCCTGGGGAGGGAGGCATCGGATCACGGCCGCTCTGCTCCTGCAGTAATATCATCGCAGGGGCGATCATTCCGTCTGGCCCTGCTCCTACAGGCAGCTCAGCACCTCGCAGAGCCCTGATCCTTTGCCCGTAGGTCCCCAGCCACCATTCCCCTGCTGCTCCTCCTGGAGAACATGTGGCTGCTCCTCCACCCACCATCTCATTCACACTCAGCCGGTGAAGGTTTCGGCCAGGTTTGATCTCACTTCCCTCCCTGACAGCCCCTATCTTCTCAATCTTTTTTTTTTTTCATTTCTTGATTATTGACTGCACAATGAGACAACAGCTCCCCCTCGGGAAAAACTGGGGAAGGCAGGTTTACCAGAAGTCTCAGGGAGAAATAACTTTTTGGAAGAATAAAGCTATGATGTGTCTAATACACACATGCAAACACATACCCCTATCTCTCCATTTATAACTTCAGATTTTGCAACCACAAAGTTCCATGAGCCTTAGAAAGGACATACTGACTTAAAACAGAGATGACTACAGTAAACCAAACCAAACCAAACCAAACCAAACCAAACCAAACCAAACCAAACAGCAAACGCAATGGGACTTCCTCGCAAGGCTGAGCCGGGATACAGGTGAGACTGCAGGGCGGCTCTTCTTAGGGATGCTTCTGATTGGCTGGATGACATCTGATTGATAGCTTGGGCCAAAAAGGTTGGCAGGCCTGAAGGGGCGGGAGGGTTAACAGCCCGATTGTAAAATCAATGTCATAAATGCTTGGTAAGTTACAGGAACATGCGGGAAGGGGGGGCCACGATTGATAAAGCAGAACAGCTTTGATGCTGCACCAGGGACTTGTTTATCGACAGCAAAGCCAATCTCCTCTCCAGCCTGGGCTGGGCCAGAGAAACCTGCAAGCGTTTACCAATTAATTGGTGGGCTTCTCTTGCTCCGTTCTCCTCTTATTCCTCCTCCTCTTCCACAAACTATCCAGCCAAGAGGCTGGGACTTTTAAAACCTCCCTTACTTTGTTTTCTACTCCAAAGCGGAAGATGTCAGGAAAGAATGACACTGTACCCACCTATGATGGTGGCTGGTGACCCTGTGGTGGTGACACTAGAGCCCACCCATTCACGGGGAGCAGCAGCCATGAGGACACGGGTCGGAGAGGAGGAACCCACTGCAGGACCCAAGCTACCTCCCCTGGGCCTCCTTTCCATGCGCACCAGCTGTGACAAACAGGCCCGTTTGCAGCCTTGCCAAACAAGCGTGGTTTGTGGACTTGAAGCATTATCCTCTCCGGGGAGCTTAAGAGACATGCACTGTCTCCTCCTGCCCCATCAGAATCTGCATTTTCACACCATCCTCAGGGACCATGCATTAAACTTAAGACACTCTCTGCTTCACTCCATCTTCACCAATACAGGTACCAAGCACAGCTCTTCTGTCCTTGGTACCTGTATTGCTAGGTAACCAGGGAAGGTCAGTCTTAGATTCCCTGTGGTCCCTGGGAGGTGCAGGGATGGAGATGGAGAAGAGGGGGACGCGCGCACAGAGGTAAAGAAGTCTCCCCAATCCGCCACATCCTGTGGCTCAAGGGTCTCAGGGCATCTACCACTCCCCCGCAACAGCCGGCTCTCTCTCGCTCTGTTTATCAGCCAGTCAATAAGAAAAAGGTAGTTCTTACTTAAGGAGGCAGAAGTCAACTCGGCAGGTCGATCAGCACTCTGTCTGTAAACACGGTTTCCCGTAAAATCAATGATCTTCAGTTACAGAGGGCAGCCTGGGAACCCAGTGGGTCCCCGCACTTTTCCAAGCAGCCCTGCCAGCCTGACACGCACACCTCTCTTCAGGCTCCCTCCACGTTCTGTGCCCCTTCCCAGTACTTCCCTAGTGCCAGGGCTAGCTGGTACAGGTTCACACCCCTCCTCCCTTCCTGCAGCCCGCTTCTCTGCTGGTGGCACCCGGAACTCCCTCTAAAAAATGTCCAGGTATTCTGCTCACAACCCCCAATGTTGCACTCAACATATGGGCTTCAAGAATTCAGTTAGATTTTAATAGAGCACATCTCTCCAGTGAGAAAGTTAAAGGGAAGATAGGAATGACCTAGCTGGCTCACTGTCTGCTTAGCACTTAAATCTGCCATCTGAAAGGTAATCTTGTACAGAAGAATTCCAGCACCTTCATCAAGTATCCCCCAACTCCTGCTCATCTTCCAAGCTCCCTTGGAACCACCTGTAAAGCCCACTGCATCTTTGCAAATGTCAATCTTTACTTTTCAAAGATTGTTTAAAAGGATAAAACTCTACCCTGTTACCCTGTATCTCCCTATTAATCAAAACGTTCATCTCCCTCTTTAAAAACATGTGCTGATGACAGTTTTATCCTGTTCCCTTGAGGCAGAACTGGGTAAAATGCAACAGTTTCAGGGAAGCTGGGGTGGGAGGGGTGCAGTTATGACGAAGGGGAGGGGGCTCCTGCTGTTGCTCCAGCTCCCGGAGAATGAAACATGAACAGTCGCACTGTGTAATTTTAAATTGTTAATTAGCACAGGGTTAATTAGGCAGTCCTTTCACAAGAGGCTGTCTGGTAGGAAACCAAGAAGGGAAACAAAGGGGAAGGGAGGAAAAACAAAGAGAGAATAGAGGCAGTGAGAAACTGTTGCCTCCAAGAATATCCCATGCGGGATCACTCAAGAGACATCAGCCAGCAGGCAAGGATGCCTGATTCCCTGGGTGATCCCCTGCTCTGCCGGAGGGAGAAGCAGTGAATACCGCCTTCCTACAGGCGACCAGGCAGCATACATCAAAGGCCTCAGAAGTGCACATCCCTCCCCGTTGACTCAACAATTCCCCGTTCTAGGAATTCATCATAAGGAAAGAACCCAAGCAATGCATGGAGATTTAAGTTTATTCATGAAAAACATAACAGGAAAAAAGAGGAAAAATTTGGGCAAAAACAGACCCTAAATAAATTACAGTGCACAGAGCTCCATATGTTGTTATAAAGATGCTTTCTTCAAAGAAACTATTTATAAGCATGGGAAAATGATCATACAGATGCTAAATGAACACAGCACATATAGGTATTATGGAGAGGAAAACAGGAGAGACTTATATTACAATTTTTACAACTGTGAATTCTAGGGAATGAGGTATAGGTGACTTCATTTCCTCCTATGTGCCTTTATTTCCCAAAGCTCTTTAAAATTAAAACCATCATTGAGACAGTAGGATTGCTAGAGCCCAGGAGTTCAAGGCTGCAGTGAGCTACGATCGGGCCACTGCATTCCAGCCTGGGTGACAAAATGAGACTTGGTCTATTTAAAAAAAAAAAAAAAGGAAAAAAATTGAAAACCATCATACTGGAAGTCATCACTTAATGAGTTAGGTGTTGTGTTAAGACCCATGGGTACAGCATCACTTTGATCCTCATACCCACACTAGGAGATAGATACTATTTTTATCCCCATTTTAGAAATGGGAAAACTGAGGTGGCCCAGTTATGCAGCCTGACTGACAAACCGGAGAGTATGGGTGTGGAGTCTATGCTTTCAGGCAGTTTTCCTTTGTCACCCAGGCTGGAGTGCAGTGGTGCGATCTCAGCTCACTGCAACCTCTGCCTCTTGGGCTCAAGCGATTCTCCTGCCTCACCCTCCTGAGTAGCTGGGCCTACAGGCGACCACCACCACGTCTGGCTAACTTTTTGTAGTTTTAGTATAGATGGGGTTTCACCATGTTGGCCAGGCTGGTCTCAAACTCCTGAGCTCAGGCAATCTGCCCGCCTCGGCCTCCCAAAGTGCTGGGATTACAGGCGTGAGCCACCGCACCTGGCCTGTTTTTCTTTAATGTCTAATTTTCAAAAGAGAACACTAGAACATCCCTACATCTCACATTCACACTCAGTCTTTAAGCACCCAGGGACTGTCCTAAGGTGATGGGATCCCAGGACTGCTCATGCAAAAGAACGCTGGCATCTCACCCAAACGCCCTTTTCTTGCTTGAGAGTGATGGGGGTGAGGGGAACAGTTCAAAGCAGACTGATTTGCTTGGATATCTTTAGGCAGACAAGAGAGGATAAAGGAGGTAGGAGAAGCTGCTGCAAAGAACTGAAATGTAGGTCCAATATCCTGATTTTTAAAGAAGGACAAAAGGCAGGTTCCAGAACCTACAGATCAGGAAACATATTCATTCGTTCAGCATTTACTGAGCATGTACTATGTGTCAGTCAGATGCTACAGAATCCATGCTAAAAGGTCTCGGCTTACATTCTTGTAGAGAAGAGAGACCACACACAAATACACTCAAATAAAAAGCAATATAAAGTAATATAAAACAAGAGAAGGGGAAAGAGTGATGTGTGTGCATCGTTTTGGAGAAAGTCACAATGTCAGAGTGACTTAATGGATATGGAAATACTTCAAGAATATGTTGTAAAGCATATACTGTAAGTTCTTCATAGTTTTCAAACAGATTCAAGTTGCTGGAAAAGAATTTTAGGGGTGGGATGATCCTGAGGAATTAGCGATTAGCTGTAGGTCCAGTAAGAAAACCCACATAAAATAAACCGAAAAATACCCTTACTTAGACTTAATGATCTGAGAAATACAATAAAGTCTGCTTTTTTATCTTAATAAGGTAGCACAAAATTTATCATTTCTTTATATCCAGGATGGCAAAATGGCTTTCAGATAATAAACTGTGGCCAATTTTATAGCCGACTAATGATGCCATTATTTTAAGCGTCAACACAGAGGTCCGTGTGTCTCGGGACACGCCAACAAGGCTCTGTCTTGTCCCTATTTGGCTGACTGAAATCAACAGCTTGAGGAACAAGACCATGCAGGCATGTCCACTTGCAGAGCACACCAGACTCGAGGGAACAATTAAAATGCTCAACGGTGGAATCAAGACTGAGGAAAAAAATCTCCATGAGTTGGAACAACAGGCCCAAACTAACAGAACAAAACTTTAGATGGAAAAACATGAAGCCCTACATTTAACTTCAGGCAATCTGCTAAACCAATAGAGGATGGAAGAGACTTGGAGTCATAAGAGTTCATGCAAACAACAATAACAAAATATCTAGGAGTTTTACTTGATGACAAACTCAGAGGAAGCCCGAAGTTGGCATGGTGGCCAAAGACCATAATGGGGCCTTTGGCAACAGTACTACTCTGTACCTGTTGGAGCTCAGCAGGTCCACAGCCCATCACTTTCTCTGTCTGCGTGAATAATGTTAGGAACCACTCCAGGGAATCTCCTAAGAGAGATACCAACAAAGAAGCTGTAGCCTCATCGGAATGGCTGAACACACACACCATTCACGGGTGCAGGGAAGAGAAGTCCCGTTGCAGGGCAAGGCAGCTATCCTCGGCTATATGAAACCCTGCCTGCCACAGGCAAGTGGGTTTGGTTCTATGGGTTCCACCTAGTTCCAGGGTTGAATTAGGGGCAATGAGGGGAATCTATAAGGAAAGAGAGGTGGGGTCACTATAAATGAAAATCTTTCTCAAGATTATCACAGTTCCCAAATGGAATGTTTATGCTGTGAAATACTGCACTCTGTGGCTTCAAGAATGGAGAAGGGGATTGTGCTATGGCCAGGGGGCTGTATCAGGCAGCCTATGAAAGGTGAAGATTCTTCTCATTCCTGGGTGTTATCTATGGGCTTGTCTGTCCCCACCACAAGGCTATGAGTGGCATGAGATCAGGTTCCCTGTGCTATTCATCTCTGAGTCCTCCACATCTGACATGTAATAGGTGCTTAATAAAACAATGGGGGAAATAGGAAAAAAGAGGATCCCTGAATCCATTCCTTTTCTTTTTTTCTCTTAGTTTAAGACGTGTCTGGTGTAACCATTCTCCACAAAATGGAACTGGGGCTCCTTGGAGACATGGCCAATTCTTGGGCTGGAGCAGGAAAAGTTCAAGATGAGCTCGGAGCATCTACTTGTGCTCAAAGAATAAGGAAGATGTGTCAAAATGACCTAGGAGTGGGTTGGAGGGGCTCCCAGTGGCCACATCAGGGACAACGTGAGCAAGAAAATTAAGTGACAGTAAGTGATTGCAACCCAATGTGTAACATAACAATCCCCAAGTCCCTACTTTAAGAAAAAAAAAAGTGTGGGAGAAAGGAAAGTTCTTCCACAGGGTAGAAACTCAACTAATAAACGTAGAAAAAGAGTATGGAGTTAGAAAATCACCATTTGATAACCATCATCATCTTCATCATCATCCACTCAGGGAAGAATCAATGGGTACCCAAACTAATGGATGAAAGTTTGAATACTTCCGGGAGCGGTGGCTCACGCCTGTAATCCCAGCACTTTGGGAGGCCGAGGCGGGCAGATCACGAGGCCAGGTAATCGAGACCATCCTGGCTAACACGGTGAAACCCCGTCTCTACTAAAAATACAAAAAAAAAAAAAAAAAATTAGCCGGGCGTGGTGGCGGGCGCCTGTAGTCCCAGCTACTCAGGAGGCTGAGGCAGGAGAATGGCGTGAACCCGGGAGACACAACTTGCAGTGAGCCGAGATCGTGCCACTGCACTCTATCCTGGGTGACAGAGAGAGACCCCATCTAAAAAAAAAAAAAAAAGTTTGAATACTAACAGGATATTTACAATCTCAAAGTCTCTCCCCACAGGATACTTCTTAATTATAGCAGGAAAAAAAAAAACAACAACAATAACTTCACTGTGGAGAACCTGGCAGACACCACCTTCATTGAGTGATCAAAGTTCCCATCACCAGCAGTGGGGCAAACAGACGTCATGTGCCTCCTGGTAGGATACACCGAGAGGAACACAACATCCCTTCCCTGGTGTTCCTGTCAAAAACGCACAACCGGAATCTAATCATGAGGGAACATCAGGCAAATCCAACTGAGGACAGTCTGCAGAATGTCCTATGCTTTTTAGAAATGTCAGGGCCATGCAACGGAAAGACAGACTGAAGAACTGTTTCAGATTAAAAGAGACTAAGGAGACATGACTAATGAACGTTATGCATAATCTGGGATCTTCTTTTCCTCTAAAGGACATAACTGGGACAACTGACAAAATCTGAATAAGGTTTTGTAGATGGGCTAATAGTGGCATATGAATGTTAATTTCCTTTTTTTTTTTTTTTTTTGAGACAGAGTCTCGCTCTGTCGTCCAGGCTGGAGTGCAGTGGCGCAGTCTCAGCTCACTACAACCTCTGTCGCCCAGGTTCAAGCAATTCTTCTGCCTCAGCCTCCTAAGTAGCTGGAACTACAGATGCCCACCACCACGCCTGGCTAATTTTTTCATATTTTTAATAGAGACAGGGTTTCACCACACTGGCCAGGCTAGTTTCGAACTCCTGACCTCCAGTGATCCGCCCACCTCAGCCTGTCAAAGTGCTGAGATTACAGGCATGAGCCACTGTGCCCAGCCTCATTTCCTAATTCTGATAACTGCAGTGTGGTTATAAAAGAGAATGTCTTTGTTTTTTAAAATACACACTGGTATATTTAGAGGTGAAGGGGCACAATGCCTCGATTTTCAAATGGGTTAGGAAAAAATATGTGAGTGTGTAAGTGTGTGTATGTGTATCAGTATATACATACATACACATACACATATATACACACATATATATGTACCTACATATATACAGCAGGAATAAATATATGAGATGTTACCATAGGAGGAGTCTAGAAGGAGGACACGAGAATTCTTTGTTCTACTGTTAAAACTTCCCTGTACACTTGAAATTGTTAAAAGAAAAAGAAACTGTCCAGAGTAAAAATTCGACATAGTAACCCCCCAAAACTATAAACGAAGAGTCAACCCACCCTGACATGCGTATCTTTAATCTTTATGTGAAATTTGCTCCCAGCAGAGCTTCAAAAAAGGAAGTGGCTGTGAGGCTGGACAGAGAGGTGTAGAGAGACAAAAACTGAAAACTGGTCTCCCCTTCCTCCAGCCAAGAGGCTTCTAGGTGGAGCCTTCCAGTTGGAGAAGACAAATAAATGGCCATTCCAACTTGGGCAGAACTTCACGTAATACAATACTGAGCCGTTTCCCCGTGACACTCATGATCCTGACTGTGGGCTGATTTCCCTAGTTCCCTAGGGAACTTTCGCAAAGTTCCCTAACTTTGTGAAAAGTGATTCTAAGTAAAAGGACGAGGGCAGCCCCCAGAGAAAAGGAGAACTCCAGCAGCCCCCAGAGTGTGAGCATTGTTAAATCCAGGCTAAAACATATCAGAGAGAAAAACACACTACACTGAAGCAACTATCCCCTCACTAACCCCACCTCCTTAAAAAAACAAAAACAGAAAAACAAAGGCAACCCAGATTCCAAGAGAAGGTGAAACCTCCTTCAAGGGTCAAAGAAATAATACCTGCATCTGTTTAGCTTGGAATCCACTGAAGAACCATACCCAGTTCCCTTCTGTGTTTTTTTACAATAACAGTGTTTGTCTACTGCTGCTGCACAGAAGTCAATATGTGTTAAGCCATACATAGGTGATTCCATCTGCTTGGTAGCAATTTCCCAGCAGCCTTCAGGATTGCTCTGCAAGTGTGGCCAGGTCGGAGAACACACAGGTGCTTGAACAGGCGCCTTGTGCTGCCGGACGCCCACTGCCCAGAAGGCCCAGAGAATCGCCCAGGCCGTGGGCCTCCATGTTTGCTAATAAGTGCATCTGTGCTATTTCCAGCATGAACATAAATCAGCCTAGAAGTGAAAACTGCTAGCTCAGCCCATTCTGCAGGGAATCCACAACCACCATGATATTCTGGTTACAGTGGAGTCGTGGAGGGCAACAGGAGAGAGTCGTGACAGCGGAGGCAGGTCTAGGAACCCAGTCTGTGTGTACTTAGAGGAATTAAAAAAGATTTTTTTTTTTTTTACTATATATGTAAACATACTCAGAGTTCAACCACCATGAATCAAAACCAAACCCATGAATATAATAATAAAAAGCAAGACAAACCAGCTATTATTTATGCTCTGCCTTGTTCTAAAAAGGGATTTGGGGCAATTTAAACAGCTATAGTAACTGTATCTCACACTTGAGTACGTAAGTCTCTACCCTGAGTCACGTGGAGGCCTTTCCACCATTTCCACAACAAGAAAGACAAGCATCGTGTGCCCATGACTGGCTTGACTGGTGCTCCTGACTTGGATTTAATTACCATAGAGCACGGATCCCCTCCCGGATTTGCAGCAGAACCTCCTTTCACCAAATACCATTGCTTTACCTGACTGTACCAACCCACCTCTCCTACCTTGCAAGCCCGCAGCTCACAACCCCAACCTTCACCCATCTTCTGGCACTTTCCCGGCTAAACCGGACACCTTCTGACACTAACCATAACCAACACTTATGTGTTTCCTTTGCCAGCACTCAAGGCTTTTTCATCTCCTCCCAATTTCCTCAAAGTCCCTCTCCAAGATCCTATTTCTACTCTCTCTCCACTCTTGCTATTGGGATTATAGGGCAAAAGCTAGGAGACAATGTAAAAACGTGCCATCTGGCCCATTACAGTTTCAATCTGGCATGTCATGATGTCAAATTTATGTTAAATCATGTCTTATGATTAAAGTTGTGGGAGTTCATTATTTTAAAAATTTGGATATGTACAAAAAGACTCAGCAGCTAAAGTTAAAATCACTGACAATTCCACCAGCTAGAGAACCACTGGTAGGTAGTTTTTCGGGCTTTTTTCCTCTGCACGTTTACAGATACAGATTTTCCTTACCTACCTCGGATCACGCTGCTGTTTATGTAGGCCGCCCTTTTAACCTAATTTAGTATGAAATTTTTCCTATGCCATTCAATATTCTTCATAAGTTAAAACTAATGGCTATATAGATACTATATCTTATACACATTGCATAATTTCCACCAAATGCTATTATTAGACATTTAAACAATTCCCAATATTTTGCTGTTCATTTTGCAATAAGGGCCCTTAAATCTTTGTACACATATAACAACAACAACAAAAACAACAAACCAAGTAGTAGCTCCATTACTGTCCACCTGGTTGAATCAAGCATGGTTTTGAGCACTATTTTTCTGAACATGTTGTTTTGTTTGATCCTTGCGGCAGCCCACTTTACAGGTGAGGAAACTGAGGCTTAGAGAGTTAAGTACCTTGCCCAAGCTGCATGCTAGTTTAGTCGGCCTTTGAAAGTAGGTAAGCCTCCCTTACCACTCTAAAACTAGGCTCTTACTCATGACGTTGTGTCTGTATTGCCTTAGGATGCATTTCTGGAAGTAGAGTTGCTGACTCAAATGCTAGGAACATTTAAGGCCCTCTGGAACGTGCCAAACTGTCCCCCAGGAAAGTCCTTTCCACTCCTGCTTGCACTGGTGTGTGAGCACCAGTTTTCCTGCACCCTCATCAACAGTGGGTATTTACTTTGTTATTTTTAAAAGTCCGTTTGACAGGCAAGAAATGGCATCTCATTTTAACTCACATTCTTTACTCATAAGACAGAACCCATCTATGGATATTTACTGGCAGTCTACATTTCTTTTGTGAACTGCCTATTAATTTTTTTTTTTTTTTTTTTTTTTTTGAGACGGAGTTTCACCCTGCTGCCCAGGTTGGAGTACAATGGGGCGATCTCAGCTCACTGCAACCTCCACCTCCTGCATTCAAGCGATTCTCCTGCCTCAGCCTCCCAAGCAACTGGGATTACAGGTGCAGGTGTGCACCATCACGGCCGGCTAATTTTTTGTAGTTTTAGTAGAGTCAGGGTTTCACCATGTTGGCCAGGCTGGTCTTGAACTCCTGACCTCAGGTGATCCACCCACCTCGGCCACCTAAAGTGCTGGGATTACAGGTGTGAGCATTCATGCCCGGCCTTGCCTGTTATTTCTATGGCAGGTGTGTGTTGTCCTTTTCTGAGTGAGTAATGAAAGGGTTTTGCAGAATTTGACTGGTGATCCCTCCCCCTTGAGTTCCTACCAGTCCACCATCCTATAAGCTCCTGGACAGGAGAGAGTCTGACCTACTTACACTGCCAGTTCAGAAGATGTTCTCTGTCCTTCAGATCTCAACTCCATCCAAAGAGTGGACTCTGTCCACTGCTTCATTTGCTCCACATCAATTTTCCTGTATTCAAGTGAAGTCCCCCTCCTTTATGTGATTATAAAGGGCCAAACTGCATCAATCATTTTCAAGCTTTCTTGTGCAGTGGAACCAACTATGCGGCACAATAAAAATACATATGGATGTCAAGCCCCAGCCCAGAGCACAAGACTAGCTCTCTGAAGGGCTGGGTATCTGCTCCGGGAGGGTGGGAAGGCACTATGTCGCCAAGATTTCTGTCCTCTGTCCAAAGTCATCGGTGTCCTCCTGGTCTTGGTCAATGGTTCCTCCTCCTCTACTTTAAGCTTCAATCTCCCCTGCATTCAAAACTGCTTCCCCCTCTACTCCTTGAAATCTTCCCCCACTTCACTTCTGACATATTCTGGCCCTCCTCCCACCTCTGTCATCTCTACATTGCCTGTCCTCTCCCCATTCCTACAGCTCTCCATGGGTACATTTTCCACTTATTCGATAAAATTCTTTTATCATTTCAACTCACAGACATCTCTCCTCCCTGTTCTCCTGTAGGTATTTAAGCGTCATTGTACTCTTCCCCCTTGGCTCTCTGCTCTTAACTCTGTACATCAGCTACCTTAACTACTTCTGCGGTTTCAATTACTGAAATTACGAGCTGACTCCCAAAGCAAAAATGTCCATTCCTGACTTGGCACTTGAATATGTGTCTCATACTTTCAGAAGACCAGAAGATGTCTGTACATGCCTAGTGTCCCACCAACCAAGACTCAGCATGGCTCAACATGTCCAAAGGACACTGCCCCCTCACTGTCGGCCCTGGTCTCTCTGGAAGGAACTTTTGGTGCCATCTTTGCAGAAAACAGAAAGGAAAGATCAGTCTGGCTTTCCCAATATCATGTTCATCCCCATCCTTCCCCATCCAAGAAACAACTACCAAAACACATTCAAACTGAAACTCTCCAGAGCGGTTTCAAATCACCCCAAGATCTACCACTAACACTACCATTCAATCACCTGTGTCGTTTCCCTCCAACTAGGATTCCTCCCCATCATCTCTGCATTCTGATGCATTATCAACTCTGTTCCCACAACCCCAGGCCCTTTGAATAGCCTTTCTCTTCCTCAACACTCATCCAAACCTGGGATATCCTTAAAGAAGCACAAGCTCAAGTTGTACTTGGCCAATAAAATCCTCGCCTATTGGCCAGGCATGGTGGCTCACACTTGTAATCCCAGCACTTTGGGAGGCCAAGGCGGGTGGATCATCTGAAGTCAGGAGTTCAAGACTAGCCTGGCCAACATGGAGAAACCCACTAAAAATACAAAAATTAGCCAGGCGTAGTGGTGGGCGCCTGTAATCCCAGTTACTTGGGGAGCTGAGGCATGAGAATTGCTGGAACCTGGGAGGTGGAGGTTGCAGTAAGCAGAGATCGAAATCACTGCACTCCAGCCTGGGCGACAGAGTAAGACTTTGTCTCCAAAAAAAAACTCTACTCGGAAGGAGAAAAAATCAGGTATGAACTACATGCAAGTGAACCCCTGGGTTCCCGCTTCCTGGGAAGGGCTATCAAAGCCGGGTTCACTAGTTTAATAGAAAGATGAGTCTACTATGGTTCCTAAGTTCCTATTAGGTAGCTCTTAGTCAGCAGAACACTAATTGGAACAGAAGTAAGTGCTATCATTCAAGGCTGCACAAACCCAAGAGAAATGAACTTGGTCAGATTCTTTGCACTTGGCAGTTTGGGGAATGCAGGCAGAAGCAGCCAGGAGCCTTAAGTTTTCTTTTATTCACATCGAATCTACCTGAGAACAAATGAAGAACATGGTACAGCTGCTTTTCTCTGGGCCTGTGGCAGCTAATTAGAGCACCTGGGAAACACCATTCAACGTTGCTGGACAGAGGTACGTCCTCGCAATGATTCCGCCAAATGGCACACACAGGACAATGGGGAAAACCTGTAAGGGTGAGGTGAGAGCTGGCCTTGGGCGAAGGAAAGTTTCCCACAGCAGTTATCTCCAAAATGACTCTGAAACAAGGAGTGTGTTTTCCTCTCGGCAGGAAGAAAACCACTCGGTGGGCTCACCATCGGCAGCTTGCTCTGGCACGAGGCTCCGGAACTGGCACCATGACAAAACAAACAAGGATTGCCCTTTGGAGGCTCACTGATAGGGCAACACACACACACACACACACACACACACACACACAGCCTCTCACCAACACGGGCACAGCGAGTTCTTCAGATATCCCTGGCCTGCTGGCATAAAGAGCTTTTCAAGCAGTGGGAAGCCAAAGGGACACTCAACAAAGCAGTAATGGCCACTGTAAGGTAGAGACATTGGTAAAGGCATGAAAAGGGGATGCCTACTGCAAAAGCAAAATCGTACACGGGGTCTTCCCCATGCCTTGACTGGGCACCCTCGAGAGACCCCTTTGGGATGTGCGTACTAAGCTTCCACCCAACTTCCTATCTGGTGGAGGCATGCTATGCACAGAGACCCCATCACTGAATTCCCTCCTAGATAACTCACTGCACTAGACTGAAGGCTTGAGAGGTTTATTTCATCATGAGTAGTCCTCAAATCCTAGAGGCCCAGAGAGTTGCTCCTATCTCGATTCTCTTTCTTAGGGTAAAGTGAACCGGCAGCAAGAACTACCACCAGGACGCAAGGGCTTTGAGACAGACTGAAGGGGGCATGGATTCTGCTGGCACTCTGAGTTTGTTTGAAAGACTTCCAAATTCCAAAGCTTAAAACCCTATCAGGGCCAGGTGTGGTGGCTCATACCTGTAATCCCAGCACTTTGGGAGGCCGAGGTGGGCGGATCACTGGAGGTCAGGAGTTCAAGACAAGCCTGGCCAACATAGTGAAACACCCTCTATACTAAAAATACAAAACTTAGCCGGGCATGGTGGCAGGCGCCTGTGATCCCAGCTAACTCAGGAGGCTGAGGCAGCAGAATCACTTGAACCCGGGAGGCAGAAGTTGCAGTGAGCTGATCGTGCCACTGCACTCCAGTCTGGAAGACAGAGTGAGACTCTGTCTCAAACAAAATAAAATACAATACAATCAGGAGAGAGGGGTGTACAGGGGGAAGAGAGGGGATCATGAAACGTGATCACATGTCCCCTTCTTCATGGCCCCTTCTCCATCCCACATGGTAATTACAAAGCCCATTATTTGCACTGTTACTTTTAATCAAGAAATCCATATTGAGACATACTTACCACTGGCCACTTCAAAGAGCGGCCCTGATAGTTAGCTAAAATAACAAAGGAAAATTTCTTCTTGAAGTGTAAGGATCCAAGAGCTCACACTTCCTTAACCTTCCAGAAGCCACCCAGAGAACCAAGTGACTGTGGGCAATAATTACACCCTCACCAACTCAGCAAAAATGGCACAGATGGTCTTTCTCCTCTTGCTGCTCCCAATGCTGCGTTTGGGTCAACAGCTGCTAAGAAGAACCACCAAGGCCACGTTAAATAGTACTTGGATTAATTATGCTTGAAAATCTCTTATCTGAGCACTGCTAAGACAGAACAATTGAGTTTGGGAATGAGTGTGGTTACATATTTTTCCTTAATGGCTTCCTGAACACCCTGGTTAGGTCTGGTCCCAGGGGAGAAATTGCCAGCTCAAGTCATAAAATGTGATCAATGTAGATCAAGACCCTGTGCTAAGTGTCTAGGATGAAAGAGGGGAAGCGTATTTGTGCAAACACACAAACATATGAAAAATGCATGTTAACATAAAGAACTTCAGCTTTCTTTCTGAAGCTGCACCCTCTCTCCTTTCATGCCTAGAGCTCTGCTCATTCCACCAAAACTTCCAGCCAGCAGTTCTAATCTTGGACAGCGCCAGAACAAATTTTGGCAACTGTTCCTGCAGTTCCAAAAGATTCCCATGTTAAGCCATGGTAAGATTCGGGGAATCAAATCTGGATGGTGAATGGGGCCAATTTCTTTGACTTCAATAACACAGAGGCTACTGGGGTTCCAGCCCCAGTGGTCATAGTTTTAAGCTCCTCTGCATAATACTTATCCAACTACTCACTGGTTGTTCTAATGATTTTTATTCATTCGTGCCACAATATTTATTGAGTGCCTACAACATACACAGCGCGTCCCTCCTGTCGATACAGACTCCTACGAGCTTGCTCTCAGTAGCGTCCAGGCAGGCAAAGGAAGGAACTGGAAGGCAGTGATCAGGACCCCGGTAGAAATGGACTCAGCACTCCACGTGGCCACTGGGATTCACTATGTCAACACAATTATCTGGGTTACTGCTCGCCTCATTCCAGAGTCTACCTGCTCTGATGCCAGAATCTGTCCTTCTATTAACAAGGTGTGGTCACAGTGAACTGACTGAGGTCCACTGTGTTTAAAAACACTGACCATGGCATCTCATGGCTGGACAAGTGGCACCGCCGCCCTGAGACCCTGCAGTGCTGGGGAACCCGGAGGCCCTGAGACCTCGGTTCAACTCCGCCAGTGCCCCGGGAGTTCTAACCCCCACGGGGGTCTCGCCTTCAGTCCACATGGGAGTCACCCATCAAAGGCATTTTAGGGATATTTTAGGTTGACCATTTCCTGACAGCCCAACATGTTTTTCTCTGGGATGAAGGGCATGCCATCCCACAAATGGTGATGAGAAATTGCAGAACCACTGAACCGGCCTACACATAAGCATTTCTTCTCCTTTGATGTCGAGTTGACAAGAAAGGATATGATTTCATTTCTACTGGCTCCTCTTAGGTAACCCAACTGGTTTCCCACTTCCTCACCTGCCCTTTGCATTCCCATCCTGGTTTCTTTGGCCTTGGTTCCTCTTTAAGCTGGGACCAGCGACTTTATAAACTCCACACACAGTGCAGCAGGTTCCAGACGCAGCGTCTGGCCTCCCCAGGTCTTATGAAGAGGTGCTGAGGGTTGGCGGGTTGACACACTCACTGCACTGCACAAGGAGGTGGCTCAGCCCAGCTTTCACGTGACCAGTGTCCATTTATAGGGTCGCATGCTCACGACACATGCTGCATTATGGGGAATGCTGCAGAGAGGGGAGTCTTATTCTTAAAGGAGTTAGAATTGAAGCATAAAGTCTAGGAACTAACATGAACCACCTCTTAGAAGTCTATGTACAACCTGCACTCGACTTTGAGTTGTTCCCCAACTATTAGTTCCCTGTCGTGGGTCAGTGGGGGGAAAAAAATCACTCTCCACACAGCTCTTGAGGAGAGGCTGGGATCTCTACGATTCACTTGGTGTCTACCTGCAGGGGACTCAGGGAAAAAAAAAGCAAAAGCCACACCAGCATGAGCATATCACACAGAAATTCTACTGACCCCAAAAGCGGGGCAATGAAAATCTGTGCACAATTTCAAACCATGCACCCCAGGGTGGAGGGGAGAGATGGAATTCAGGGGAAGTGAGAAGAAAAAGGGGAAGAAGAAAAGGACCAGGGATTTTTTTTCTTTTTTCTTTTTTTTTTGAGACAGAGTCTCACTCTTGTTGCCCAGGCTGGAGTGCAGTGGCACGATCTCGGCTCACTGCAACCTCCGCCTCCCAGGTTCAAGCAACTCTCCTGCCTCAGCCTCCTGAGTAGCTGGGACCACAGGCGCACACCACCATGCCCAGCTAATTTTTGTATTTTTAGTAGAAACGGGGTTTCACCATGTTGGCCAGGATGGTCTCAAACTCCTGACCTCAGGTGACCTGCCCGCCTCATCCTCCCAGAGTGCTGGGATTACAGGCGTGAGCCACCGCACCCAGCCTGGGATTTTTTTTCTTTCTAAGGAACTCTTTCCCGAGCATTCACGACCCAGCCCTTTCTGCTCTGGGATGGAAAGTGTTACTCAGCTACAAGGCCTCTTGTTAATTGTGGGTTTTTATTTTTATTTCCTATTACCCTCTCACACGCCTGATGAGATTATTTTACCGGAACTGACACAGCTGGAAGCAGCAGGCATACGTGGAGCCTCTGAGGAGGTGATGCAATTTCATTTTCATTGATCAGAAATCAGCAGGGCAGTAAGTGATGGGAAATTCCATTAGAAGAAAACTTGCAGGCCATAAGCCTCAACTTCCCAGCCACACCCAGGACCCCTTCCCCCACTCCCTGACCGAGGTCTCGCCTTCCTCTGGGCTAAGTCCACACTGCCCAGAGGATTGGAAGTGCTCTCCTCCCAGAAAAATAAAAGACCAGCGCCACGCTGCTGGCCTAGGAGAGCATCGGCCGGGGGTGGGAGACATCGTTGGACTCTGAACCAACAAGGCACCTCGGTGCTTCTCTATGGATTACAGCAAAGTCTTCCAGGGATGCAGAATAAACATCCTTACAACCAATCTCCACAGCCCCTTGGGATCCCCTTCCAAATGTCAACAAACAAGAAAAGGGGAGGCCACTATACAACAGTTGTAAAGATGTCCTCCAGCCAGTCATAGAGATGATCCTGAAGGCACTTACCATTTATTGAGTGCCTACTATGTGCCAGGCACTGTGCTAGGTGCTTACCATGCCCAGACTCTGGTCCTCACCTAACCCTCTAGGACAGATGTTCTTCTCCCTCTCTCTCCTGGATAGATGAAGAGGCAGAGGTCTAGGAAGGTAAAGGAGAGAACCAGTTGGTACCAACACCTTCCTGAGGGTCAGGCCAAACTCTCACAAGCAGCAAAGGAAAGCTGAGTGTCAACAGGAGAGCTCACACCTGAGTCCTAAGAGAGCGTGGAGCACATGTGATGGGCTACTTTACTCTTTTACAGATGTAGCAGATGATAGATTGTGACTAATCCACCTCCATCATCCTCAGCACCCAACAACAGCGCTCCTGTGTCCAAGGCTGGAACCACAGGTGGGCTTCTCTTCGGAATACGCAGAATGGTTACTGTTTTAGCAGTTAAGATCCCTCCAACTGTTTGCCTGCCAAATATTGCTTTGCTTACCTAAGGCCTATGGAAAAAACAGCAAGGAGCTCCTCAAAAAGACAAGTTCTATGAAAAACACCACCAGCCAGGTGGCTCTCCAGACCTCCACAGGCCATTTCGCCATAGGAAAGATGGATCACAGAAGAACCAGGGCACAGTCCGAAATTAACACTGCTCCCCACAACTCTTCACTGTTAAAATGGAAATTTTACATGGACCAGTGATGGCAATGTGTCCAACCAAAATCTCTCAGGAAGCTTTTATTGAGTACCTAATCTGTGCCTCAACAAAGCAAAGAATATATAAGACATGGACCCCGAAATCAATGCGCTTACAGACTAGGTGATGGCCCCATAAGAATACCTAGCACACAGTTATTTATTGATCCTGTTTACAATATACAATACAACATCATAGCATAAATTGAGGCCCGGGCAAAAGAAGAAAGAAAAAACAAAACTGGAGGAAATTTTGAACCAAAAAAATCAAGCTTAAAATGCATGTAAGAATAACCTACACACTGAGTCAAATTTGGCTCTAAGCTTTCTAAAAGTCAAGAGGATAAAGGCATGCTAGGTATGCTTTTAAAGGTACACTATTTACAATGTCCAAGAGAAAAAAAAATCAATTGGTCAGGATTATTTAGCTCCAGTAATTTCTCAACTGCTGAGAATGGGATAAGACTAGGTGCAAGTAGGGCGTGCAGCCCTATTTCCCGGATCTCTTTGTGGAGGTAATAATGAGAAGGCTTGAGTGTGAGGCCAGCTAGTCTCACTGTTTCCACTGATAGACAAGAATACTGACCCCACAGGGTGTTGGTGGTTTGCTGACGTCAGAGAGCCGGTCAGTGGCAGAGCTAGGACGAAGACCTGGGTATCTTCACACCACACTAACAGTGCCTTCCTCCCACATGAAGCTACTCCGCATCATCCTTTTAAATCCACAGGCTGGCTGGATGGGTAGGGGCTCACATGGACGTTGGGGAAGGAGGAGAACTGTTCTAGATTAAAGGGGACCTAAGAACCAAACAACAGCTAGATGCGCTATGTAGTTTCGTATGGATGCCAGTTCTAACCAGCCAAATGTAAAAAGCCATTTTGGGGACAATCAGATAAGTCTGAATTGCAACTTGGGATTAGATCATGTTAATAATGTCAGTTTTGGCCAGGGGCAGTGGCTCAAACCTCAAGTATCAGCACTTTGGGAGGCTGAGACGGGCAGATTGCTTGAGCCCAGGAGTCTGAGACCAGCCCGGGCAACAAGGTGAAACCCCATCACTACCAAAAGTTAAAAAAAAAAAAACAAAAACAGCTGGGTGCAGTGGTGTGCGCCTGTAGTCCCAGCTACTTGATTGCTTGAGACCAGGGAGGTCAAGGCTGCAATGAGCTGTGATCGCACCACTGTACTCTAGCTTGGGCCACAGAGTGAGACCTTGTCTCAAAAAAAGTCAGTTTTGTTAGGGAATAATATTATGTTTACATAAGAAAATGATGAAGCAGCATGATATCGTTGGCTTCAAAATATTTCAGCAACGGACAAAAAAGACGGAACAAATCTAGCCAAAAGTTCATTGTTAAGTCAAGGTGATAGAACTATGGAAGGGTTCATTATATCATTCTTTCTACTTTTATACAGTAATTTTTTTTTTCCTTAAAAGTTACCATTCGCTATCAGGAACATCTTCTAAAAGAACAGCATTGACCAGAACCAAGAGATTCAGTCTTGAGTCAATACGTTCATGGCAAGCCAAGCCTTTTTTCAAAGAAATGTGGGTTTCTCCTTTCTTCCGAAGGGCTTTCCTCCCAGGCCGGGCCCCAGCTATCTCTAAAGCTCCTTTCAAACACCACCATCTACTGACCCCCACTCTTACTCCTTCTCTTAGAAGGTACCAAGCACCACCAGGCTGCTAATGTTTAAAAGAACACAGAAAAAGACAATATGCATCACGCCTGGGCATAGCACCTGACAGCCTTTATAAGTGGTAGCTATCACGATCATTACTGAGCAAAAATGCGCCTGTTTACAAAAGTTAACAGCCTAAGGTTATATAACAGCTTGATTTCAAGCTTTGAGCCAAAGTCTGATTAAGAAGAATATACATCCGTTGAATTAAAAGCCTCCACTTCTTGACTCAACGGGTTAAGAAAATATTTTTAACACTTTCAGTGAGTTTAAAAAATCAGATGTTTACCAGCCATTGTTTTTGCGCACACTGTCTTTTATCTCAGCATGAATGTTTTATAAGCACCTTAATTGCTTTGCAAAGCCTCAACTGAACTGCTCCCAATTGGGCTGGTTCTCTAGTGTGGCTCTGTAGGTAAACGGCCCAGTGGTAAGTGGGCTTCTGGCCATATGTGGGCCCATACCCACCCCCAACATCCAGCACACCCTCCAACTTCAATACGCATCACCATGCTGCAAGCTCCCCAGAAGCACTCTGTGCAATGGACTTCTTCACGGGGACCCCAATATGTGACCAAGGGCACAGTCACACCCAGCACCAGCCTTCCAAAGGGCACATAACAATGCTTCTTCCATGCACACAGCGTTTTACACATTTTCCTTTTTTTTTTTTTTTTTTTTCCTGAGATGGAGTCTCGCTCTGTCATCCAGGCTGGAATGCAGTGGCGCCATCTCGGCTCACTGCAACCTCCACCTCCCGGGTTCAAGCGATTCTCCTGCTTCAGCCTCCTGAGTAGCTGGGATTACACGCACCTACCACCATGCCCGGCTAATTTCTGTATTTTTAGTAGAGACAGGGTTTCACCATGTTGGCCAGGCTGGTCTTGAACTCCTGACCTCAGGTGATCTGCCCGCCTTGGCCTCCCAAAGCGCTGTGATTACAGGAGTGAGCCACAGCGCCCAGCCTTTCTACACATTTTCAAACACTCTCATTTGACCTCTAACAATCTTTTTAAATAGAATGGGAATCATATTTTCGATTTTACAGGTTTAAAAAAATAATTCATTCAAACATCTGAGTGACTCCTACGAGTCATTCTTTCTCAAGGTCCTGCAACTGGTTAGCTGCAGAGCAAGGACCAGGACACAAGCTACAGTTTCTACTGTGGTGCTCTTGGCTCCATGAAGGCATCATTTCCTTAAAGAGAATCACCAACTCACAGAGAAACAAGAAGAATAAAGACAGAAACCTACCTGCTGCATGCCTAAGCTTCCAAATCCTTCCAAAACATGTATCATCTAAATACGAGAAAAAGATAGGATGCCAAAGACCCAAAGGAGGTATTTTCATTGATCACACCTCAGTGGAGTAGAGTTATACACACCACCAAATATTGAGTTGCTCCACACAGACCAGAACAGTGATGGCAAGACATTAAGTCGTAAATTTTTACATAGGCCAGAATGGTGGAGGGCCCGAGAAACAAATCCACTAAAGCACCAAGTGCTGAAGCAAGGATCTTTGGCCCATAAAAAAGTTTAAGATCTGAGGAGTAGCCTGGGTGCAACTCCTCCTCTTAGACCCTAGACTGCAAAGACAACACTGTCATCCAAAGCAGACTGACCACTCGGCTCAAAAGGCTATTTGTAAAAAGATGTAATAAGCTGTCAACGTCCAGGAGCTCCTCATGAAGGAGGCTGAACTCAGAGGAGCTCATGTCAACGCAGAGTTCAGGTTAGGACCAGTGGGGGTAACGTAAAGGGTGATTTGGGCCCCAGGATTACTGTAGCATGACCCAAGCAAAGTGCACATATCTATGTAAAACAGAAAAGAAGGAAACCGGCTTCTTCCCCGTCAGGAATGTCGCTTATTCTATGGGTGTGAGCAGTTTCTTTAGTCCACTTTCTGCCATCACGGTGGAGCCCTTGGAAGCCCCTGTTCCTACCGTGATAGAAAACAATGAGACTTATGAGGCAACTTAATAACCACTGACCACCTTCTTAGTCCAACTGACTAAGCTGAGTGACATTTTTAGGAAGAGCATTAATGCGGAAAACAAACCTTTCCAATTCATGGAATGAGGTAATCTGGGCAGAGGAAGGGTGGGGGCAGAGTGAGTAGATCCAGAACACAAAACAATGACCAGGATCCCCGAACATCCCAGCTGGAATGAGGGCAACCCCAAAGGGGTCGACAGAGAAGGCCTAGGCCAGGTGCGATGGCTCATGTCTGTAATCCTAGCATTTTGGGAGGCCGAGGCGGGAGGATCACTTGAGCCTGGCAGTTCGAGGCCAGCCACAGCAACATAGTAAGACCCCCATCTCTACAAAAATTAAAAAATTAGCTGGGAGTGGTGGCACCCACCTGTAGTCCCAGCTACTCAGGAGGATGAGATAGAAGGATCGCTTGAGCCCAGGAGTTCGAGGCTGCAGTGAGCTATGAACGTGCCCCTGCACTCCAGCCTGGGTGACAGATCAAGATCTTGTCTCAGAAAAAAAAAAAGAGAGAGAGAGAGAAAGGCTGCTTAAGCCATTGCTCCATGCAACTCTCCAACCACATGTCAAACACCATTCCTACCATCTGTCCTTGGAGCCCTTCCCTCACCAGCACAGGTCTAACTACCCACTGCCAAGTGTGGGTACAGGGTAAGGCCCTGCTCAGTAAGCCTGTGGTCTGATACTAAAGTCATATCTTGCCATTACCCCCCGGCCCCACCAGTTATAGTCCAGAACCTTCCATCTTGCTGTTGGCTCTCTATGGCCTGGCTTCCTGACCCTGTTTTGCATGAACCCTTGACCAGCTGGGGCTTAAATCCCATGGGTGGGAATCTCATACACCTGCAGCCTTCTTGCCTATACCTGCTCACGCTCCTTCAAGCACAGGCCTCAGCCCTTATCTGAATAACCTGTCTGCTGGCTTCCTCCCCATCTGATAGTTTCACTCCTGGCTCCTCTCAGGCAGCAAAGAGGAATAAGCAAGCCACAGGCTGCAGCCTGGCAAGACAGTCAGGAAGGTGGCAGCTGCCCTGATTCAACCTTCCTCCTAGTCTATCTACTGCCTCTTCCTCCTCCATTCCCCAGTGACTCCATGAAACTTGTGTTCACAAACTTGAAAAATTCACTGGTGAGGCCAGGTGCAGTGGCTCATGCCTATAATCCCAGTACTCTGGGAGGCTGAGGTGGGAGGATCACTTGAGCCCAGAAGTTTGAGACCAGCCTGGGCAACACAGTGCGACCTCGTCTCTATAAATCCTTAAAAATTAGCCAGACATGGTGGTGCACGCCTGTGAATCCAGCTACTTGGGAGGCTGAGGTGTGAAGATCACTTGAGCTCAAGAGGTTGAGGCTGCAAGGAGCCACGATCACACCACTCCACTCCTGCCTGGGCCAAAGAGCAAGACTCTGACTCAAAAAAAAAAAAAAAAATTCACTGAGGAGATGTGGTAGATGGCTTAGAGGTCAATGTTATAGGTCAATGTCCCTTAGGTTGAACAGCACCTGTGTTGCTGGGTCTGCAATGTTGAGGACCCCGTGATGGTCTTCAATAAGGCTGGGGCGAAGGGGCTAAACCTCACTATCGTGTGCAAGCTCACCCCAGGCCTCAACAGAATTTATACATATAAAATTTATATGCATTACATGTTTACATATGTATGTATACATGTACATGTATATAGTATACATATGGATATATTTATATAAATATGCATATATACCTATACACATATACACATACATCTCTCATATTTAAAACAAAATAGAGCAATTAAAAGAGGAAAAAAACAAAGCCAACACACACGTACCCCTACCACCACCACTACGAACACCAACACGCCCCCACAGGCAAGATCTTGTCCCAAGTTTCTGAGAAACGTCACTTAATACTACGTAATCTCGAAATGATGGGGTCTGCCTACTGGCTTTGTCTGGAGACTGGACTCCAGCTGCTCTCCTAAACTGTCCTTGTCACCTTCTCATCAGGAGAAAAGGGGAACGTAAACATGAACCACACCAGAGATGGGCTATCCAGTGAGGCTGATATCATCTCAGGCGCCACCGACATCTCTCTCCAGCATTCTGTCATCTTATGATCAACTATGTAACTCCAGACATCCAGGGGAACCTGAATCCTAGAACTAGATGTCCCCAAATAAGTGGTTTCTCTGTAAAAGTCAAATGTGGATCACAAAACAAATGTGAGGGGAGTCCCAGGAAAGCCAGTTGCATAAGGGTGTCCTCAATTAAATTCTACACACGTCAATTTTTCCCCAGGGAGGGCGAGGCAGAGCTGAGAACAACATTGGACTGGACAGACTCAAGGCAGGGAAGAAATGGAATTTTCGCTCTTGAGATTCAAATTCCTGAGTCATAGTTGAAATCCCACTGCTATAATTGTTTTAATACACTGTCTCCACACACACAAAAAGACGCCTTTAAAAAGTTGTACTGGCTTCCAGATTCCCTGGTTAAAACCCTCCCTTCTCCTGGACGCTCTCAGATACAAGCTGTGTTGAACTCACTAGCAGCTGTCACATTCTGGCACTTGCTTGGGCTGTGACCAGAGCAGTCTTCCGCCCAACCAGGGAAGGCACAGGCTCTGCCGGCAGAGCAGGGGTTAATGGAAGCTGACCGCAGCACAGTTGTTAAGGTAATCAATACCACTGAGATACTAAAGCAGTGTAAGCCACAATATTGATTGCCAAGCAGATGATAAAACTGTTTATTATGATAATTGCAGGGTCCCTGCAAGATGCTCCCAGCGCTTCCTAAAGCTGTTTACAAAACTAATAAAGATTTGCCATTTCAAGGTCTTCCATTTTTAACCACCCCCCACCCCGCCAACTCCCCACAATCTCCCACTCCCAAAAAGCAGGCCTCACCCCTGGGCGGTTAACATGTTCTTCCCAGGGACAGGCACTCCATGGCCCGTCCTGGGTGGAGCTTCACTCTCAGATTCTCTAAAGAACAGACTGTCCTTCTCCACCCTCACCCTGCCCCCAACTTCAGGAAGGGGAGGACGGAAGCACAGCCGACAGCCACTCAGGGCCTTCAGATTTCCTCCTTAGGACCCGCCATGTGATAATTATGGGGTTTTATCGATGGAGGGGGGCTGCTCAGGGCTCCTTGGGCTGACATCCATTTGTTCTAACACATTTAAGAAACCACACCACCTTGGTTTGTAATTAAAACTTCTCTGGAGAACTTGGTGGCCATGAAGCTAACTGAACATGGTCAAATGCTGATTGTAGAATGCATTTCCGCCAACACTACTCAACTGTGACTTGGGCTGCTGAACTGGGCTTGGGTCCCAAGTTCTATCATGCCCAAGGCACCCATTTAGTTTTTATTAGCAGTGGAAATTAACTCCTTCTTGGTCACAGACACCACCGTTTTCCTCGAGACGCAAGTTATTGAATTATCGGCACCGTCTCCAATGCTGTCACCTCATGTTCAAGAGGAACTGCAATGCAGACATATTTTTCAATATAAGTAGGCATCTCGCAGGTAGTATAATCATGTTCTTCGGACCTCTTAGGGGAAAGCCACTGGGTCCTGCGATTAAGGATGGCAGCCCCAGGACTTCAGGGCTCTGCAAATATACCGAAGGTGTGTTTTCAGAGTGTGAAATGGAAAAAACATAGAACCCAGCCAGGTGCAGTGGCTCATACCTGTAATTCCAGAACTTTTGGAGGCCGAGTCAGACAGACCGCTTGAGCCCAGGAGTTTGAGATCAGCCTGGGTAACACGACGAAAACAAAACCCCACCTCTACGAAAAACACAAAAATTAGCAAGGTGTGGTGGCGAGCACCTGTAGCCCCAGTTACTCGGGAGACTGAGGTGGGAGAATCACCAGAGTCCAGGAGGCTGAGGCTGCAGTGAGTTGTGGGAGCTGTGATCCAGCCACTACACGCCAGCCTGGGCAACAAAGTGAGATCCTGTCTCAACACAAAACAAAGAACTCAAGTTTTAAGGAGAATTCAGTAGTCATTCCATCAGCAGCTAGAAGGCAAGCACCCATCCCTCACTCAACTCTCATAGCAGCTAAGAATATTTTACCTGTAATAGACTTCTACAGCACTAGGCCTTCAAAACAACATTTGCAATTGAAGGGACACCACTTTGAGAGCTGACAGGCCAAAGTAAGATGATGTGGAGGCTGCTTCCACCTCCCACCCTCCCCGATCAAAGCATGGAGAAATCATTCACCAGTGCTCCTGGTCTCCGTTGCCACTGCCACCTCAGTTTAGGTAGAGGGACCTCTACCTGCCCTATTTTCTTCCCATTCAGCTGCAACCAGCAGCTCTGGGAGGTCATTGCCCCCACACTGTGCCTGTGTACACATGTATGCTTCAATGGTGTGGACCAGTACAGACATGCAGCTCCTTTATAGACATCTGGTTCTGCCCCACCTACTCCCAAACACACAGAAATCAGAACACTGGAGCCAGTTTTATGTAGAGTATCATTCGTTTGCCAAAGACCTTGCCATGAACTCATGGATACCACAGCATGGCTGGAAGGGATGCACCAGGGATTCCTTTAACCTGGCTACCTGCTCTTAGAGGAACTATTTGGCAACCAGGAATGGCCGGAGGGAATCTGAGGCTTCCCTAGGACTGCCTTTCATGAATCACCTGCTCCTAGGCAAAGTGGCAAAGGACAGACAAACGCCACCTACTGAACTCCAAGCTGGACGCCCTATTCATTCACATATGCTCACGGGGCCCATGTTAACAAACACCTCCCTGGATTTGATACCAAAAGAAAGTTTAATATTATATGTGGCTAATTCTGCTGTTACCTTTTAACCTCACTTGCACATATCTGTCCTCCCAACAATAACTTCAGCAAAAAACATACCCTAAGAACAATATGGTCCACACTTGGAAACCCGCCCAACAGGGCCAGTCGAGCCTGCATAAGTGCTAAGAACCATTTAGGAGCACTGTAAACCATTAAGGCCATTAGCTCTAATTTGACCTCCACAAAATACATCAACCCACTAGGAACAAATTTAGAAGCTTTCCAAAGTCAAGTTCTCAAAACCTGAAAGGCTCATAAGCACAGTCTAGGGCAGGGAACAGCCAGCCAGTCCCGGAGCTACTCTTCCCGCTCCCACCTTTCCTGCAGCTGACTGAAGGGTGCATGCTTAGCTGGTACACGGACCCAAGATCCTTCTCCAGCCACTGGATCAGGAAGCTGTGGCCATCGAGGGGTCGATATGCAGGCTGGAACCCGCCAAACATTTCTGATTAAGGGATTCACTCCAGCCTTCCTCTGAGCTCACACCATATACAATCTTCCCTCTGCACTGCTCTAAATCACTTCTTTTCAAATAACGCGGATTTCTGGATTCATTTCCAAGTGATCCTGATTGGAATTCAATTGCACTAACTGGGTCCCTGCAACAGGTCAGGGTTCACCCAGTCTTTCAATCTATAAAGGCAGGTATCATGTACATTAAGAGCCATGATTCCCCCACATTAATACATGTGTCAACACAATAAATAATTTCTCCAACAAAACTTATAACCATCAGCATATGCTATAAATTTAAATTGCAAAATCATCATAATTTTTCATCTTTATTCTTCACTGATAATTACTGACTGCATTTTTTAATACTGATGGCATCATCTTGATGAGGAAGCAGGCAATGAAATAAACTACGGTACTGGCTAGGCACAGAGATCACACTTACAATTCCAGCACTTTGGGAGGCCAAAGTGGGAGGATCACAGGAGCCCCTGAGTTTGAGACCAGCCTGGACAACATAGGGAGACCCCATCTCTACAAAAAATACAAATATTAGTAGGAAGTGGTGGTGCACACCTGTGGTCTCAGCTAAGAGAGGCCAAGGCAAGAGGATCACTTAGCCCAGAAGTTTGAGGCTGCGGTGAGCCAAGATCACATCACTGCACTCTTGGCCTGGGCAAGACAGCAAGACGCTGTCTCAAATTAAAAAAAAAAAAAAATTAAAACAGAGCCAGGTGCGGCTGTTCATGACTATAATACCAGCACCTTGGGAGGCCGAAGCGGGTGGATCACCTGAGGTCAGGAGTTTGAGACCAGCCAGGCCAAGGTGAAACCCTGTCTCTACTAAAAATACAAATATTAGCCAGGCGTGGTGCTGCATGACAGTAATCCAAGATACTCAGGAGGCTGAGGCAGGAGAATTGCTTGAACCCAGGAGGTGGAAGTTGCAGTGGGCCAAGATTGTGTCACTGCACTCCAGCCTGGGCGACAGACACTCTGTCTCAAAAAAAAAAAAAAGAAACCATGGCACTATCAAACTCCACCAGCCAATGCGAGAAGCAGGCTAAGAACACGCATACTAGGTAAGTGGACAGTGCACATGGATAAGTCAACAATCCTTCAGTTGCTTCAATGACAAAAACATACCACATACTTATTTCACTCATCTTTCCAGGGCAGAAGGAAGAAATAAGTGGGAAGAATATGGGCCAAATGAGTTAGCAGTAACAGGAGAAGCAAGATGCAGCACACAGAGTTCTACAGCCCAGGAAGAATTGCCAAAAGCTGAGTAATCCATTCCAGCTCCACCCTGCATGAATTTCCAGGTATCAAATTATATGTTAATTATGCGGACGCAGAGTTATATGTGGGGAAGTGGTGTTAGTCAGCACCCAAGGGGTGGAAATTCAGTAAAAATTTAGTTTTGTCAAGTATGTTTCATGCACAGGCCTGGGGCTCCTCTGGCTCAGGAAAAGAGAAAGCAGGAGTCAGGAGGCCCAGACCTTTCCCTAACAGGGTCCCACAGCCAATTCGCTGGCCCTCTCTAGACCAACTTTCCCGAATTATAAAATACCACAAGGTTTGGGTTTTTTTCCCCCCACCGTTTCTGTTCAAATCAAAAAGCGCTAAGTCCTGGCTGATTTCTGACTCAGCCAGTCAAAAGAGGGACACGCCTCCCTAACTGCAGGAGGGTGGGGAAGGGCAGCTGCACTCAGTCCGATGGAGGGGAAACCAGTAAACCCGTCCCTTGGCACTGTCACTTGGCAATTTCTGAGGTTTAAGACGACACGGCGTTCTCCCAGGTCCTGGCCTGTAAATGCCAGGGAAACGCATTGTACTTGTGAAGAGAGAGAACACAGAGTTTCGAAACTGCTCTAAAGCCCATGTCTCAGGCTGCAAGAACGTTATCAGTCTCACACATCGTGCCCCTGCCTCCAAGGCCCCCATCACCACATACTGATCTTGCCCTGATTTGAAGCGGGCGGGAGAGAGCTATGGGGAAGTCCAGGCCTGTCCCAGCCACGGATGGGACAAACAGACAGGAACTGAGTGCTGAAGACCTTGCTGTAGCTGCTGAGCGATCTTAAAAGGGATCCACCCTGGAGGAGCTGAGCACCCTCTTCTTTCCAGTTCTCCTCACTTTAAACGATTTTTGTCTAATAATGTACCCAACAGGCAGATATCAGAGAAGCACTAAACTAACACCTTGAAATGGGTCAATAATGGCTGGGCGCAGTGGCTCATGCCTGTAATCCCAGTACTCTGAGAGTCCGAGGCAGGTGGATCACTCGAGGCCAGGACTTCGAGACCAGCCTGAGCAACATGGCGAAACCCTGCCACTACTAAAATACAAAAATTAGCCGGGTGTGGCGGCACATGCCTGTAATCCCAGCTACTCGAGAGGCTGAGGTACAAGAATCGCTTAAACTCGGGAGGCGGAGGTTGCAGTGAACCAAGATCGCGTCACTGCACTCCAGCCTGGGTGACAGAGTGAGACCCTGTCTCAAAAAATAAAATTAAAAAAAAAAAAAGAGAGAGAAATGGGTTAATGACAAAGAAGTCCTATACACAGCATAGTATGTACTGTATAGCATTAGGATAATATAGTATAGCAGTCCCTTATCCGAGGCTTCATCTTCCATGACCTCAGTTACCCACATTACAGTACAGTAAGATATTCTGAGAGAGAGGAGAGACCATATTCCCATAACTGTCATTACAGGATATTGTTTTAATTGTTCTATTTTATTATTAGTTATCACTGTTAATCTCTTACTGTGCCTAATTTATAAATTAAATTTTATCATAGGCATGTAGGTAGAGAAAAAAACATAGTCTACCTAGGGTTTGATACTATCCTCCCTCTCAGACATTCCACTAAGTGTCTTGGAATGTCTCCCCAAGGATAAAGAGGGACTGCTGTCGTGGCTAGGAGTATATGCTCTGAGCTGGCATCCCAGCGCAGAGGCCATTTAACAGCAGCAAATTTGCTACAGACTTTGGGCCTCAAGTTCATCACTCATATGATGGGTGTAGGATCATCTTTACCCCATAGGGTTGTAAGGATTAATGAGACAGTGAAGTATTTAGCACAGTAGATGCTTAATAGGGGTTAGCTATTAATGCTTATATTAATATTTATTAACATTTATACAGACAAAGAACATGTTCTCATGTCATTTGCATAGCAATCCAACAAAGGCCGTATTCTCACTTTTGAGGCTCAGAGAAGCAGAGAGACTTGTCCATGGTCACACACAAGTACTCAGACTTCCAGGCCAGTGTCTTTTCCATCATCTTTTTTCAGGGTGTTTCACCCACGCAACACTGGCCAGGGGCTAGATGGTTCCAGGTGGGAGTGGGTGAACTTTGTACATTCTGGTCATTAGCCAGTCAATGTTTATCTGAGCCAATCCAACCAGCACGAGCCTGTGATTCCTCAGACACAATTGCTCGGGATGATGCTAAGGTGGGTATTTGTGGTTATAACGGAGGATCCCGTGAAAAGAAAAATGTAAAGCAAATAATACAGTATAGGCAGTACAAAGAAACAACAGAAATGATGCCCTGAGTTGGGGGCAGAGGGGTCTCTTCCACTCTCAGAGGCTGTCGCCGAACTGATCTTTCTCACATAGTCAACCATTAAAAGTCCCCAACCCACAGGTCCTAGTTTCTTCTAAGTATCCATCTCCCTCCTTGCTAGAGCAGAGCCTCCAAAATGAAAGCGTTTCTCCGCCTTCCTCCAGGCCTCCTGAGAAAGGTTATGAGATGGGTTATCAGCCTCTCTGACCTCTGCAGCCATCAACAGCACTTCTGCCTCTCCCATCCCCCACAGCGAGGATCCTACAGCCCAGAGCCAGCTTCCCTGCCTTCCCCCATTAATGCCTTTCCCCTCCAACAGCTATCACAAGAGGGCTGTTTAGTGAGAGGACCTCCGGCTGACCTTTGCTGACAGGCTCCAAGCTCTCCCTGTAAACGGATCTAATGTGAGGCTGGGTAATTAGCAACCAAGTAGTAATTGCAGCTTCTAACTATGCTCGGCCAAGATTGCAAAAATTCCCTAGGGGGGTGCCTCCTAGGGATCCCAACCCACACAAAGGCATTTACTCACAGCCAAAAGAGGGGACTCAGCCACATTTCTCATGGAGGCCAGCACTTCTCTAGGTCTTAATTAAAGTGGCACCCATGTAAAGAGACAGACAGCAAAAGGAAATTAGCAAATAAAGGAGACTGACCAAGAAAGAAATGTATGGCTTGCTTGGAACAGCCCATTCAGAAAGGTACAACCTCTCAAGGTGGATGGCCGTGCACACGAAACTCATTCCAGCCGCGGAAGGAAGGCACCAAAGAGCCTTCGAGGGGCATCAAAAACTGCAGAAAGGCCAGGCGCGATGGCCCCTGCCTATAATCCTAGCACTCTGGGAGGCTGAGACGGGTGGATCACCTGAGGTCAGGAGTTTGAGACCAGCCTGGCCAACATGGTGAGACCCCATCTCTACTAAAAATAGAAAAATTAGCCGGGCATGGCGCTAGGCGCCTGTAATCCCAGCTACTCCCAGGCTGAGGCAGGAGAATCGCTTGAACCTGGGAGGTGGAGGCTGTGGTGAGCCGAGATCGCACCACTGCACCCCAGCCTGGGTGACAGAGCTAGTCTCCATCTCAAACAAACAAACAAAAAAAACAAGAACTGCAAAAAGGCAGGACACATGAAGACAGGTCCCCCGGCCTGGCTGGCCAGCCTGGCTGCCTGCTCCTATCACCCACTCAACCAAAATCACTCCTCACCCAAGCACCCTGTATGGCCCACTGTTCGCATCACAAGATTCTAGATGCCAGGCCATGTGGTCTATGCTAAGAGATCCGTAGTATCATCTGCTATGATTTGGTGATTCCACCAGACCTGTCCACAGGCCCCCCTACCGTTAGCTGCCTACATGTATTAACATGTTTCAGAATAACGTGCAAAATCCCCATTGAGAAATAAAGATGTGAGCACTTCCAAATAGAGCAGCTGCCCTCCTCATGACTCTAAAAATACCTAAAACTGCACAAAAAAGAACATTGTCAGACGAAAAGAATCATCCCTCCTCACTCTAACAGGACAACAAGCGATGCCCAACAGCACAGCAGCGCCTGTTTCATCCTTCCTAAGAAAACCCTTTATTTTTCAAGCCCACCACTCCCCACTCCAATTTCCTTTATCTGTTTTGTACTTAAAAAGTCACTTCACTGAACTGCTGTTTGCTCACGATAACTCCTGAACCTCTGTCCTCAGGAGAGGCGGCAAGTTCAGGGGGCATGGTAGCTTTCCCACGTGGACCAGACTTTCTGCCAACCTGAATTACACCCTAGACGTCTTCAAACTTCATTTCCTCTGCCACTGTGCTGCCCGATCCCCCAATGCATTCGGGGCTGTAGAGACTCTCTGGGTTGAATCCAGTTATAAAAACCAGGGTAGCAGCAGCCGAGTGCACTAATTCACCCTCCATTTCCTTCTCCAAACAATTAATATACTTAATAACTCCAGCCCCGACGACAGATTTCTCAGACACCCCTCTATTAACCTCTCCCCGCTACAAGCAGTGGGTCTCCACCAGAATTCTTCTGTTCCCTATCACTTAATCATTTTTTAATCCACAACAAGGACTTTGTGCCACACTGTGGTTTTGTTCTCTCTTAATCTTTTATAAGGGACCTTATCAAAAGCTTTTAGAAAATACAAGTGAATTTTGCCTACCAGGTCATCTTTATTATTTTAGAATTCTTTATGAAGAAATTATAGACTTTAACATTGTAAATGAATATTTAAGACTCAGCATTCACTTAGACATGCAAGTCTGGCTCAGGTTATATTTAAGTCGCTGTATTACTTCCACCTTCAGAAGGATTCTTGTCTGCCTCCTGGGATGGAATGACTTCCCCTCCCCAAGCCCCCAGGTGCCATTTCTGGGATTCCCCCAAGACTTTCTGGACCAGCTGAAATTGAGTCCATATTGAGTACCAATGGGACTTAGAGTGCATTAACAGAACCTCAAACCAAGGAACAAAAGTCATCGAGCCAAGGGGGCCTGGCTATGGCAGCCTATCCGACTCCTACCTCCTCTACCTTTCCCCAGGTGGATGGCAGGGAGCAGCAGGCTCCCCTGCCTCACAGCTGGCCCGCACATCTGCAGGGAGCCAATGACAGCTTCTTGATGTTGACATCACTTAGGCTGCCTCCTAACACTTGTTTGTTGTAGCTATTATTTCTAATTAGCACTTCTCAACAGAACCAGTGCTCAGCACCAAGGTTCCTCCTGACGGAACAATTAAAGAGGCACAAGGGGCGGGGGTGTTTCCTAAAATTATTCTCTTGGCAGGTTTCAAGGTAAATCATCTAGTCAAATGCACATCTCTTCAAGAGCTGCCTGTGGACAGGGTTGAAAAGCTGTAGCAATATTCCGGAACCCCTGTTTGAAAGCATTCCCATCAAGTTAAATGAAGGGTTAAGGTAATCCAATTACACCAATGTGTTTTCCTGATCACCAGGGGAATCCTCAGCCTTCCCCGTAATCTGCTCCTAACGCCCCATTTAGTCCAATGCTGCACTCCAATCACCAAAAATGTAGACAGGGTTCCCACTCCTACAGCCAGATGAGAGGTGCCTGCCCCTTCTCCAAAATGGGATGGTGAAATTAACACATTTCAGAAAATATTCTACAGAGTCCAGAGTCCAGGGCACGCTTTATCCTTGAGGAAAATAATAAATGTCGAGTCCTAATGGCATGTCAATTAAAGGGGTCACCATAAACAAGCTGTTCAAACTTTCCCCTCCACTCTTCGCCCGTGCCTCTCCAATCTGGGTGCCCTGGAGGACGGAACGGGAACTGCAGATCCAGGCACTCCATTATGGCAACCCAGCAAGCAGTTCAGCACGGACTTAATGAGCTCTTGGAAGGAAACAGGAAGTCTATAAAGTAATTTAAATAACTTCCAGTCCTGAAATAAAGGAAATTAAACCGCTGGCACAAACCTCTCTGATGGACACCTTCTTTGTCCCTCCGATCACAACTACAACTACAGCGGTCATATTGCTCTCCCCAAGACCAGGCCCCAAATTCCCCTAATATGAAACACAAAGGCTGTCAGTCCTCAGAGCTCTCCAAGCTCCTGCAGAGGCTTAAGCCATGGATGTGGCATGGTGTGCAGCAAGAACACGGGAATCCGCCCACAAACCCCGCGCTGGGTCCTGCCACTCCCTAGCTGCAAGACCTTGGGCCAATCATGCAACTTCACAGGGCCTCAGCGTTTCACCATCAACAAAGGAAAGCTCTGGGCCTGGCCAAATGACTTCTAAGATTATTAAGAGGGTCAAATGAGCACATATGAGAACAGCGCCAATTGAAAACACAAATAAACGTCGGTATTTTCCAGCTGCCCAGGGCCTTAGGCTCCAGAATTTCTCGATGTTCTGCTCAGGAGGCACTGTCCTATCTTGGTAATTATGAAGGCATATTCATACGTTCTTTTACTGCCAGGTGCGGTGGCTCACGTCTGTAATCCCAACACTTTGGGACACCAAGGCGGGTGGATCACCTGAGGTCAGGAGTTCCAGACCAGCCTGGCCAACACAGTAAAACCCTGTCTCTACTAAACACACACACACACACACACACACACACGAGCCGGGCATGGTGGCGGGCACCTGTAATCTCAGCTACTCAGGAGGCTCAGGCAGAAGAATCACTTGAACCTGGGAGGCTGAGATTGGAGTGAGCTGAGCTCGTGCCACTGCACTCCAGCCTGGTGACAGAGCAAGACTCCAACATAAAATAAATAAATTAATTAATTAATTCGTTCTTTTGCTTCTCCTAAGCCCCTCAGTGTAGATACTTATTTGCATGGACAATGATCAGTCCAACTAAGCATGATTTTCTTATCAGCAGAGACTGTGTCTTCTCATCTTCTGTAAACCAGTGTGCCCAGAGCCAGAGCACCAAGCAGCCAAGAAGCTGGTCCTCAATAAAGGGCTAGAATCTATAACCCATGCAGTTATCCAGACATCCTTAAGCACCAAAATGCTAACAACTATCCATCAACTCTCTACAAAAAGAGACAAACCTAATAACAAGATAAATTCCATAACTGGTTGTGAGCCTACAAGGCGGGGAGGGGCTGGGGGCGTGGGAACCCCGCCTGTGCAACTCCTTGCATTACCAGGCCCTGCCCTGAGTGCAATCCAACCACGGAGTTCTGGCAGTTTCACCTGGTAAACCTAAGCTGCTGGATGCTAAGGACTGTTTCTGGCCACAGAGTTAAGTTTACTTTGTTGATAATAATCAGCCAGATATGGACTGGTCTGACCAGTACTCCGGATCCAGGATCACAAAGAAAAGACAAACTTAAAAGAAGCTTAAGGTCAGCCTCGTTTTGCTAGCCCTCTAGGTATTACTACTGACAACTGGTATGGTCAACCCTTGACCCCTAAACTGGTAAAAGCCAAGAGTAAGGCTGGACATTCAGTGTGGCCAAGAAAGCTACCCAGCTTCTGGGCAGAAGCGCAAGATCCTGGTGCTCCGGAAAGAGAACCGTTGGGCCCGGCTCAAAAACAGACCCTCCCAAACCAACCCTGAGAAAGGAAATCACAAACAGAAATCTAACTTTTCTATAAGGGCACACTGCACAAGTGTTCCTGCAGCTTCACAAACAGGTTCTGTGGGAATCTGCTCTATCGCTCCCATCTGTCACTGGCGGGGTAAGATCTGTCTTGCATATCATGGCGGTCTCCATCCCACTGGAGAATTCAATGGTGCTGTCTTGCATATGGGCTGTGAAACTTGAACAACCGGATTCTGAGGGTCCAGACGTCTCTGTTTGAGCAACAGCTGCCTTCCTTTAAAGGTCCCACAGTTGAGCAATAGAGTTCTTTACTCAAGAGGGCTGTTCCAAGTCTTGAGTAACCACCCTTGCCCTCAAGGGTTCCCCAGGGTGAAGCCCCATTGCCTCTGCCTCACCAAGGAGGCAGCGACTCAGTCTTCTCGCTACACATCTGTCTCCTCACTTTCCAGTCAGATCACAGCCAGTGGGACACAATCTGACAAAGTTCTGTCTAAGGTGGGGTAATCTGAAAAGCAAATACAGATCATCTCCCCCCAGACTTATTCACAGCACTCCCCACTGGAGCCAGGTTTGACTTTCCACAAAGTTCACTGGCCAGAATCATAACCCACACATCTATGGCTCTTCCTTCTTTAACCATCTTTCATGTAAATCCTTCATCTAAAAGGGGAACCACCTATCTATGAACTTTAAATTTCCCAGTATCCATGTTAAAAAAGGGGAGGGGCCTGGTGCAGTGGCTCACAGCTGCAATCCTGACACTTTGGGAGGCCGAGGCGGCAAGATCGCTTGAGCCCAGGAGTTCCAAGACCAGCCTGGGCAACACAGGGAAAGCCTATCTCTACAAAAAAAGAAAAAAATTAGCTGGGTGTGATGGTGTGCACCTCTGGTCCCAGCTACTCAGGAGGCTGGGATAGGAGAATTGCTTGAGCCTGGGAGGTGGAGGCTGCAGTGAGCCATGATTGCACCACTGTACTCCCGTGATTTAAAGCAAGACCCTGTCCAAACAACAAAAATGAAAACATAAAAACAAAAAAATAATTCAAGGCTAGGTGCGGTGGCTCACACCTATAATCTCAGCACTTTGGGAGGCCAAGGCAGGCAGATTACCTGAGGTCGGGAGTTTGAGACCAGCCTGGCCAACATGGTGAAACCCCATCTCTACTAAAAATACAAAAATTAACCAGGTGTGGTGGTGCATGCCTGTAATCCCAGCTGCTCAGGAGGCTGAGGCACAAGAATTGCTTGAATCCAGGAGGCAGAGTTTGTAGTGAGCCAAGATCATGCCACCACACTCCAGCCTGGGCAACAGACTGAGACTCTGTCTCAAAAAATAATAATACTAATAAGGGGAAAAAAGAAACAGGTGAAATTCATTGTAATATGTCTTATTTAACCGAATCTGTCTACACATTATTTCAAACGTAATCGATCTAGGTTTTATTAAGACAGTTTCCCCTTGTTTTCCTACTAAGCCTGGGAAAACTGGTATGTGTTCCACACTCACAGTATGGCTCAGGGCGAACCAGCCACATTTCGGGTGCTTAGGGGCCACATACTGCAGTAATGTAAAACCCTGGCTTCCTCTAATCATGAGAACCTAAAACATAACTCTGATCTGGCCCCACTGTAATAATTCATGCTTGTAGTTCTCACTCACAGACTTTACAGAACTTACCGCTGCTCAAGACTCTTTCCCACGGCATTAACAATTATATTTGGGTGACATGTCAAGAAGTTAAGCTGCCCGGGCCTGGAGTTAACAGATTTTCACAGAATTGTGTACAACTTATCTGGTCCATCAGATCGTCTCTCTGGGGCTTGTCCACCATTAAACTAGACCCCTGGGGTTTCTTAATTTAAAATCCTCATAACCCTTTAACTTGAAAACTCACTGTCTTTGCAATGACATGTGGTTAACTCTGTAGTAGCCACATAAACATCTCCTCATTCTTAAACAGGAGACTTCCATTTTGACCTAATCTGAGATTATTCTGAATTATTTCTGCCCTAGTCACATGTACGCTACAGACATGAGATTACACAGAATAATCAACTGAGGTGGTGCCTACACAATCTTTTGTTTTTTTGTTTTGAGACAAAGTCCCGCTCTGTCGCCTAGGCTGGAGTGCAGTGGCACCATCTTCCCTCACTGCAACCTCCGCCTCTCAGGTTCCCAGGTTCAAGCAATTCTCCTGCCTCAGCCTCCTGAGTAGCTGGGATTATAGGCACATGCCGCCACACCCGGCTAATTTTTGTATTTTTAGTAGATACAGGGTTTCGCATGTTGGCCAGGCTGGTCTCGAACTCCTGACCTCAAGTGATCCTCCCACCTCAGCCTCCCAAAGTGCTGGGATTACAGGCATGAGCCAACATGCCTGGATACCTGGAAAATCTTAAGGCACAAACAAACACAGGACAAATCCACAGGCTTGGGAATCACTATAAGCAGAAGAAAAATGTCCACAGGGCATAAACTTTGGAGGCATGCTCACAGCAACCGCTAACCAGAAAACTTCGCAGGCTCAGTCCAGATCTGGGCAGGATTGGCTCAGGGGTGACCCATCTATCCTGAGAGCTGTCAGGACCCCATCCTATTGGGCACGATACAAGTCAGACATGGGACAGCCTTCGATGCCAGCGTGGGCAGGGGTCTCACCTGAGCCCACGAGACCACACACACTTTGGCAGCAACTCTTGAATCAGTCAATTTTCTTCACACCATAAGTACATACTTCACTCTCTCCGCTCAGCAGCTGCACCTGCCCTATCTGGTGGAGTGGAGGACACTGGCAAGCTGAAAGCTTCTGCAGGCTCATCCATCCAGATTCAGCTCTAAGAGCAGGGCAACCCGGGGAAAATGGAAACATACAGAAAACAGTTCACTTCTGGCTTGTCGCTTTGGCTGCAGGCAAGAGAAGGTGTGCACAGAGTTTTGAAGGAAAGACTGGAATGGGCTGACACTGGGCTTTGTTCCCGGAGCCCCATGGGGACAGGGCTGGCTTCCGAACCTAGAAATGCAGAGAGCTGCTCTCCAACAGGTGGAGGGCCCACCCGAGTAAGTATCCCGGGCAGAAGAACAGAGCAGGCACCACTGTCTGTCAACACCAGGCTCGGCATCCTCCCATCCCCCAGGGTCCCTCGACCTGTCCCCAGGGCACTGGAGAGAGGAGGGAGGGACGAAGGGCACGCGGTGAAAGGAAGGAAGGAGGCGCCTCTTCTTGGCGAGCTGATGGGTGTGAGTGGTGAGCATGAATTAAAAAGCCATCCGGGAACAATGGTCTTTTCATATTTGGAGCCTGTTCTGCACAAAGCTCAGCTTGTTCTAGTGGGAGGACTCTGCTTTCCATTTTTTTCCTAACTCATTTCCTAGGGTTGTGGCAATGTCTGGCACTCGGCTCAACCCAATAGAGTATCCTTTAACTGAAGGATGTGCCAGGCAGGCCTCCTCCTTGACTTCGTAAGTGGTGGCATTGAGACACACAAAAAGGGACAACTTCAGGAAGCTTTTCTGTCTCGACCCGTGGGCTCCCAAAGAGCTCCTGGGTGTTTCTCTGAATAGCTGCCTAACCCACAGAAACACACACTGGATGTTTTCAGCGGCCAAACACCCATTTCCCTCTCAAATTACGCTAGACATGCCACACCCAGCAGACACTCCAAAGCCTAACTGGAAAAGGACAGCGGATGGGCGTCAGATCATGTGACAAGACCTTCCTCCACGTTCGACACACTCCTGGAGTCTCTGCTGAACCCCACAAACCCCTTAGGCAAAGCAATTTTGAAACTGGGGGTGGAGACAAGAACAGCAGCCAACACTAAGCAATGAAGCTGTTCCTGACACTTGAACAAACTGTCGCCTCACTCAGTCCTTATGATCCCTGGTGGGCAGCCTCTAAGCCAGATCCTCCAATCCCACCCCGTGGCATTCACACCCTTGTGTAGTCCCCTCCCCTTGGGAGTGAGCAATACATAGGGACTCACTTCTTACCAACAGCATGCAAATGGAATAGGACAAATGTGATAGGACACCACTTCTGAGATGAGGCTGCAAAGAAACCGTCATTTTAGTCATCTGCACCCTTCTCCTCCTCCTCTCCCTTATGGAAGCCAAGTGCCCCATTGTGAGCTGCTCTGTGGTGAGACCCACATGGCAAAGAACTGAGAGCAGCCTCCAGCCAGCAGCTCTTGGGGAAATGAATCCTATCAACAACCGTGTGTGTGAGCACAGATTTCAGTCTGTCCCCAGTCAAGTCTTCAGATGAGACCACGGCCCCAGGTAAACACTTTGACCTTGCAGCAGGGGACCCAGCTACGCCACAGCCCGATTCCTGACCCACAGAAACTGTAAGATAATAAGTGCTTGCCATTTTAAGCTACTGAACTTAGGGGTAATCTGTGATGCAGCAATAGATAACAATACACATCTCCATTTTGCAAATGAAAAGATATAATGGAGGCCAGGAGTGCTGACTCATGCCTGTGGTCCCAACACTTTGGGAGGCTGAAGTGAGAGGATCACTTCAGCTCAGAGGTTCAAGACCAGCCTGGGCAAGATAGCAAGACTCTGTCTCTACAAAATTTTTTTTAAAAAAAGGTTAGCCAAGTGTGGTGGCACATGACTGTCGTCCCAGCTATTCAGGAGGCTGAGGTGGAAGGATGCCTTGAGCCCGGGAGGTCAAGGCTGCAGTGAGCCCTGACTGCACCACCACGCACTTCAGCTTGGACAAGACAGTGAGACCCTTCAAAAAAAAAAGGGGGGGAAAGAAAAGAAAATATATAATTTTGGCCAGTAAGTAGCAGAGATTCTCACTTAGGCCAGACTGACTCTCTCTAGCCACCTTCCTCTCACCATGTGGCATTACCTATCAAGCCCACATTCCGGTCCATAGACCAGAAAAGCAGCAAAACTCCCTGGGCCTCTCTCCATCCTCACAGATGACAGAGACACCTAACAGTCATGCCCCCAAATAAAAGGATACCAGATTGCTTTGGAATTTTAGGGTTGAAGAAAGAGTGAGGAGAGAATCCAGTCTAACTTTCTTTTACAGATAAAGCATCTGAGACCCACAGCCATAAAGTAACGGACATGGAACTCAAACCCCCGCCAGGATAGCACGTGACTCTTTAGGGATTCCAGGAAACTTCTACTCAAACATGCTGAACAAGCTTCTACTTCTCTGGCCAGGAGAACTCCATCAGTAACTCTGGTCTTCTCTTTTGGCACACCAAGATTAATGCTCTGTGGTGGCTGGCTCCCCTGGCACTTGGCAGCTTCTCCTATACCTGCCCCCTAAGTCCTTCCACAAAGTGACGAGATAGAGAAGGTAGATCAGAGCGTCTTCTCCTTGGTTAATACCAGAATCGACATATCACATATCACAACTGCATACTGCCCACCCAGCTTATGCTGAGGTGTGATCTAAGTTTGCTTTGAAATTCAGTGACATATCAGAAAGACAGCACACACATTTCCATCAAGACAGCTAACTTGGGCAAAGGTGTTCTCAAGTACCCAAGGCGATTGATTCCACAAGCTTGCAGATCACTAAGACTTCCACTATTTTTACAAACACATACCATAGATGCTTACAGTAAATATCATAAATAATTAAAGCTAAGTAGCCTAAGGACATTTTGTGAAGCATCTTTGCTGCTTTTTTTTAAATTAGGTTCTCGCTAATTCACAAGATTGAATAATCTCCAAAAAGCCTCCAAACACAGCCACAGGCCAGTGCTATTTAAGTGATTCTACATTTTTGCAAACTTTTAAGCACATATTTTCTTCTCATGACAAAAAGTAATAGATATTCACTATGCGGAGCTCAGAAAACAAAGTATTAAAAGTAGCCTGTACTTCTACCAGCTGGAAATAGCCATCAGTCATATGTAATTCTTTAGCTTCTCTTCTATGCATATTTTAAAAATTAAACTGAAGTCCTATAGTCCACAGAGTTCCTTTCATTCCATTTACATCACTGTTTTCCCACATTTATAACCAGGAGGCAGGAGTTTTAAATAGCTGCATAAGCATCTACCATATGGCTGCACCACAGTTTAAATCAATCCCCTGTAAGATTTTTCAGATAGTTTCCATTTTTCACTATTATAAATGTCTGTTATAAGTGTCTGTAGCAAAAATCTTTATGTATAAATTTCCTTTGCACGACTCTCAGGGTTTCCTTATTACAAATGGAGTTGTCACCAGTCCTGATCCGGGTATTAGACGTAAGATAATTAAAGGGAAAAAAAAAAAAAAACCATCAGACAAAGACTCCGCCCTTGTGAAGCTTAGATTCTAGCAGGGGAAACAATCAAGGATAATACATTTTTTGCTAGGCACAATGGCTCACACCTATAATCCCAGCACTTTGGGAGGCCAAGGTGGGTGGATCATCTGAGGTCAGGAGTTCGAGACCAGCCTGGCCAACATGGTGAGACCCCCCCCTCCCCACCCCGCCCCATCTCTTAAAAAAAAAAAAAATTAGCTGGGAGTGATGGCGGGCGCCTGTAGTCCCAGCTACTCAGGAGGCTAAGGCAGGAGAGTCGCCTGAACCAGGGAGGCAGGGATTGCAGTAAGCTGAGACTGCACTACTGCACTCCAGCCTGGACGAAACAGCGAGACTCCATCTCAAAAAACAAACAAACAAACAAAAAGGATAATACATTTTTTTAATTGTATAGTATTTTACTAGTGGCATATGGTATGGTCAGAAATGCAGAGGCAGAACAGAGTGAGGGGGTCAGGAATTCACGGGGGGAAAAGCTACACATTTAAATAAACCTTAAAGTTTCTTGACACATACTGCCAAATGATCCTCCAGAAAGGGTATACTAATTTTTATACCCAATAACCAGATCAGGGTATTTGCTTTTTTTTTTTTTTCCACTTAGTTCAAAAAAACAAAACAAAACAAAAAAAGCTCAACCTTACCAGTAATCAAATACGTTAAAACAATGAGGTCTCATTTGGCTCTTCAAATGGGCAGCCTAGATTTATTCTTCATGAATTGTCCATTTGTGTTCTTTGCCCATTTATCTCTTTTTATTTTTGTTTACCACAATAATAACTACATAAAAACACGACTTTTTTTTTTTTTTTTTTTTTTTTTAAGTAGAGACAGGTATCACTATGTTGCCCAGGCTGGTCTCAAACTCCTGGGCTCAAGCAATCCTCCCACCTCAGCCTCCCAAAGTGCTAGGATTACTGTGCCTGGCCTCCATTTTTCTCTATCTGTATGCATCAATCTTTTTTTTTTTTTTTTTTTTTTTTTGAGATGGAGTTTCACTCTTTCACCCAGGCTGGAGCACAGTGGTGCAATCTCGGCTCACTGCAACCTCTGCCTTTTGGTTTCAAGCCATTCTCCTGCCTCAGCCTCCCAAGTAGCTGGGATTACAGATGCCCACCATCACGCCCAGCTAGTAGAGATGGGGTTTCCCCATGTTGGCCAGGCTGTTCTTGAACTCCTGACCTTGTGATGTGCCTGCCTCAACCTCCCAAAGTGCTGGGATTACAAGTGTGGGCCACTGCACCTGGCTGTTTCATTCATTTTTAAGAGCTCTTTATATATTAAGGATTTAGGACACACTGTCAATTCCATGTGCTCTAAACACCTTTTCACAGTTTGTCATATGCCTTAAAATTTTGTGATTAGTGACCAGCATGCACAATTTTTTTTAAGTAGACTACATCAATCTTTTCTATTACAATTTCTTCCCCACAAGGCTTAGGCCTAATATTCCTCACTGCCCTATATTCAGATCAATATTAACCTATATTTTCTTCTAGCTCTTTTGTGATTTTAGTTTTACTTTTACCTCTCCAACTCACCTGGAATGGATGGTAACATATGCTATGAAAAATGGCTCTAACCTAATTTTTCCGCCATTTGGCTATCTAACTGTCCTACAACCATTTATTGCATAATTTTATAATACGAGAGGCAGTGAAGTGCAGTGATAGAGATCACTGGTTTTGCTGTCAGTTACATCAGTGTCCAAGTCTGGCTGACTTTGAGCCTGTTACTTAAACTCCCTGAGCTTCGGTTTCCTTCACTATAAAATGAACTATTAGTAATGTATTAGTAGTATCCAATTCATCTGGTTTTTATGAGGATTAAATAAGTTCATATAAAGTCTTGGTCTGGTGCAGTGGCTCACGTCTTATAATGCCAGCACTTTGGGAGGCCAAGGCGGGAAGATAATGAGGCCATGAGTTTGAGACCAGCCTGGCCAACAATGGTGAAACCCAGTCTCTACTAAAAATACAAAAATTAGCTGGGCATGGTGGCGCACACCTGTAGCCCCAGTTACTTGAGAGACTGAGGCAGGAGAACTGCTTGAGCCTGGCAGACAAAGGTTACAGTGAGCCAAGATCGTGCCACTGCACTCCAGCCTAGGTGAGGGAACAAGACTCTGTCTCAAAAAAAGAAAAAAGTTGGCTGCGCACCATGGGTCACGCCTGTAATCCCAGCACTTTGGGAGGCCGAGGCGGGCAGATTACGAGAACAGGAGATGGAGACCATCCTAGCTAACACAGGGAAATCCCGTCTCTACTAAAAATACAAATTAGCCGGGCGTGGTGGCCGGCGCCTGTAGTCCCAGCTACTCGGGAGGCTGAGGCAGAAGAATGGCGTGAACCCGGGAGGCAGAGCTTGCAGTGAGCTGAGATTGTGTCACTGAACTCCAGCCTAGGCAACAGAGCGAGACTCCGTCTCAAAAAAAAAAAAGGTCTTCAGCATAATGCTTGGCACTTAGAAGTTCTGAAGCGTTATGTGAGCTGTTACTCTGATTCCTCTCACTTAACATGAAATACAACCTTTACCAGACACATTTCTATTTGATTCCATCCCACTGAGTGATCTCTATATTTTCTAACCAGTTTTTCCCAGTATATGAGAAAGCTAATTATCTTTTAAAATGTTACGTTGTAACTGAACTCCTTAATTAAATTTAAATGTGTCTTGGGCCACTAGGAAGACAGTAACATCTGGAAATAATTTTCTTTGTTTCTTTTTAACCATTATTTGACTTTGGTTTGTCCATCCTGACCAGTTCAATAAGGTAGGAAAAAGAAATTAGCAAATTAGTATATTCCATAGTCTCCATTGTGTTCCCAGTTTCAGAATGTTGCCTCTCATGATTCATCACTAAGTCTGAGGGTGTTGGCTGCCTGTTTCTTCATTGAGAAGTCAATGCATCCTCTTTCAAGCTTGAGTTTTCAAAATTCTAAGCAGACTAGGAATAAGGGTAGAAAATTACCAAATGCAGTCAAGTGTGACGGCTCAAGCCTATAATCCCAGAATTTTGGGAGGCCAACGCAGGAGGATAACTTGAGGCCAGGAGTTTAAGACCAGCCTGGACAACATAGTGAGACCCCAATCTCTATGAAAAAAAAAATTAAAGCCCAGCATGGTGGTGTGTGCCTGTAGTCCCAGCTACTCAAGGTGATGCAGGAAGACTGCTTGAGCTGGAGGTCAAGGCTATAATGAGCCATGATTGCACCACTGCACTCCAGCCTAAGCAACAAAACAAGACAAAGAAAGAAAAGAAAGAAAAGAAAAAAAAGAAAGAAACGAAAGAAAAGGAAAGGAAAGGGAGGAAGGAAAGAGGAAAGGAAGGAAAGGAAGGAAGGTGATCAAATGTATCTCTCACACACATACACACAGACAGACAGCTGTCCCTTGCTATATCTCCCATAGATCCCGAAAATCTGAGGATAGTCAAGTCCCTGATATAAAACAGCATAATATGCACAACCTCCTGTATACTTTAAATCATCTTTTGATTACTTATAACACCTAATGCAATGTAAATGCTATATAAATATTTGTTAAACTGTATCATTTAAGGAATAATGACAAGCAAAAAGGCTGTCGAGTCCACAGGTCCTTTACATGTTGAGTAAAGACCCAATTTTTTCCCCAAATATTTTTGATTTGCAGTTGCTGGAATCTACAAATGCAGAACGGGTGACTATGAAGGCCAACTATATTATGTTTTTCTTCTTGGCTCTACATACATGATTATTTCAAGAGAAGACATTCTGATATTAAGCCCCTTCTTACATTTCCAGGATAAATCCTATGTGGTTATGATTCTTTTAAAATGCTAAATTCAATCTGTGACTGTTTTATCTGGCATTTTTGCATCTCCACTCATGTCGGAACTCAATCTTCAGCTTTCTTTTTGTGTAACCTTTGTGATGGTGTTGGTTCCCAGAATTATGCTAGCTTTGTCAAATCAACTGGGATGCTTTACCTCTTTTTCTATTCCCTGAAACAGTGTATTTAGCAGGCAATTATAGCATCCCTCTAAGTTTAAAATAACTTATCCTTTAAACTTCTTGCATCCAGAGCCCTCCTCATAACTGTTTTTTGTTTTTGTTTTTTTGAGACGGAGTCTCACATTGTCGCCCAGGCTGGAGTGCAGTGGTGCGATCTCGGCTCACTACAATCTCTGCCTCCCGGGTTCACGCAATTCTCCTGCCTCAGCTTCCCGAGTAACTGGGACTACGGGTGCCCACCACCGCACCCGGCTGATTTTTTGTATCTTTAGTAGAGACTGGGTTTCACTATGTTGGCCAGACAGGTCTCAACTCCTGACCTCGTGATCCACCCGCCGCGGCCTCCCAAAGTGCTAGGATTACATACAGGCGTGAGCCACCGCGCAAGGCCAGAACTTTTTTTTTAATGCTCAGCTTCTTCCCCAGTTTCTGATTTAAAGTTTCAGACATCCAAGTCATTTCCCAACAGCCATGTCACTGGGATTTTCAAAGGTGTTGCATTTTAAGTTACTGTGTTTTACATTACAAAACAATTACTTCAAATGCAACTTACATTTGTTACACTTTTTCTATCATATCAATTCCTTTTTAGTTTTCTGTATTTGGGGTTTTCTCTTTTCTCTTTTCTTAATTAAACATGATAGTGATTTGGTCTACTTCCTTGGCCTTTTTTCCCAAATAGCTTTTAGATTTATCAATTCAGTGTTTTTATCTGTTTTTCTAATTCATTAATATCACTTTTATCTTACAATTCTTTTCTCCAGCTGTCTTTAGGCTTGTTTTATGCTTTCCAAGTTTGAGTTGAATACTTAATTCATTTATTTTCATTTTCTTTAATAATGTTTTAAAGCTACAAATGTGCCCCTGAATATAACTTTGGTAATAACCCATACATTTAGATATACAGAGTTCTCAATATTTCCTAATGATCCTGTAACAGTAACTTCATTTCCTCTTTGACCCAAGTGTGATTTAGGAGAATATTTTTAAATTTTCAAGTAACTGGATTTCATTAACATGTTTAAGTATTCTATGGAGGATAAAAACATCTCTGAAAGGAGATGAAACTCTGGCAAATAAAAAAAAACCTTTTAAATAGAAAACACGACAATGTTAAAAGTGAAAAATGACTCATATAATGCTGTGATGGCCATATCTACAGACACTCCTTGTAGAAGGGATATAACCACCATTGGTCCTGGGGCACTGAGAGATCTGAGTGTAAGCAACACAAGGAGAGAGGGAAGAGGATGTTAAGTCTCTGTGCCTTCTGAAAATTTTATCTTGGGCATATGCTGCTTGCTTATTTCAGAAGCAAAGTCACCCCTCAATAAATGGAATAAAACCATCCCAGATACACCATCTAAGTATATAACCAAGTAAACTTCCATATTTTTTTGATGAAATTTAGAGATGGCTTCAATTGAGTAAGACTTGGCCCCAAGATGATTACATCTGTGACTAAAGAAGGCAGGAGGGAAAAACAATAATCTCTAATTCTGCAATCTCCAAGTTCAGAAGAATTGAGAGCTACAAGAAAAATAAAGTATATACGTGTGTGTGTGTGTGTGTGTGTGTGTGTATGTGTGTATATATATGTTAAAAAGCTTAATGAGGTTCCAACTGGGCTATTTTGAAACCTAAATGTCAGGAACATGAAGCTGAGGCAGTACAGTAGCCAGTTCCCTGTATCTCCTTACGCAGCCTTTCCCATTTTACAATTACTACATCTTGTAGATCTTGCCTGCTACAGACCTTAAAACGCATTTCAATCCCAAATTAATTGAATTAACTTGTGCTTATAAGCATCATACCGTATCAACTCCCTTCCTTCCCACAAACTTTGTAGTGCCAAGTTAAAAAGAAAAGAAAAAAAAATGGACTCCATAAATCAGTTTTCCAATTTACGTTGAAGAAATCTGTTTCCTACTTTCTAATTTCTGCAACTGGGAAATTCTGTATATTATGTTACCATATAATGAAGGATGCCGGTAAACAGAAATCCACACGCCTGCACACACAACAGATTACATTGTATGTAATTGCAAACACCACCAAGTTATGTACTCTTGGGAGCATTATTAGTGAGATGTGGTTATTTAATGCTTCATCTATTTAAAAAAAAAACTCATTCCATATGGATGAAAAATGAGTATACTAGCCTGAATATGGGAAAAAAATAGAAAATGTAATCATATATTACTTAAAATCTATAACGTTTTATGCAAAGATAAGGTGTTAGTACCAAACTTAGGCATTCAGAATGTCTCAAATACAATATCATGGGCTAATTGCTGGCTACCAAAACCTCCATCCCCCAGCAGCAGATGGCAGGGCCAGCCTTTTGTACTTTACTTGACCATTTAAGAAACTCACAAAGGGGCCAGTCATGGTGGCTCACACCTGTAATTCCAGCACTTTCAGAGGCCGACGCAGGCGAATCACTTGAGGTCAGGAGTTCGAGACAAGCCTGACCAAAATGGCAAAACCCCGTCTCTAGTAAAAATAAAAAAATTAGCAGGGTGTGGTGGCGCACGCCTGTAATCCCAGCTATTCAGGAGGCTGAGGCAGGAGAATCATTTGAACTCAGGAAGCAGAGGTTGCAGTGAGCCGAGATTGCATCACTGCACTCCAGCCTGGGTTACAGAGCGAGACTCCCTCTCAAAGAAAAAAAAAAAAAAAAAAACTCATAAAGGTACACAGCACCTGGGGGCTTCCATTAGCATCAGAACACCCACGGAGGCACGCCCCATGGGAAGGTGGCACTCAGCTCCCACCACAGAGCAAGGCCCTTTAACAGCGAAGATGCTGCAGGGCACTGCTACTCGCCCTGCTGGGGAGAAGCCACCCAGCAGCCACCCTAGGAGCCTGGCACAGAATGCCCAGCTGTGGGGAAGGAAACTGTGCCACCTGCATCGCCCGTGTGCCAAATGGAGTTCAAGACTCTGCACCGTTCCCCATTCATCCCCACGAGAGGTTCAGCAGCCACTGCCGCTAAAACAAAAGACGGATGACAGGAAAACCCGCTGGCCTTTGGCCCATTCCCTAGCAAAGGGGAAGTGTAAAAGTGCAAAGGGGAAAGTGGGCCAGCTGCACTAATCCCTCTTTGTCCAGCAGTAATTAATAGTATAATCCACATTTCAGATGCATTAAAGCGAAAATGCTGCATTATCAGAGAGCCCGGCACACAGCCTCAGGGCAGAGCCTCCCTGCTGACCTGCAGAACCAGGTTACCTCATCTCAGCCTCCTCCTCTCAGGGGAGCTGACTCTAGACACCTCATAAAAGGACCGAGCTGGCAGCCAGAAGTCTCCACTCTGCCTGATGTGCTGTGTCTGTCTTCAGAAACCACCCACTCCAGAGCCAGTCCTTTGGGCACACGAGTTCTACTCCAGGAGACATTTACATCAAGTTCTACTCTCTGACCAACATTGAACATTTTATTTTTATTTTATTTTTTTACACAGAGACAGAGTCTTGCTCTGTCACCCAGGCTGGAGTGCACTGGCATGGTCATAGTTCACTGCAGCCTCGAACTCCTGGGCTCAAGTGATCCTCCCAAGTCTACCTCCCGAGTAGCTAGGACTACAGGTGTGCACCACCGCACTGGGTTAATTTTTTGTTTGTTTTATTTTGTGAGACAGGGTCTCACTCTTGTCATCCAGGCTGGACTGGAGTACAGTGGCGTGATCTTGGCTCACTGCAACCTCGACCTCCCGGGTTTAAGCGATTCTCCCACCTCAGCCTCCCCAGTAGCTGGGACTACAGGCATGCACCACCACACCGGGCTAATTTTTGTATTTTTTGGTAGAGACGGGGTTTCACCACGTTGGCCAGGCTGGTCTCAAACTCCTGACCTCAGGTCGATCCGCCTGCCTCAGCCTCCCAATGTGCTGGGATTACAGACCTGAACCACTTCACCTGGCCCTGGCTAATTTTTTTTTTTTTAATTTTTTGTAGATATGGGGTTTCCCTTTGTTGCCCAGCGTGGTCTCAAACTCCTGGCCTCAAGCAATCTTCCTACCTTGAACTCCCAAAGCACTAGGATTACAGGCGTGAGCCACCACACCCAGCAACACTGCATATATTAATATCACAAGTCTGGGCTGGGCGTGGTGGCTCATACCTGTAATCCCAGTACTTTGGGAGGCCAAGGTGGGCAGATCACGAGGTCAAGAGATCAAGACCATCCTGGCCAACATGGTGAAACCCTGTCTCTACTAAAAATACAAAAATTAGCTGGGCTTGGTGGCGCTACTCAGGAGGCTGAGGCAGGAGAATCACTTGAACCTAGAGGCAGAGGTCGCAGTGCATGGATATCATGCCACTGCATTCCAGGCTAGTGACAGAGCAAGACTCAATCTCAAGGAAAAAAAAAAAATCACAAGCCCCCCTGTGGATTCTTAAGCTTTAAGCTAACTCCCCTCCCCCCAAAATACTGGGATAATAAATGCAACCAAAATTAAGATGCCCCTCCTCAACTCAATTCGGTGGGATACCTTTTTTTATCTTGGTGTTATTTGGGTATTCTGCACTAATTCTGGGGCACCAGGTAAGTTTCTATCGAGGGGTAGAAGCTGACTTCTGTCCCCGTCCCCCAAGACCAAAGAGGAAGCCTCTTCTGCCACCACTGAAATACTATCTTTAGAGGAAGGCATGCTATTAGCTCATCAAGCACAAAACACATTCGAGCTAAACATTACAGTCAAATGTCACAGCCACTTCAAAATAGAGGTACCCAAAAAGGCAGTCAGTCTTCTCAGCAGGGCTTTGAAACCACTGCCAACTGAGAACTTGATCTCAAGTCTTCCAACACCAAAACACCTGGTGGAATAGGTACAACTAACGGGCAGACAGCCTCAAACTCCATTCAGCTCCACAGCGCCTCTCCATGACCACTGCAGCTCAACCTCTGTGCTGGGAAGTGCATGCATAGGATGGAGCCATGTTTCTAGAACCATCAGAGACAAATTTTCTACTACAAGTGATACTGCACATGACAGTTTATTCCTTGGCTGGCCTCTGATAGTATGCATTTGAACCATATGGAATCACCATTTTTTTTATTAAATTAGAGCTGTTAAATAATAACATCATGGAGGAATGTGTTAGGTTCTGGGCAAGGATCTTAAATACACAGTTTTGGAACAAGTGTAGGGAGGGGCCCAAGCCCACGGCCGGTGCCCAACGGTGGCTACACACTACAGCAGCAACCGGCCTTCATCCTCCAAGTCCTCCTTGGAATTTGGGTGAAACTACTTATATCTTAATCTAGGCAGCTGGAGATGAAGACAAAGACAAAAGAGAAGAGGAGAGAAAAGGAAAATAATTTGATAGAAGTATTTTCCATCCCAAATTTTGAGATCCTGGCACGAATGATATAATCTAGATACCCAACAACCTATACTTGTTCCAAAATCGTGCTGTTAAGATCCTTGCCCAGAACCTAACACGTTCTTCCATGATGTTATTAACAACTCTAATTTAATCCAAAAATGGTGATTCCATATGGTTCAAATACATAGTATCAGAGGCCAGCCAAGGAATGAATTGTCATTTGCAATATCTCTTGTAGCAGAAAATGTATCCATGCTGGTTCTAGAAACATAGCTCCATCCTATGCACACACTTCCCCCAGGACTCCTGGACTGCCAAAGGCAGCCTATAAGCCATCAACTAGCAACTGGACATTTCATCTGGGCGCTCAGGAGGTACAGACCTACCAATCACGGGAGTGAAGGTACCCAGGCCAAGGGGCTGTACAAGAAGGGCAGAGAGGAGGCCACCATCCTGAACACATCACAGACTGCCCATCTGTGCCCTTCAAGTGACCTCTAAAGTGTGGTATCAATCTCCACTGAACCTTTGCTCTTATTCCCACAACACTTGGATTCTTTCTTTACAGGGACCCATGTGAAAACTCTTTATTTTTTTATTATTATTATTTTTGAGACAGGGTCTTGCTCTGTCGCCCAGGTTGGAGTGCAGTAGTACGATGTTGGCTCACTGCAACCTCTGCCTCCCTGGCTCAAGCGATCCTCCCACCTCAGCCTCCCAAGTAACTGGGACCACAGGCGTGTGCCACCACACCCAGCTAATTTTTCTATTTTTTGTGGAGACAGGGTTTTGCCATGTTGCCCAGGCTGGTCTCAAACTTCCAGGCTCAAGTGATCTGCCTGCCTTGGCCTCCCAAAGTGCTGGGAGTACAGGCCTGAACCACGGTGCCTGGCCAAAAACCCTTTATAAACACTCTCTTTTATTTTTCTCTCAAGTATGACTCTTTGGGCCTCACCAAAATACAATTTCACAAAATAATGTCACATTATTTGGGGGAGGGGAGAGGCCACCAAATTTCATCTCGAAGCCTCTTCCCTCATTTCCAAGGAAATAGGCATTGTTGGAACAGGTAAGGCTGTAATATTTGGTTTAGCTTTGCCCTCCTGAGCCACCTACCTCTAGAGGCACGTGGGGGTCTCTTTCTTTGCCAACTGCACCAATTCCTCCACAGGACCGTGCAGTAGCTGAATAACAACCCCCGAAGACGCCCACATCCTAATATCCGTAACCTACAAATATGTTACCTTCTACAGCAAAGGAAACTTTGCAGATGCGATCAAGTGAAGGATCTTTGGATAGAGGAGATGATCGTGGATTATCCAGGGGGCCTGATGCAATCACAGGGGTCCTTACAACAGGGGCAAAGGAGAGGACAGAGTCAGGCAGAAGAAGGAGATGTAACAGAAGCATGACACAGAGTGATGTGAGGAAGGGGCCATCAACCCAGAAATGTGGGGGCCTCCAGAACCTAGACCATGCAAGGAAATGGGTTCCTCCTCGAAACCGCTACGAGAAAGCAGCCCTGCCAACACCCTGACTTCAGCCTACTGAAACTGATTTCAGACTTCTAGGCTCCAGCTACAAGGCAATCAGTTTGCGGTTTTTTGCATTTTTTTTTTTTTTTGGAAAAATGAAAGCTGATTTTTATTTTATCATCAACAGCCATTCTTTAGACATGAACATGCATACGTAATATTCTATGCACACATCGCAGTTTTGAACATTAGTTAATAAAGTTTAAACATACTACATCCTTACAGAAAACATCAAAATGCAAACTTAAGTTTGTGTTTTACACCAACAAGTTTGTGGTAATTTCTTCTTCTTTTTTTTTTTTTTTTTTTTTTTTTTTTGAGACACAGTCTCGCTCTGTCACCAGGCTGGAGTGCAGTGGTGCGATCTTAACTCACTGCAACCTCCGACTCCCTGCTTCAAGCGATTCTCTGCCTCAGCCTCCTGAGTAGCTGGGATTACAGGCAGGCACCACCATGCCCGGCTAATTTTTGTATTTTTAGTAGAGAAGGGGTTTCACCATGTCTTGATCTCCTGACCTCATGATCCACCTGCCTCGGCCTCCCAAAGTGCTGGGATTACAGGCATGAGCCACCATGTCCGGCCTATGTGGTAACTTCTTACGGCATCAAGAGGAAACTAGTATAGCCATCTGGAGAAAGGGGGACAGAACCACTGGACACACAGAAGCAGGGGTGTCCCTGAAGGGTTCACCCTACCAAGGGGTTCACACTACCCTCCTTCTCCAGACCCTAGGGACCAGCTGAAACCTCTCTTTCTCCATCACCAAAAATTAGGACCAAAGGCCTCAGATGCTGTAATCAAGAGCTGTGTCTTTTTTTTTTTTTTTTTTTTTTTTGAGATAGGGTCTCACTCTGTCTCTCAAGCTGGAGTGCAGTGGTGCAATCTCAACTCACTGTACCCTCTACCTCCCGGGCTGAAGTGATCCTCCCACCTCAGCCTCCTGAGTAGCTGGGACTACAGACGCCTACCACCGTGCACAGCTAGCTTTTGTATTTCTTGTAGAGACAGGGTTTTGCTGTGTTGCCCAGGTTGGTCTCTAACTCCTGGGTTCAAGTGATCCACCCACTTCAGCCTCCATAAGTGCTGGGATTACAGGCGTGAGCCACCACACCGGCCACGAGGGCTATGTCTTAGGAGAGGTGTTCAGTGGAGTATCTTAGCATTAGACAGAAAAAACCTCCCATCCTGGCCTACCGCATTTGAGATTTATAAATATCCAAATTAACCAAGGAAACAACAGAAAAACAGTAGTTGGACAAAGAGTTTGTGTGTGCTACATGTTTATTTTATCTAATAGGAGACACCGAACTAGAAACATCTACATTCAAGAAGAATCCCTGGATCCACAGTTCCTTTTATCAATTCACAAAAGCCAGGCCGAGCCAACCTTACCCAATATATTCCACAGGTGGGCCCGCCTGAAGCCTCGCTGTGATGCCAGGCAGCCAGCCTGAAGAACTGGAAAGCCAGGGCCCGTGCACGCTGGGCTCCTGAAGACAAAGGAAACAGAATGGCTCGGGAAGGCCGTGGCACCCTGCCCGCCTCCGTGGTAGCCTGGGGCCACTGGATCTTGCTGTCTCCGCAGCACCTGAGAGGTGTGAGCCAGGCAGCCAACCACATCAGAAGCTGGCTGCCGGCTGCCCCAATTGCACAACACCTCCAGGGGAGCCAGCTTTCCAGGACTGGGTTTTACACACCATACGGGCACTGGCCATGTTGACCCAGTCAAGGCATGGCACCTTGAAGAATGGCCCACGCAAAGACCGGCCATATGGACAGAAGGCATCCTGCCACAGAGCGATTTCTGAATCACCTCTATGCAAAGAATAGTCTTCTCTCTTACGCAAAGGAGATCCCATCACCACCATCTCATTTCTATCCCAGGCTCCTCCAGTTCTCTTTCAATCACAAGCCAGACTACCCAACCACTTAACTCTCTAGGCCCAGATATGACTTAATTCTCCCACTCCTGCATGTTTGTTGCCACTTCCCCATTTTGTGTTAACAATTAACCTGAAGTATTATGTTAACAATTAACATGAATTGTGTTTTGGTTTTTAAGGTCGGAGTAACTAGGATTACTCAATAGGATTTAAATGTTCAATTTTAGCACACATGTACAAGGCGCTACTTTGTACATGACAAGATGAAGTGGTTTAAAAAAAAAACAAAACATAACCACCTTTCACAAAGGGTTCTCATTCAGCCTCCTGCTTGTGAAAGATACGACTTTGAATAGTGAAAGTCCCAAGAAGGGTAATTCAAGCAAAACTGGTTTCTAGTTTGCCTTGATTCAAATTCTTTATGCTACTTGACCCATTTCTCTTTTCCTCTTGCTTCTCCTGATGCCTCTCAAAATAATAATAAACCAACCCCAGAAATAGAATCCTGTCTTCCTTAGATGTCACCATATGACTAATTTATGGCCTTTGTTTAAAGCCCTTACACCAGAGTTGACTCCAGTAATTTCCTCCTCTTCTATTTGAATGTCCATTTACAGCCTCTCTGTAACCTCTGGGTGAACTGAGAATGTTCTCTGTGCCTCTCATGATGTGGATTCGCACCCTGGTGACAGCAGAGTGGCTCCGAGCAGAATCTCCCCATTACAGCTGAAGCCCACTGGGACCCTACCCAAGTTCACGTGTATATCCCAAGAGAGTTTGCTGAACACTCCTTATGCCTTAATGCACCTTTGAAAAAAAAAAGACTAAGGGGGCTGGGCGCAGTGGTTCATGCCTATAATCCCAGCACTTTGGGAGGCCAAGGTGGAAGGTTCACTTGAGCCCAAGATTTCAAGACCAGACTAGGCAATATGGCAAGACCTCATCTCTACAAAAATAAAAATAAATCAGCCAGGCGTGGGGGCATGTGCCTGTGGTTCCAGCTGCTTGGGGGTGCTGAGGCAGGAAGATCACCTCCCTCAGCCTTGGGAGGTTGAGGCTGCATGGAGCTGTGATTGTGCCACTGCAATCCAGACTGAGCAACACTGCAAGACTCCCATCTCGAAAAAAAAAAAAAAGGCAAAAAGATATCAAAGGCTGAGTGGGCAATTTGAATGTGTTCCCAAGACGTGATGGGAATTTTCTACGTTTGGATTCAGGGGAGTGGGGTCTTAGTTTTGCTCTCATTCAGGGAGGTGGGTCCCAAAAAATATCCCCTGTTGGCCTTAGGAGGAGGAATACTTGAAAGGTATATCTGAAAATGCTCCAAGTTTTTTCCTGCCCCGCTTTCCAGTGGTGCCCTTCGCCAAGTCATGAAAACTCTGCCAACACTGTTCTCTCTCCAGCACTCACCTGGGCTCCCCACCAATGTCTTGGCTGCCGTCACGACTAAATAATGCCTTCTCTTCTTCCCCTCCACCCACCCCTCTCTGGTCTTTAGCACAACCTATCAGCTGACTTCTCCAACTCCAGGGAGCTAGACCACATAGTCCTCCACCAAGAGCTTTGCTAGCTTAGCACCCCACAGATAGAGCTCGTCCAGAGAATTGTCCAACCATCCATTAAAATATCCAAGTGGCCCCAGTGTGCCAGAGACTGCTCTCTCTGGACTAGGGCTAGGGGTAAGCAGCAAACCAAACAGGCTAAGACCTCTGCCACCTGCATAGAGCCCATGCCTACTGTCTGACCCATCCCTACCTCTGCAGATGCTCCTTAATTCCCCACTTTTACTCTCTCCTCTTCAGAAAATGATTTCCTCCTTTTGGATGAAAATTTGATTTTTTCGATGAAGTGGGACCTATGTTTTCTCAGTTTTTATCTTTTTTTTTTTTTTGAGACAGGGTCTTGCTCTGTCACCCAGGCTGGAGTCCAGTGGCACGATCATGGCTCACTGCAGCCTCAATTTCCCAGGCTCAAGCAATCCTCCCGCCTTAGCCTCTTGAGTAGCTGGGACTACAGGCATGCGCCATCACACCCGGCTAATTTTGCTTGATTTTTTTTTTATAGAGACAGGGTCTCACTATGTTGCCCAGGCTGGTCTCGAACTCCTGGGCTCAAGCAATCCTCCTGCCTTGGCCTCCCAAAGTGCTGGGATGACAGGCGTGAGCATACACGCCTGGCCATGGTTTTGATCTTATAAAATAAATTAACTCTAAGGCCGGGTGTGGTGGCTCACGCCTGTCATCCCAACACTTTGGGAGGCTGAACGGGGTAGATCATGAGGTCAAGAGATCGAGACCATCCTGGCCAACATGGTGAAACCCCGTCTCTACTAAAACCACAAAAAATTACCTGGGCATTAGCCTGTAGTCCCAGCTACTTGGGAGGCTGAGGCAGGAGGATCGCTTGAACCCAGGAGGCAGAGACTGCAGTGAGCCAAAATCACACCACTGCACTCCAGCCTGGCGACAGAGTGAGACTCCATCTCAAAAATAAAATAAAATAAAATAACTCTAAATAATAAATGGCAAGAATTTTCTTTAATTGGCATTTTGTGGGGATTCACCCCAGGCTTGGCTGTGTGTTATCATACTCTCTTCACTCTGAGAATCTGAACTGTCTCCCTGAAGGACTGAAGCTAGCCTCTGTATAGTCTAAATGCTAAAACTGGCTGTCAGTTTCCTCAATGCTTGCCACTGTGATTTTATTCTGAAAGCTACAGCTCTTCTCATTCAAAGGTTACCCTCCCTCCTAACCAACCCAGAAAGAACTCACTACCCAGCTCTGCTTGCACCCTAGTGTTGGGGCTCAAGCTTCCGGTTCCGCTAAGACTCTGACCTCGCTTCTAAGGACACACACCTCAGAGGCCCAGAGCTCCGCTGTATCACACACTCATTGTCACATCCCTCGATGCATCATTCCCAGAATCCTCAAGGCTGTCACTGGATGAAAGAATAAAACAGCAAAACATCCGGCACCTTTTCATCCTGGCTCAAGTCAAAAGAGTTGGGATTAAAGCCACTTGTGACTTTCAAAAGCTATCACTACGAGGCAAGGACCGAGTGGCCAGTTCGTTTCAGAAAGTGGCCTGATGCTGTTGAAACTGCCAGCTGCCAGTGGACGTGAGCCTCACTCCCACTTTATAGTCTCAGGAAGGTGGCTCTCAGGACATGACGCCAAGCCCCAGAAGGGCCTCTGAATCCTCCACCAGCGTGTGCGTGTGTGTGTCTGTGCGTGTGTGTGTGTGTGTGTGTGTGTGCGTGTGCGTGTGCGTGTCTGCACGCGCACCTGAGTGCACATGGGCTGCCTGGTTTACAGGCCACCACAACCCTTCCACCAAGTGTGAACACACATACACTTCCTTACCAAGGTGCCCACCGGAAACCCCTGCCTGGACCCCTGCAGCCCTCCCAGCCACACTGCAGCATCGAGGGAACAGCACTTTGCCTCCCCAAACCTGCCCTGGCTACTGGGTGACCCCGCTCTGCTATCCCCACCTTCACCCTGAGATGCACAGACTGTCTGCTCTAAAGGGCATGAACCTGGAGATTGTGAGTCATCACGACGCGCAGGAAGCAACGTCTCAGTCCAAACCCTGAGCCCGTTCCTAGAGAGCCTTCTCCGCTCTCTCACCCCTCATCCCACGTAGAGCAATCAGGGCTCACCCGCCCCCTTCCCTTTCTCTATGGCTTCTTCAAGATCTCCTCATCCATCTGCCCACAACTGGAACTGTTTATTTGTTTAGCCCACTGGTAAGAAAAATGAGAGAGCGGGCTGGCATTCCTGGCTGGGCATAAACACGTTTTTAAAAAATGTCTGTTCCAACTCTGTCTGGGTCCCGTACTGAGCCCTTTAACCTCCTGCAAGCACCATGGAGACATTCCATGGGAACTATCACCATTCGTTATCATCGCTGAAAGACAAAATCCACTGTACCCTGCAACATCTCACACAGATCCTTCACATTCTTGGTTTGAGAGCTGACTATGCAAGAAAAAGGAAGCACCATGACTGTGGGAAAGGCCACTGTCACCAGGACAAGAGGCACCAGCAAGAGCCCTGCATCAATTACTCTACAGAGGCACCGGGAGGCCTGATTTTAATTTTTTAAAAATACATTTAATGAATCACATACGCAAACTTTACATTGGCAGAACACTCCCTTAGGATCATGAGCAAATTTCTGATCAGATCAAATAGCAAACTGCCCAAGGAAACCACGAAGAGGGGTGATGTTGCTATCACACTATCAAAAAGTAAAGACATACTTCTGATTTCTCACAAGAAATTTCCCAACAAAAGCTCTCTGTCTTAGATTCCGAAAGAAAAACATCCCCCACACAGAGTGTAAGGGCCAAGAATGGCCTCACCATATGGGACAGCTTCTGAAATACACAGAAAACGGGCAACGCGGGACCCATGGGACAAACCACTGTGTAGCCAGCTGCCCCGGCCAGGCCCGTGGTGTTGACTTTGGCAGTGCTTGTCGACCATGACTCAGCAATAGTCATCGAAACTGAAATCAAGTGGAACTGATCAGTTCAGACCTCCAATGTTGAGTTTGACTCAACGATTCTTCAATGCCCCTGGTCTTCCTGAAATTCTCCATTTAAATATTTACTGGTTTAAGGGTAAAGTCAGGGAGGCACGGGCATGGTTGTTGGACCTTTTCTGTCTTATCCTATTCAAATCTGGCTGAACTGAGTAAAACGTTATGCAGCAGGATGTCTTCCTATATAATCCACTTCATCCCGCCCCCCCAATACTCTTCCATAGGGGTTCAAATGCAGATCTGAACCAACTGCTCGATGATCCCCCAAAGCCATTTAGTCTCTGAGCTTTTCTCATCTACAAAATGAGATGTGTCCCCACTCTGCATACCGTATAGAGCACCTGCAAGGATTAGTTGAAAGGGTATAGGCCCAAGGACTTTGAAAAATGAAGCTCCTTAAATTATTTTCCCGATGTCCTCAGACAGACTTGGCACCTTACCCTTTTACTCATAATTAAAGATTTGAGCAGCTAACTCAGAGGCCTAATTGTGATGCTAAGTAGACATATAGTGGCTCAATAAAAGGAAAGACTGAAGGGGTTTAGAGCAGCGAGGAAAGACAATCGAGGAAACGGGGCTCGAGGTTCTGGGACGAGGGCCTGCTGAGCTGGCCAGCCCAGCCAAGGCCACAGGGATACAGTCCTTCCAGTCACTCAAGTTAAAAATCTTGCAGTCACCCTTGACTCTATGTCCTGTCTTGTCCCATATCTCCCTTCAAAATCTATCCAGAGGATAAGCACCTGGAGCAGATCGAATAGCATCCCTCCTAGAACTCATGTCTACCAAGAACCTCAGAACATGGCCTTATTTGGAAATAGAGTCTTTGAAGTAATTTATAACTAAATTGAGCTCAGACTAGATCGGGGTAGGCCTTAAATCAATGACTGAGCCAGGTGTGGTGGCTCACACCTATAATACCATCACTTTGGGAGGCTGAGGTGGGTAGATCACCTGAGGTCAGGAGTTTGAGACCAGCCTGGCCAACATAGTGAAACCCTGTCTCTACTAAAAATACAAAAATTAGCCAGGTGTGGTGGCGGGCACCTATAATCCCGGCTACTCAGGAGGCTGAGGCAGGAGAATCACTTGAACCTGGGAGGTGGAGGTTGCAGTGAGCCAAGATCATGCCACTGCACTCCAGCCTGGGTGACAAAGCGAGACTCCATCTCAAAAAAAAAAAAAAAAAAAAAAATCAATGACTGGTACCCTTAGAAGAGGAGGGAACACACAGAAATGCACACAAGGAAGACAGCCACGTGTAGACGGGAGGCAGAGGCTGGAGTGACACAGCTCCAAGCTAAGGAATGAGTCTTTACTCAAATGTCACCTTCTCCGAAAGCCTTTCTTCACTGTGTCCACCGAACCTGCCAACTACTGCTCACCCCCTGCCCTCGTCCCGCCTCCTCTCCACAGCATTTAACATCATCCAAAATACTATAATGCACTTAGTAATGATGTCCAGTGAGGGAGATGAGGTAGTATAAGCTCCAAGCAGACAAGCATTTCTCTCTTTTTTTGCCCCCATTGGAGTATCACCGGCACCAACAACAGTGTCTGGCACACATGGGACTCTCAAACAAAAGGTCAAGGGCAGCCCAGGGAAGCCCCAAGGCTGGAAGCTCTCGCTGAGAAAGCCAGGCTGGGAGAAGCCCGTCTCCCTGAGTCAGGCCTGCAAGCCAGGCAGGCAGATGGTGAAAGGCAGGAGGGAGAGGAGCCACTGCAGGCCCCTGGTCAGCAGAACAAGAAGAATACGGAGCCGGGAGTTTGAGGGCAGCACCACTGATATTCAGGCTGTGTCATTCTTCGTTGGGGATGAGGGTGGCTGTCCTGGGCATCGCAGGATGTTTAGGAGCATCCCTGGCCTCTACACTGGATGCCAGTAGCATCCTCTCCCCAAAGTGTGACAACCAAGAATGTCTCCAGACTGCCAAATCTTGGGGGGAGGAAGCAAAATCACCCCCTACGGAGAACCGCTGAAACTGAGTTTCAGTCCAATGACGGCCCACATGCCACGATCCCAGACAGCACAGGGCCAAGCAGGTAACACAAATGAGCGAAGTTGGCTGGGAAACAGGACGTGGTAGGGTAAGAGCTGGTAAGCAACAGTGAGCTCTGGCAACCTAAAAAGTAGATGTTCCTTCCACAAGGGGCAGTCACCACCCTGTTCTAGCCAGGTTTTGCCCTGAAGACCCAAAATGGCCAAATCCCCCGATTTTTTTTTTCAAGAGAAGGTTTTAATACTGATTTTTCTGTGAAATGTGCCCATGTTTAAAACATAGTATGTGGCCAGGTGCAGTGTCTCACGCCTGTAATCCCAGCACTCTGGAAGGCCGAGGCGGGCAGATCACTTGAGGTCAGGAGTTCGAGGCCAACCTGGCCAACATGGCAAAACCCCATCTCTACTAAAAATAAAAAATTAGCCTGGCGTGGTGGCCCATGCCTATGATTCCAGCTACTCAGGAGCCTCAGGCAGGAGAATCGCTTGAACCTCGGAGGCAGAGGCTGCAGTGAGCTGAGATCGCACTGCTGCACTCCAGCCTGGCGACAGAGCAAGACTCTGTCTCAAGAATAAATAAATAAATAAAATAAAATATAGTATTTGCTGAACAAAACACATCTACAGGCTAGGTTTTGCCTACAAGCTAAGACTGTGCAACCTCCGCACAGAGACTGCCTGGAGGTGGAAGGGGCTGGAGGGAAACCCCCCTTAGGAGCCTGCTGTCATCTAGACACAAGGGGCCTGGAGCAGGCCTGTGAGGGTAAGGGGCGGAGGGAGGAAAGGCTGGATCCCAGAAACTCTTAAGGTGAATAAGATAAGCACAGCAAGACAAGTGTGCACACTGTAATCATAAGCCACGAGGGCCAAAGCAACAGCCAATGCCCCCGGCTCCCTCCCACGATGCGCTACAGGCAGCACTGTGCTTACGCAGGTCACACACCTAGGAGCCGGAAGACCCCTAATGCATCCTTCAGGTAGGACCCTCTGCTTTGCAGAAAACCAGCGCTTAGAAAAGGCTTAAAGTGAGTATTTTGAAGACGGCTGGAATCAGAGCTCAAATCCATAACCTCAAAGGCTTCATGTCATCTTGCCACCACCCACGCCAATCCTTGAGCCTAGAGTAACGAAGAGAAAGGCTGCAACGACCACACACACCACGACGTCAGCCCAAAGGCCACGTGGCTCCATCCACGGCAACAAAATGCAAGGGAGCTCCGAGGGACACTTCCGTTTCAGGACAGGCTTACGGGGAGGACACCAGCTCCTCCCACCCTATCTGTAGACTGGGTAGAAGGGCTTCTTTTGAGCGCTCTGTCTTCCCAGAGAAGGACGTCCTGGAAACAAGGCACGTGCAGTATTACCATTAAACAACATGCACATGCCAGTGGCGCTAAATAAACAGCAGAGACAGAGGCTGCCTCACCCACTTGCTCCATAGTCTGCATCGAATCAAGGTCACTGGAGACAAGGTAAAGTCCACAGAGCCCCCTCATCTCACATCCACACAGCTTTGCTCCTCCTGAAAGAAATGAAATAGCTGGAGTGTTTTGGCAAAGAAACGAAGAGGCAGGTGAGCAAGGAGAGATGGGGGAAGGGAGGGGCGAAAGAAGAGAAGAGGCAGCCCCATCTCCCAGCTGGGGAGAAACTTCCAGATGGGAGGCAGCAGACGCCACTGAATTGATGGCCAGTCTCCACCAAGCCTCATCATGCCCCGCAGGCAAAGTCTCCACTCCCCTTCCTTCCCCCAGCCACGGGCAGGAGGCACCACCCATGAAGACTGAGTCTGAGATCATGCACCATTGACTACCCAAGCCCAATTCTTCCTGTCCCTGATCTCCAAGTGGTAGCTGCAAATAAGCCCACGTGAGTTGCACTGAAAGGATCAGGGCACTGGTTCTCGAGGACTGGGAATGCAATGATAAAACGAAATCTCACCAGCACTCAGTAAAGCCAGATCCAATGGCAGCCTTGGGCTGGTCACCCCTAAACCGCCATGTGTCAGTCGGGTTCCGCCTCCCAGAAGCGGGTTACCCTGATTTGTGAGCTGATTATTCTAGAAGACTCCAGGGTCTGAAAGTATCTCAACAGGTTGGCTATGTAAAAACACAGTCAATCAAGCAGCCAGACACTTTGCAGAGAGACTCCACTCCACGAAGAATTACAGGAGGACCAGAGGGTCTGGCTGTGCCGGATCCCACAGCTCAGCGGCTACATGTCCCCCAGAAGGTGGGCCCAGGAAGGCCCTGCACCTTGTATGGGAAGCTCTCTACTCCCCAACACAATACCCCTCGGCCTTGACTGCCCCTTAGACACCGCCTGCCTCCTGGAGACGAGACATTCCTCAGCCCTCTCCCACATATGATCTCCGCATGTATCCATTATAAGGATCTAACTTTTTTATGGAGAGGAGAAAGTTCCCACATGCAGAAGACTTACACCGCAGGGGGAACGAAGGGAGGGTCATTTAGCACTTGTTGAAAGAAGATGAGTATGAGAGCAATTGGGAGGAGAAGAAAATGTCATGTCAGCTATGAAAGTTAAACAGGAACGTTCCCCTCCCCACAACGACCGCCCTGCACCGCCCTGCCCCAAGTCCTTCCCAATGCGGCGGCAGCCACCAGCCCATGCAGGACTCACACATGGGCAGACACCCAAGTTAAGAGAGGGGGCCCGGGAAGGGGAGGGACACCATGGTGGTTTGCAGAGCTCCACCTCTGGGAATGGATTTGATGTCAAGTGTCAGCAAGTAAATTGCTATTGGCTTCTCAATAAGCAGCAGCAGTGAGTTAAGTGTTTCCCCGTATTGTGGAGCCCTCACGGACTCGATACAGCAGTATTGACAGCACAATCACACAGTAATCCAGGGTCCTCTAATGCCTACACTTCCTCAATGAAAATACACTTTCCACTTGGACATCAGCCCATTAGCTTTGGGCTGGAATCTCTGGCCTCCTTATCCCTCCCCCAGGCACCCCTGGGCTGCAGGTCTGGCATCTGGCCCCCTGACACCCCAGCCAACATGAACATCCCAGCCAGAGTATTGTCAGGGCCCAACCGAAAAAGATAAACAGTCAGAGACCTACAGGAAAAGGCCTGCTCTCCCTGTCTATAAATCACTGGTGGGAAGGAAAGAAAAGTGATCCAACTCTTTCAGGATAAAAATCACAGCAGTCACTGAGGAAAATTGATGTTCCCTTGCAAAGCGAAAGATGTTCTCTCCGGGAAGATGCATGCCTTCAAGTTTTCAGACAGACTGAGACTCAAACTTCACCCAATGTGACACAGGATTGAGACAAGTTATGTGACCTCCACAAAGCTCAACCTCTCACGCCAGATTCGATGCTTCCCAAAAGGAACACACCCATGTCTTGGCAGTCTCCGATAGGCTGAAATAGTAGAGGGTCTGCTGGGCACAGTGGCTCACGCTTGTAATCCGAGCACTTAGGGAAGCAGAGGTGGGTGGATCCCATGAGGTCAGGAGTTCGAGAATAGCCTGGCCAACATGGCAAAACCCCATCTCTACAAAAAATACAAAAAAAAAAAAAAAAAAAAAAAAAAAAAAGCCAGGTGTGGTGGCAGGCGCCTGTAATCCCAGCAACTTGGGAGGGAGGCTGAGGCAGGAGAACTGCTTGAACCCAGGAGGCGGAGGTTGCAGTGAGCCGAGATCACACCACTGCACTCCAGGCTGGGGGGCAGAGCAAGACTCTGTCTCAAAAACAAAAACAGAAAGGCCAGTCATAGTGGCTCACGCCTGTAATCCCAACACTTTGGGAGGCCAAGGCGGGTGGATCACCTGAGGTTAGGAGTTCGAGACCAGCCTGACCAACATGGTGAAACCCTGTCTCTACTAAATACAAAAAATTAGCTAGGCATGGTGGCAGGCACCTGTAATCCCAGCTACTTGGAAGGCTGAGGCAGGAGAACTACTTGAACCTGGGAGGTGGAGGTTGCAGTGAGCCGAGATTGTGCCATGCCATTGCACTCTAGCCCGGCAACAAGAGCAAAACTGCCTCAAAAAAAAAAAAAAAAAAAAAACACATAGTAAAGGGTCTGCTCATTTAATAGTAAACACTTTGCAAATGCAAGCTATGTTTCAAAACCATTTCTCATCCATTTTTATTTGACTCCCAGCACACCCTGGAATCGCTGGGGGAGAAGATTTTATTCCAGAGACCAGTGAAACACAGGTAAAGGAGAACTAACGTGACTTACCCAAGGTCACACAGCTAGTTAGCAGTAGATTTGGAGCTAGAGCCTAGACTAGGGTTGGCAAACTTTTCCCATAAAGAGCCATGTAACTATTTCAGGCCTTGCAGGCCACGCATTCTCACTGCAACTACTCACCTACACCACATGATAGCATGAAAGTGGTCACAGACAAAACACAAACAAGCAAGTGCTGCTGTTTGCCAATGAACATTTAGGAACACAAATATAAATGTCACATATTGTCAGATGTCCCATAATCGTATTCATCTTCTGATTCTCCACCAGCCATTTACAAATGTAAAAGCCATTCTTGGTTGGCAGGCCATGCCAACATGTGTTGGGTCGGAACTGGCCCGCAGACTAGAGTTTGCCAATCCCAGATTGCTGGGAGACTTCTCAATATCTACTAATAGAATACCACAAAGCCAAAAAAAGACAAACCGTGATCATTCCCAGGCTTATTACAATTTTAACTCTCCAGTCCAGTCAAAATTGCTTGCCTAGCAAACACCAAACGTAACCCAGGCTCCAGGTATCTGACAGCAATACAGCTTGCGCATGCAGGCGGGGTGTTCAAACTTCTCTAGAAAACAATGCCTTTTTATGGGAATGCCTTTTTATGGGAATTTTTGCACAAAATTTCAAGTTAAGAAACTTTCCATAAATACACAACGCATGCTCTAGCCACAGCTGGTTTCATATGCTAACTGCAGAAGGCATTTCCGAAAGCAGCATGTGAAGAGTCCTCCTTAAATACAGCGTTAGGGAAAATGACACCCTCTATCCTCCCCACTGCCCCCACCACCAAGAAGGAATTTGGGTCTGTGTTCAGTAAGAAGAAATCTGGCCAGAAAGGGGTTAATGCCCTTCCAGGCTGGGATCTGATAAATGGCTGTGCAGAAAGCAGGTTCCCTCACTTTGAGATATGATGTCACTAACCTTTATTGATCCACTATCAGAGAACTTTGCTTATCTCTCTCCTGTGATATACTGCCCCTCCTGTGCTCAACTAGTGTTTAATACACTGCCGGGTGCCTTGCACTCCTCATCGCTCAGCACTGCAGAGAGAGGCTGCCACGGGGACCATATTTCACAGAGCCGGGCCTTCCCAGCACAGACGCCTCCCAGAGTCAAGGGGAGCCAGCACCCACCTCCCACCTCCTCCCAGGCCGCCAGGTCCCAGCTGCACCGAGACAGTGGGTCGGGTCAGGGCAGGGCAGGATAGGACACGGCCCCTCCGGGACCCTGCGGCTTCTCCTTTTTTTGGGGGAGTGTGGGGACAGAGCTTCAGTCCCAAGATTCCCCTTTTTTCCACCATGAAGACAACTGTCAGCCATGTTCATGTGGGAAAACATAAGCACCTCCGAGTCAGACCTCCTATTTAGAGAAATGAGCTTCCTGTTTTTCCCCTTCCAAGGTCTCAAGACCTCAGTCCACCGGGAGGTGGAAAACACCATCCATCAAGGTGCCGGACAGTTGTTCGGGAGAAGTCCTGCCAGGAAGAAAGCCAGAGAACATGCCCAGGTGTGGCCAGGCAGGCTCAGATCCCCAAGAAGAACAGGGCTCCAGAGCCCGGGGCAGTGTGATGCTGGGGCTGCCACACACCGGGTTTGGGGTTGGTCGCTCCTCCTGCCAACCCACAGGCTAAGGATGCATCAGGCACAGCCTTGGCCACACCCAAGGGTGGGGAGAGCCCCAAAGCACCAACAGACAGGGGACGATTGTTAGAACTCAAGACACAGAATTCCATCTCCAATAACCTCAACCGCTCGGAGGGATTCTCAAGCTCTGCCAAGACCCCCACTGGTGGCTCTCCAAGAAGCCCATGGTACAGGCTTTGCTTCTCCGGGCCCATCCCTGGGAAAGGGGGCAGTGGGCCGCCCAGAAAAAGTGAGCAGGGGCCCTCCCACAGCCCCGGGGCACCCAAAATTTGCCTAATTGAACATTAACAAGTTGCTACAATAAAGTTCCTCTGTTGTGAGCAGGGAAACCTTTTCGGCAACAACAACAGAAGTCTTGTTACAAACTGCTCTGAAAGCCAGGCTTCAGCCTCGACAGGTGTGAACAAGATTTCAACACCTCCTACAATACAATGCAATCCAAACAAAGGGGAAAGTCAATCCCAGCCTCCTGAGGTTTCTGCTTGTCTAACATCTTCTTCACTCACTCAGCCCAGGGGAGCCAAGTGCACCTTCCTCAAGCCCAGCAGCAGAGAAGACCTCACCAAAGGTAGACCCTCTCCACTGCCTCAACATGGGGCCATCTTGGCTGCCCAGGGGCAGTTCGGAAAGTCTCTGCTAGGAACAGGAGTCCTTTCAATGGCTCCCACCTGCTCCTGGGACCCCAAGGCCCCTTCTATCACCTCCCAAATGCAGCTAGCATCGATGAACCACACTGGCGTGTTTCCCACATTTCCTCACCTGGGTTCGCCATCACCTTCAGCCTCTTGACAGGTAAGGAGAGTGAAAAAGAGGAAAATGAGAAACGCTCCTTGGTCACAGGGTCCATGCTGCTCCTTCTACTAAAGGGGACACAAGAGCCTCCTAAAGCTCCCTTCCCTGAAATGCTGGAGAAAAGCTGAGACCTCAGGACTGGATATTTTATTTAAAAACTTTTTGTGAGTGATGCCACAGGTAGAAACACACAAGAAGTGTGTGTTGGACGACGGAAGGAATTATCCCTCCCATTGATTTTTCGCTCTGGAGTATTAGAGAGAAAACAGCATTTATCTGGAGATTTCTTCCCAAAGCCAACCACATAAACGGGACTTGAAAAGAGCTTATCGGACAAACGATTTGCTCACAAGGCCATCGCCCAAGTGGGAATCCCAGCAGGGAACTCGATCAGCCCCACTGTTCCTGCGTGGACATCTTTAGGTGGCTGTTGTCATTACTCAACTTCATGCCAACGACAGAGAGGCTGGCCTGGGAAGTGGCAGAGGGGAGACATTGGCAAAAATTACAATGGACAAAAAATGAGTTCTTTCTCTGTCATGTCTCTGCTCCAATAAGGAGAATGCAAAATGTCAACAAAACAAATTCCAAAAAAAGCAGCATGCACATAAACACACTTGAATCCTTCCTAATGTATCTTGGGACTCCTCTTTGATCCTCTAATTTTCCACAAACTCTTAGGCATGTTTTGTTTTAATAAGTGATAAATACTAATAACCCAACATCTAATCCAAACACCCATTCTCCTCCCAGGGCAAAGGAAAGGCTATTCACAAATTTTTTAAAAGTGGAAGACAGCCATAAAATATGCCAGGATAATCCCCAAGACCGGCTACTCTCAACTTTCTCTACCTCCAATCTTGGAGCCCACCCAAGGGCAAGAGTGGCCTGGAGACTCGCTATAAAATGTATGTGACCACCACAATGGAATTGCTTTGCCAGACATTTTTACTAATGAATCTCATAGCACGGAGACAGATCCCATATAAGGAGTTAAGCAGGTTCATTCTCCTCCACGCTGCCCCTTCACCTACCAGATAAGCAAGGCAAGTGCCCCCAGTTCCATGGAAGGAGAGCAGACCACAAAAAGGTTAGAAGGCTCAAGTCCTCTTTCCAGGTAGCTGGGAGGATGTAATTGGTGAGGCAGGAGATTAGAAATATCGGCAGCCTCTAAGTAAGACTTTAATTTACTGGCAGATCAATAGAGCCGGGGTTATATTGGCAAAGTGTCTACAGCTCTATTGACTCACGCAATGCCTCTTATCAATTTATCAGAAATCTGGAAGTCAGAAGATATTGTTTGAAGGGAAAAGAGAAAAAAAAAAAGAAGAAGAAACAGGAAGCATGAGTCCAGAGCTAGAGCAGTTAGAAACTAGGGTCCCCAATGACCAACTTGCTACCAAGAGTTTCGTACCAATGTGTCTCCTGCAAAGAAGGCTAATATGATACATTTGGAGTTAACCTGCCTCCCTTGCACGCCCCTCTCAGCCTTCTCAGGGATTCCATTTTCCATAAACCTTGTACCCTGGGGAGGGGGTGAATCCTACTGAAGCTGGTCTGGGATTTTTGTTTTGTGTTGTGTCTTAGCAAGGAGCAATTCCTTCCTTAGGTTCAGCCATACTCGTCCAAGTTACAGAAGATCCACACTTCTCCACCCCTTGTGTGGTTTCCTGCTACCTCTCCATTCTACTGCAGCCAGAATTCCTAGCCTTGGCTTCTTTCTTACCAATCCATAAAAAGATTTCTTTTTAGGTAAATAGGATATTTATCTCAGCATCCCAATACTCCCAAGAGGTCACAAGGATCTATCAGACTAACAATGGCACTTGGTCTCAAGAAGCGTAAAGAAAACGAACTCAAGTTCTATAAATCATCACAAATGTTTTCACAAATAATTAATCTTCGTTTGAAAATGTTTTGAAATATCCCAGGTAGCCGACCAAAAAAGCCTGGCGGCGGGGGGGGAAGTAAACATTCACACTTCACCAAACCCAAATGTTCACACCAGCGAAGGAAGGAAGGACGCAGGAAAACACGAAGTTCCCGAGTGTTTCTAGCCAGTAACTCTAGGGGGCAGGTCGGGGAAGAAAGAGAGGGTTTGGAGCATTCCAGGTATCAGGAGGCCAAAGGGAAAAGCGATTTTCCTTGGTTTGGAGGAACCACAACCTGCTTTTGATGATCCATTTTGGTCCCTGCCTCATACAACAAATTTCTGCTTAATTGCTGTTTTGCATTTCGTGGAGACATCGAGTAAACAGTACTTAAGTGTTTCCAGACAAAAACAATAACTCACTAATGACTAAGGCACTGCTAATTAAAATGCCCCCATGATGGCGTGACTGGACTCAGAGCCACCACAGCAAACAGAACGAGCTGGGCCTTGAATGCATGAACCAGAACGCGGGCGTGCAGGGCGGAAGATCCTCTGCTCCTTTCTCTGCAGGTCACCACGGGCCCTCTGGCTGAAAAGAAGGCCCACTGTGACCCTTGCTAGAAGGAGAGGGCAGAGGTGTGGAGAGAATGGGAGGAGTTAGAGTGGGGAAGGGGGGTGAAGGCACTGAGATTTCAGAGGGAAGGCAGCACCCCAATAGAATGCACATTCTAGAACCTTATAAGAGTAAGTGGCCTGGCATTGCCTCAAAACTTTATGAGCTCCTGAGAGCCCCTAAAGAAAAAAAAAATGTGTCCTACTCTAGTAGGGAGAAAATAAGAAGATGTGTTAAAACTGGCCAAATAGGCTGGGCGCAGTGGCTCACGCCTGTAATTGCAGCACTTTGGGATGCCGAGGAGACAGGGAGATCCTGTCTCTACAAAAAATTAAAAAATTAGCCAGACGTGGTGATGCATGCCTACAGTCCGAGCTACTCGGGTTGCGGGACTGAGGTGGGAGGATCGCTTGAGCCCAGGAGATGGAGGTTGTAGTGAACCATGATTGTATCACTACACTCCAGCCTGGGCGACTGAACAAGACCCTGTCTCAAAAAACACAAACAAAAGCAAAACAAAAAAACAAAAACAAAAACCTGGCTAAAGACCCTTTCCTAGTGACCACAGTCATACAAGGCATCCATTCCTAACTACCCTTTTAAAAAGAAGATTCAGAAAGAACAAAAAAACCAGAGGTATACTCGACCACCTGCCCAGTGCTAAAGGATTTCTCAACGCCATAGTCAGACTTCACGAGCGCATGCGACAAAGTAACAGGAACCTAGAAAACTTCTCTTCGTCCCCAAAAAGAGACCAAAATAACTAGCCTTCCCCAGAGCGGGCAGCTTTCCTCTTCAGTGCTCTTCAACTTTCAGTCCTACAGATGGGGGCCTCCCAACATCACTTTTTAAAGCTCAGCATTTAAAAAAAGAACAGGAAAAAAAAAAAGTAGAGACATCCCAGAGTCCACACGCTTGCAAAGGACTTTCTTTTCCTCCTCCTCCCCCCAGCAGGTTAAAGACCTGCTAGTTAGCAACGAGAGCGGATGGAGGACAGTCATTGGAACCACAGGGGCCTAATACCCATTTGTATTCACACTCAGACCCTTTAAGCATATAAAACCGGAGAGGTTGAACTGTTTACATTCACCTAATGCTCCAGTAAACAAATCAGAGCCCCAGTGGAGGGGGTTTCAGGCAGGGCTGCGGCCAGACCCCACTGGGTGCCAGGCAGCAGGAGCAGGATGGGGAAGGAAGAAGGTAGATGCATGGAAAACAGAAGCCAGGCTCTCATCCCAACCCACTCAAGTTTCTCCCCAAGCCTGGGCCCTCCTTGACCCCACGCGACAGGGGAGCAGCCCTTCCAGGCCTGAGCTCCACCACCCTCCATGGACAGGTGACCTCAGCTGCCAGACACCTCCTTACCCCCTACCCCCAGTACCCTGGAGCCCTGCCAGCACCCCCACATAACCCACCAATGACCTGGAGAGGAGGACAGAAGAGGAACGGCCTTGCAAAGCACCTGGAGAAAAAGGGGTTAAATGCCCAGTGTCTGACTGAGGGAGAAACTTCCCCTCCCTTCCAGGCGCCTCCGAGGGTTCGTCCTCAACTACTATTGTTATTCAAGAACTGCGTCTTAGCTGAGCAGCTCCCCCGCCGCCCCCCAGCACTGGGTCTTGACAGAAGTGAAGCGGGGCTGCCTGGTGTCCCAGCACAGGGCCTGATCATATCCTCTAAAACGTGAACAGTTTCAACTTGACTGGGGGGAAAGGGGGCAGGCGGGGGGTGGGGGGGGACTGGCACTCCTTTTAAATGCAGATTTGAACTTTTCACCCGGGGTCAGACAGCTGCGATGCTCTGTCCCCAGCAGAGGCCAGCGCCGGGGCCCCTTCCACCTCACACTTTCACAGTTTTTTTCCTGCCTGCCAGGAGGCCAGCCTGTTAAAGGAATTCGATACCTCCCTCCCTCCAAACCCAAATCCACACCCGCTTCTCAGCTTACCAGGGGCACAAATCCCACTGGCATCCTAGAGGAGAGCCTCAAATCGTAGGAGGCTGGCTGGGTGCTCTGGGAACAGCAATGGCAAAGGAAAATTGTTGTTGTCACATGTATTGACCAAGGAACGCTAAGGTCAACAGTGAGAAGACTCCAGGACTTCCCGGCCGCTCTGAAAGCATCTGAAAGCAGCATCTTCTCTAGGGTACATTTCACAGTGGCGCTTTCTGCTAGAAGCCAGCAGACAGTTCTCCTTGCTATTTCACTGAGAAGAGCTGTAATGGTACCAAGGCTGAAATCATTTAGTTTTGAAAAGAAGTCACTTCTGGGTGAACAAGAAAAACTGTAACGAACTTAAAAAAAAAAAAAAGTCTAGGATGGGACTGCTTGCCTCCATTACACCCCTGATTCTCATGGACAAGGTTGTTTCTGAGTTTTCCATGTCACCCTCTGTCCCTCCATTTCTCCTCCTCCAATGGGAGACGCCCACTGGTCCTCGACTAGGGAAGGTTTCCATTCCGCGGCATCAAGATAAGGCAAGAAAGCAGAAATCCAAATAAACACTAAGAGAAGAAGGCGAGGGGAAGTTTCTTGCTGGAATCGGTGACCCTCCCAACAGTGGCAGCTCCTACAACTCTCATCTTGGGGGGCACTAGAGCCTCTAAGAGAAAGTCCCCTCCAAGCAATGCACCACACAGTCCCTGGACTAGCCAAACCGGAAGCCTGTGTGTGTGGTGCTAGAAATGACTGTGAAGTCAGAAAAACCACACCAATTACCTACAGGTAGAAGGTTCTAGATTCATGCCTTCCTCCTGCCCCAAACTAGCAACCCACCACGGAGAGGGTGAAACGAGCATTTCTAGAGGCTCCCTGCAGCCCTGTCTGTGATTTCAGTAATATACATGAAGCAGTAAGTCTGTTGTAACAAACACACTAGCACTCACAGGAATGAATGAGAGTGGGGCTGTCCCCTGAGGAGGTGGCCCGTGCCTTGCTGCCACTGCTGGTCTTCTGCCTCTGGGAAGGTTTTCACAGTCAGGTGAGCACCCCCACCTGTACGCCAGGAAGCAGTTTACAGAACACTGGCACCCCAATGTCACAGTTCTATCTCCTAACAATCTCATGAGCATGTCGGGGGAGCCAGGCATTTCTGACCAAACCCGCTGTGTGCAGACTGAGCCTGCACCCATTCCCCAGTAAATGCAAGCAGCTGGTCACAGGGGTGATGGCTGACTTGGCTCCATCAACAGAATGTCTCAGAAGAGCACAGGGCAGCAATCTTTTATTCCAGAGCTGCACCATCCACTAGGTAGCCACCGACCCTTGTCACTACCGAGCCTGTGACATGTGGCTTGTCTCGATAGAGATGTGCTGAAGGTATAAAAATACAGGACTCCAAAGATTTGGTACAAAAAAAAGGGATGTAAAATATCTCATTAATAGTTTTATTAATATTGATTACCTGTGGAAATGATAACCTTTTGGATATACTGGGCTAAATGTATTATGAAAATTCATTCCACCTGTTTCTCATTGTTTAATGTGACTAATAGAAAATCTAAAATTACCTACGTGGCTTACACTGTATTTCTACTGGATGGTCCTGTTTCAGAACCTCTGCCTGTCTTTCAACTTCAGATTCAGGCGGGATTCTAAGTGTTCTCGGATATGACTGAGACAGACTTCTCTTGTCTGTCTTGAACATCTCCCTAAAGCTACAATGTACTGGCTCCCAAATGATACTTTTAAATGGGCTGAACAATCTTAGTATCCAACAACTCACTGCCAAACTCAAGTATAAACTAAGAAAAAATAAATCACTTCTGGGACCCACAGCGTGCTTTTAAAAAATAATAATAGGCCAGGCATTGTGGCTCACACCTGTAATCCTAGCACTTTGGGAGGCCGAGGCAGGTGGATCACTTGAGCTCAGGAGTTCGAGACTAGCCTGGCCAACATGGCAAAACCCCGTCTCTACTAAAAATACAAAACAAAACAAAAATTAGCCGGGCATGGTGGAAAACCAGCCCACGCTGGTAGTCCCAGCTACTCGGGAGGCTGAGGCAGGAGGACTACTTGAACCCAGGAGGAGGAAGGCACAGTGAGCTGAGATTGTGCCACTGGATTCCAGCCTGGGAGACAGAGTGAGACCCTGTCTCAAAAACAAAATAAAAATAAGTCATTTACTGTGGTTTAATACCAGGACTACCCACGAGGCTTGTCCAAAAGTAAGCCGTCTCCTACTCCAGCCTGATTTCTTACTATCAAGAGAAGACTTCTCCCTTTTAACTGCCCTTCTGTAAAATATGCCCAGCAGGGGCCTGGTGTCCACCTTCTCCCCCACCCCATACACACATACCACACAGCACACGCGTGCGCGCGCATAGACAGACTCTCTCTCTCTCTGTCTCTCTCTCTCTCTACAACTGGGGAGGGCTGCGGGAGGAAGGTGCAGGCAGCACAGATGTGGCCCCTTTCCTATTAGAAAGTCCCTATTCTGCCACTAGGGATCACAAGGCCAGTCTCATTTCTCTATGTAAATGAACTTTTTAGCCACCTCCTCAAAGAAGAAAAGCTGCACAGATGCGGAAGGCCGGTCCAGAGGCACACAATTACAGCCATTTGCATTCCTCCAGCAGCCGGATTAGCACAGGAATGCGCTCTGCCGCTTTGTGGGGGGAAAAGGAGTTTAGGAAGAAAGGGATGGGTGGGGGGATGTATTTCTCCCTGGTCTGTCCACCCAAAGCTCTATGATACGCTTCCACTTCTGTGAGAGTCAGAAAGTGGAAATAACTCCTGCTCAGCTTCTAAAGAGGGGGAGGTTGAAAAGGCGCAGGGAGGAGGAGGGAGGTGGAGGTAGAGGGTAGAGGAAGAGGAGGGGAGAGGGGCCGGCAGGAGAGAGGGAGGAGGGGGACTGGGTGTATCAGGGGAACTGCCCCTCCCGGCGCTTTGATCCCCTCGGTCGGTCGCTAGGAGAAACCAACTTTTCTCCTTGGGTTAATCAAAACCAAATTACTCAGGAATGTGGCAGGACAGGTCTGAACTTCCAGGTCCCTTTGTCTTTGAGGATTTAAAATGAAAAAAAATAAAATTGTTAAAGCAGATGGCCGTGGCCTACTCAAGAGGTGAAGCGAAGAGTCTGAGGGAAGTCAGACCACATCTCTCACCCTCCAAAAAAACACACCCGCAAACTTCCTATGCCAATTTATTGTGAGAGAAGTTATTTTTGTAGACAACATCCAAAAATCAGAAGAACTGCCCATTTCATCCTTACTGCTGCGCAAATAAAAGACCCTCACCCCACCCTCCCATCAACTATACCTTGTCAAAGTACAAATACAAGAGAACCCCAGATTTAAGATACACCCGTATATCACAACCCGACTATTAAAAGCGGAGTCCAAACTAGCTCAAGAACATACGTTTTCCAAACACAAAGTTTGGGAGTATTTTTCAGTGTAAAGTTCTTCCTTAGGAATACTGGGGTAAGGAGGTATTCAAATATCCGGTTGCTATTCAAATGCATCCATGAAATTTCATGGTTACTGTAAAATTCTGCATCTCTTTAAGTTCTAAGAAAAGCGGTTTTTAGGGAATGACTCAGAGGAGATATGAAATGTCCCACTGAGTGACATAAGATCCCACTGCTCATCTGTCGTCTAGAAAAAGCGAAGAACCTGCCACCCAGGGCTGTTCTGTTTACTAGGAAAGTCTGCTGGGTGTGCTGGCCAGCCCGGCGACAGTTTCAATAAGTCAAGAGGCAACAGGAAAAAGCTGACCTCAGAGATGAAAGAAACCTGGGGCTTGGAGCTATATTAAGGCCTCCACACCTCCTCCCCGGCTCACAGCTCTGGCAAGCTTGTGGCACTGTACAAGATGGGGGCCTGCACTTCAGGCTCCTGGAAACTCTAGAATGCAACACCCTGGCATGTGCTATCATTAGGGACAGTAAAAAGTGACACAGCCCAGGGCACCCAGGAGCAGAAATATGAACAGCCCTTCGTGTGTTATAAAATGCTGCTATGCTTCACTGTAAAACCTGGCTGACCCCCATGTCCCCCACCCACCCAAAAAAGATAAAATAAACAAACAGAGCACCACCGGTTAAGCTATAGAGCCAGGATTCAAAAGATAAAGTGAGACCAACACACAGCCATGACTACCAGCTTGCCATAAATCGTAACTGGCCCCAGGCATACGGTTATCTGGGAAGCTGCACACCAACTTTTAAAATACTCTTCACCTTATCTTTAAGCCCAGTCAAACACACACATACATCACCCTTCTTAGATCTCGGCCATTAGTATTCCATTTAGACTTTCCAAAACAAGGTCATCCCAGAGGGTCCTTCCCCTCTTTCCAGTCACAGCTGTGGACTTTCATCCCCTTGTCCAACAAAAGGGACCTTGTACACAAAATTAACCTGAAGCATTAGTCTGTGTGGTGCGAGAGTCCACGGGGCCCTCGGGATATTGACTCCCCCACCCCCCCAACTATCCAGGCTCAGCCCAAAATCCTGTCTAGAGGGCTTCCCCACTGTGGAGGCTGGGGGAGCTTCCCTAGAGATTAGAGACCCTGCCCCTTCAGAATCCGCTTCTCAGCTGCAGCTGTGCAGCCAAGGAAGGCCTTACCTTTCAGAGAATAAACAGAAGAAAAAAACTTCCTCCCTGACTCAGTAACAGTAGAAAACGACCTGACGTCATGGCTGCAAAGGCCCAGAATCATCTGAGAACTAAGCCATCCAATATGACGGCCACAACTGCACGCGGCTTCTGAGCACTGGACATGGGGCTGGTTCTGAGCGTTGAGACCAGAACATCATGGTGAAATCGTGGGTTGCTGAAAATATCTGTTTTAAAGTTAATTCCACCTGTTTCTTTTTACTTTTTATGAATGACTACTAGGAAATGTACAATTACATATAAGCTTGTACTCTCTCTCTCTCTCTCTCTATTGGACAGCACTAGAGAGGTGCAAATGTTACCACCTCAAGTGCTAGCACATTACCATGCTCTAAAAGGAAAGACTCTTCCTTTTTATTACTATTATTATTATTATTATTATTATTATTGAGTCGGGATGTCACTCTGTCACCCAGGCTGGAGTGCAGTGGCACAATCACGGCTCAATGCAGCCTCTACTTCCTGGGCTCAAGCAATCCACCCACCTCAGCCTCCCGAGTAGCTAGGAATACAGGCGTGCACCACCACGCCCGGCTAATTTTTGTATTTTTTTTGTAGAGACAAGGTCTTGCCATGTTGCTAAGGCTGGCCTCGAACCCCTGGGCTCAAACCTCTGGGCTCAAGAGATCCTCCTGCCTCAGCCTCTTGAGTGGCTGGGACTACAGGCACATGCCACCGAGCCTAGCTAATTAAAAAAAAAAAAAAAAAGTTTGTAGAGACAGGGTCTCCCTATGTTGCCCAGGCAGGTCTCAAGCCCCTGAGCTCAAGCAATCCGCCTGCCTCTGCCTCCCAAAGTGCTGAGATTACAGGCTTGAGCCACCACACCCAGCCCAGATTCTTCATTTTTAAATGCCAAAAAGACCAGTGTAAAATTGAGCAAACAGCATCATCTGGTATCAGGTGGAATCACATACGCAGAGGCTGCTCAACTCCCAGGCTGCAGTGAAGGTGTCTAAATGGGGGGAGTGGCCGGGAACCTGCCATTGTTTTAGACCAGGAGAAGCAAATGTAACCTCTATTTCAGGTGTTCTTAACTGGAGGCGATTTTGCCTCCCCAAGGGACAGTGGGCAATTCCTGCAGACATTTTTGATTGTCACATCAAGGGAAGAAGGTGCTACTGGCATCTAGTGGGGAGATGCCAGGGATACTAAATGTCCTACAATGCACAAGGTGGCCCACTCCCCCCAAAAACAATTATCCCCAAACATCAACAGTGCCAACACACAACCAGGAAGTGACCAGGCCTGAGATCCACCCAAGTATCTCTTTTTTTATTTTTTTATTTTTAGTAGAGATGGAGTTTCACCACGTTGCCCAAGCTGATCTCAAACTCCTGAGGTCAGGCAATCCTGCCTAGGCCTACCAAAGTGCTGGGATTACAGGCATGAGCCACCATGCACAACCCAAGCAAATTTTTAATACTCAGATATCCAGGAGCAGGAGGGGACATCCCTTTGCAAAATGGCTTCTCTCCAGAGCTCGGAACTGGTCATAAGTTTGAGCGGTATAAGCAATGTGAGGAAATGAAAATACTACTAATAATTTAAAAACTATAATCGCTTTGTCGCCAGACTGGGTTGAGTGTCAAGGGTTGATTATGTCTGGGCAGCTCTGTTTTTCAAGCTAGTAGGTAAACATGGGGCTTAAAACTCAAAGCAACATAAGGCAGGCTCCCCCACAAGCAAGAGTAGGCCTCTAACAGAGAGTCTGAACTGGGGGAGTCACTGGCATGCCCAGTTCACCATGCCTGACCACACAGGCTAGGCCTGGGTGCCTGTGACAGGCAACGGAGCAGCAAAGGAGCTGTGATGGGGCCTGCAGGTATAGGAAGGGGACAGGGCAAGGGACAGGCGAGGCCAAGACAGGAAGAGCGTGGTGCTGAATGAGAACAGCCCAGCCAGGCTGGGAGGCCGAGCAGGAGGGGGTAGAGGGGAGGCACATGATAATTAACTCTGCAAGTTGATAGTATTTGCATATAAATGCCTCCACAAATCACTACAAACAAGCCAGGACAAGTCAGGCCTATTAGCATACACAAGCCAGCCGGGGAAGGCCTCTCTAGGTGGGTCATTGAGTAGGCTGCTCACTTGGAGGGCCGCCTGCCAGCCTGGGGAGGGGGACAGAAGGGGAGGGCTGGGGTGGATGGGGGACACTGTAACTATTTCAGACTCTTTCACTTCTGAACACGGTTGCAAAGATGTCAAAAGGAGTTGGCTCTATTTCCACCCCATGGGGAAGAAGAGAATTGCTGGACCTTTTAGTTTATTTCTTCCAAGGTGGTAAGAAACGAAAGGTAGCAGAGGCCATCAGTAGCAAAGAAAGAAATGAAAAGGGCGTGGAGATGGCAGCCAATATCCGGAGAAGCTTTTCAGTATGTGAAGTGGTATGAAGCCCTGATTCCTATTTCATTTACTTCCCACTACAAATGTAAGGTATGCATTAGGCCCATTTTACAGACGAAAGAAGTGAGGCCCAAAGAGGTTAAATTACTGGTCCAAAGTCACACAGCTCAGGCCTCACCAGAGGGTGTAACACTGATGGCCTCAGCAGAGGGTGTAAGGCCCATAGCAGAGGAAAGAGCAGAGGCCACCTTTCCAAAGAGTGGGCTTTTTTGATTCACCTTTGCTTCTCCCATTCACTGTTGAGTCCCCATTTGAAGGGGATTCACAAGCAGTGCTCTGGTCCTCAGCCAGACCCTGCCCTGTTTTATTCTGTAATTATTTCCTACCTTCAAACAAACAATGAGGAAGACCACACCTCCCTCCAGTTACACATCTGGGAGTCCGCACCAGGATTTCCTCTGTCACCCAATTTTTCCACTGTCTGGACAATTTTTATAGTTTCACCAGCAAGGGCAAAATATATTGACAGTCCTTTCCCACAAGGTGTAAAAGTTCTCTGCTTTCCCCAAATATACCTCTGGATTTCCTATCTGTTGAAGGAAAAACCAGCTTCGACTGCCTCCGTTAAAAAAGGGTGTGCAGGGCTGAGGTGACCCTACTACCGTCATTTCTGCCATTCTTTACTTGAACAACATTTTTTAAGTGGGCAAAATACTATCTTATGAAAAACAAACCAACAGGGGCCCAGGTAACACACATTCATATAGTCAGTTACACAGACTGAAAGTCTTCATCAATGCCCATCTCAATTACGTTATCAAATAACATAAGGGGACACTATTCAAGATTCCATCAGAACAGAGATGGCATTTAAAAGCAGTCGCTTGAGTAGTGACACCAACCTCCTGCCGCACACACTGAAATCCATGAGCCTCTTCTAAAGTGTCCAAAAGTTGACCTGACACTTTAACGCTGATGCAGATACTCCACAAAAAAAAGCGGAGCTGTTAAAAGGGAAGCAGAAACCATTCCTCCAGTCAAGGCCAAATGTACATTAAGAACCAAGGCCTTGAGCCAAAGAGCATTTTAGGAAGCAGGGCCTTAAATGGTGGAAGAGGCTTGCATTGCTTCTTGAGTAGTTAAGAACAATTGTTTAAAAAAAGAAAAAAGAGAAGTTGGGAGATGGAGAAGAAAGGCACCCATGTGTTCTTCAGCAACTTCCACGGGACAAAGATGTTGGGAAGGGAGAAGTCATCAGAAATAGGCCACTCAGGAGACTGGAAGCATGGGGAGCAGCTCAGTTCATGTCTACACATATGTGGTTTTTATAGACTTTCAGGAGTTTAAATGCTTCTGAAAAGCGATGTTTGCATACTGAAGGGAGACAGACTTCCATATTTGAACAGGCACTTATATGACTTTTTCAGGGGATGCAGGGCTGAGATCAACTATCAGATTAAGCCCCTTGGTCTTTCTGCACTCGGCTAATCTGCCTCCTGCCTCTCCACTAAGGAGATTCAAATGAGAAGACAGAGGCAGTCGCCTCTGAACTAGAATCTTCCTACTGAAATGCAGAGCCTATGATAGAAATGGGCACCGGGGACCATCTATCCAAAAGCCAGCCTAACCGATACACTCAGAAGAATTTTTCTCCAGTCACACTCCTGGATGGAGTCAGGAACAACCAAGAAACAAGCAAAACTGTTCTTTTGCCTCCTCCTTCCTGAAAGAACCCCATCAAGAAGCCTACACATGACCCCTCCAGTGTGTAAGCCCCAATCATGCCTAACCACCCCAAATCACCCCAAGTACTCAGCCCTACTCAATAACTAACACCCTCTCCCATCTACACAGAACAGCGGGTATAGGCAGTCACTGACTCCTGCCCTAGAAGCATCGGGCGAGGGGTCTCACTCCCAGATCAAAGGTTTGTGGCCAAGATAACTTTTGGGACAGTGGATGAAATCAGCAGCAGATGAAAACTCCACAGCCTTTTTCAGAGTCCAGTGGAGCCAGTTCTCCCACTTCCAGTCCAAGTCTCCCTGCAGATGACTGAAGGTGATCCATACATTCCTAACTGCTGCCCCGAAAGACCCACTTACAATTAAACTCCAGGTCACCAGTTAAGAAAGCCTTTAGGCCCCTTATGTCATTAGCTTCCTCCCAGAAACCAAGCAGAATAGAAAGTGAGAGGCATCCCAGCACCGGCCCATCTTCTCAAGGTGTGGCCTTGCAAGGGAGTTTCAGTGGCTTCATCCCAAACCACCAGCAGCCAGGAGTAGGGGTGGGAGTGCGGCAGATGTTTTGCCCGCCTCACTGGAAGCTTTAGACCTGACTCCAGGGAGGGAAAAGGATGGACAAATCTCAGAGGCAGCACATGTGTTAATACCAAAGCTCAAAGAACACACAGCAGAACCACCTAAGACCTCCAGGACACAGCAAGCCAGCTAAGGCCCCTCTGGAAAGGTACACATCAAACCCCCCACACAGTAATCCTCATGTTGAGACTGCTGTGGTGACCCTCTGATGGACAGGGAGAGGGGGTCACCCAAAAGGCAGATGAAGCCCAGGCATTTTGCTAAGAGGCCCGGGCTGGAGTTAAAACCAACAAAACAGAAGTCTTGCTTCAAAATGGGGCTGAATTTGCCATCTCGCAAACTTTCTATGTCTCCCTCCCTGTTTTTATTTGAGCCCTTATTCTTGTAAAAGCAAGAAACTCCATGAATGAAGGCTGAAAGGCAGAAACGTCAAAGAAAGAAAAAATCCCCTTTAAATGTTAAAAGCCAAAGTACTTTCCTTGGGCAAATAACTCTCTAGAGACACCCCCATCACTGCCTAGACCACGGCCTTGTCCTCACCCACCTGTCCCCTGGCCCAAAGAATGAAAACCAGAAACATTCCAGTCGTTTCCCTACTTCTGAAGCTTCAGCTCAGTGCTGCTGTCAATCGGCACTAAGCCTTGCTCTGCACCTCTGTCCTCAGTTTCTGTCCATATCAAAGTCATTTACCATATTAGCCCAAAGAAGCCCTCCAACATCTGATTGCCACTTTGCACATGTTCAAAGAGATCAATCTGGCAGTCAACTTTAAATCATAGAGAAAAGCCCTCTGACAGTTGTTGATTTTGTAGTGCTTCTCTTTAATCTGGATTTTCAAAGTGGCTTGCCAATGAGCCAAGATTTCTGCCTGGGTCTCTCCCTCGGGGCGGTTTGACACAACCGTAGCTTCTGTGTGCTCCTTTCTCAATCTGAGTGGCCTGAGGACACAGGACACTGTGCTTTGGACAGAACAGGCGCCCTTTATGATTTAAACTAGCTCCTGCCAAGGAATTCCCTTGCCTAGATTCTATTAAAACTGGGTTCCCATTTCCCCTGACCATAGTTTTTTAACTCAGGCAGAGGACGGTGGTTCTGAGCTGTGCTGTGATTTCTAATAATAACCATTACCACCAAATTCTCATACCAGAGCATTTGGATACCCCTATGAGGTTCACTGTAATGGAATCTGCCTTCCTGTTGTGTTTTTACAGTAACGCCCCCATCCTGGTTAATTGCACCAGCCTTAGGAACCAGAGCAAGCCAACAGGCCCAAACATCACAGAAATAGGCCAGGCTAACAGCAAGCAATCATTTTAATAACAAATGAAAGCATAAACCACAGCACATACTGTACTTCTTCAGGTTACTGACAGGCATCTTCAGTGTGCAGTACGAGTGAGGGTGAGATGGAGTTTATATAAGTTTGTTCAGACCAGAATCATTGCTGCCTACTTGTAAGTCAAGGCTAAATCCTTAGAGCTGAGAAACAAGTGAGTTACTCTTAAAAGGTGAGTGTTTGTTTGTTTGTTTGTTTGTTTGCTTTGAGATGGAGTTTCGGAGTTTCGCTCTTGTTGCCCAGGCTAGAATGCAATGGCCCAATCTCAGCTCACTGCAACCTCCCCCTCCCAGATTCAAGCGATTCTCCTGCCTCGGCCTCCTGAGTAGCTGGAGTTACAGGAATGCACCATCACACTCGGCTAATTTTGTATTTTTAGTAGAGACGGGGTTTCTCCATGTTGATCAGGCTGGTCTCGAACTCCCAACCTCAAGTGATCTGCCTGCCTCAGCCTCCCAAAGTGCTGGGATTACAGGCATGAGCCACCATGCCTGGCCAAAAGGTGAGTTTTATAAAGACAGCTCACTTTCTTCCCCTTTAAATAATTCAAGCCAGTTCCCTACACTTTTACAAAATGTTGCTTAGTCACTTAAATATTTACTTTTTAAGATGACACTGTTACAACTCTGCAATAAAAATAATTTCTTAAGTAAGGGTCTGCTCTGAGCCCTGAAGCATTTCCAGATTCTTACTGATACTTTGTAGGTGGAAGAAAAAAAGCTCCTACCCCTGAAAGATACACCAAAAAGGAACAACTGCACACAGTGACAATAAGGACATGTTTCCTGGATGCTAGAACTAAGCCACATCACCACTAGCCCTAGAAATACTTTTCCAGCAGTCTGTAATCACAGATTTATTCTAATGAACTAACCACTTTTGGGTCACCAAAGATGAGCCAGGCCGGTCCTGGGAGTGTCTAGCAAGCATCATTTAAAGTCATAATGATGAAAACTAAATCTCGCTTATTTTAGCTCCTTGCCACTGGGCTGTCCAATTGGCACTGAGTTGACACAGCAGTTAAATTCAACCTCAAAGCAGCAAGAAGGCAGGCACTTCACTGTCCTGGTGGGAAGAGCCAGGCAGGGGCCTGTGGAGGGCACCGTTTTAGATGGGCCTTTCCAACCCTCCCTTAACATTCATTTGTGCAAACAAAAAATGGAAGAAAAGGAACCAAAATTAAGTTTCAGGTGGTTGGGGAAGCAGCATGGATTTACATTATTATTATTATTATTATTATTATTATTATTATTATTATTATTGAATAGTTAGCAAGTGTTTCTCAATAGTTCCCTGTTCATCAACACTGTTTTCAGGAGAAATGGAAAACAGTAGCTCTATTTCATAGAAAGTACAGCCATTTCAAAAAAAAAAAAAAAAGTGGGGGGGGGTTGTTGAGAGAGGGAAGTGACCCATGTCATAAAGACAGAAGGTCTCCAAGTCACTTAATTCCTTGTGATTCTGAAAGGGCTGTTTTTAAAGTCTAAAAGTGCTCGCTTCTGCATCTGCTCCATGTTGTTAAATAACACTTGTGTAATTAAATAAAAGAGCCAACTGTGACCCCAGCCCACTCTGAGAGGCACTTTACATGCTTTCTGAAAACTATGCTGGAAACACCATGAGGAGAACTCCTTAGTCCTGTAATTTAGCAAAGGGAGAGAGAAAAAGTTTCTTTTGGCCATCATAGCTACACACTCTCTGAAAGGGTGCCTGCAGGGTCTCTGCAAAACAGAATGAACACAAATACAGGCGTGCAAACATCCAGGTATGTACCTCTCTGTGAAGACCCCATTCTTGAAACCCTTCAATTATTTGGAACCGTGGTCTCCTGACTTCCCTCACACCTCACTTTTGCCTTCATTGTTTTTCATGTTTGAGTAGCAAGAGGGATTCAGAATCTCAGGCTGCCAGTGGCTGTTCTGATAACAAGGAGCAGACTCATGTTTCTTGCTACGGCCTTTCTTGATCAGGTTACCTTGGAAGGTGTATGTTTTCCTACCCAATGCAGTCCCCACCACAGCACTCTCGTGTCCTCCTCCAGCCCAGCCTCCTGGAACTCGTGATTTTCAGGGTTTCCCTTGAAACCTATCCAGAAACCACAGCCATTAACTGAACGTGAAGATTTGACACCTCCTGAATTCAGGAATGAGGGAACTCGAGGGGCCAACTCTACAAACTCGCACCTGCTGCTTGACGGCAAGGAAACAGAGTTTCCCCAGCTAGGGTGAGCTTTAAATTATACACTATTTATTTAGTGACTTGTCTCCAAGGATCTCAAAGCATAGAGAGAAATAAGATGATGTGTAACTTTCTCACAATCTACCTTCAAGGCTTTGCCCTGGTGCATTCTGACAAGCAGGACCCAGTATGAAGGAGAGGCCTTCCTTCTGTGCCCAGGCAGAGCCATCTGTTCTCTCTGGGGTTTTCTGTCAGTGGCTTTAGGGAGTCTTCAAGGACTGTTAAATGACACAGAGGGTGGGGGGAGGGATGACCCTCCTGGATTCACCTGCTCACGGCTTTCACTTAAGCCAGTTTAACACAGGAGGTACCACTGTGCCACGCAATTCCCTCTTAGCACACACCATGCGTGAGCTGCAGTCTTTGCCCTCCAGGCCTTTTCCTATCATAACACAGGTGTGTCCAAGGCAGAAAAGAACATTTTCCAGAAGGTTCGTTTCCCTCCAAGCCTACAATGCTTCTTTTTGTTGTTATTGTTTTTCTGCTACTGACCTAAACATAGGCATTCCTCCTCCTAACAGGATAAAAATCTTGACTCTCTCCTTTGCATCAGCTCCCCACCCCGCCCCTGCCCAAGGAAATAAATGCTCTGACTTTTCCAAGAGTGCGAAAAAACTAAAATTAGAGGGTGGACAAGATGATCTCCAAAGGTGCCCTCCAGCTCCAAAACTCTGATTCTCCCTTTAA